>NC_000010.11:104840064-105143095 GCF_000001405.40 Homo sapiens
GCCAGGAGCAGCTTTTGTGGGGTGTGGGCTTGGCAAGAGGTAGCAATGGATTTCAGAGCACAACAGCTGGAGTGCTTAGTCAATTATGCTTCCTGCAGGTGGAGATCTGAGAGGCATGTTCTCATGGCAGCTACTGAGAGGAAGGAGAAACTAAGGAGAGTCTAATAATATTCTCTTGAGTGGTTTATCTGCAGAACGCCTGCGTCTTTGCTCATGATGCTTCCTCCATGTAGAAACACTTCAGCATTCCCTTTAGCTAGTTAGTTTCTACTCTTTCTAGGTATTAGTTTGGGTTTCACCCTTAGGAATCCTTCCCTGACCTCTATCTAGTTTCTGTTTTTGGTGCTTCAACATTCCCCGGTTTTCCCTGCATTCCCCACCACAGCACCTATCAGTCTATATAGGAATTGCCTGCTCATTTCTTAGGTTTCTCCCCTACTAGACTAGACTGTGAGCTACTAGAAGGAAGAATCTGGATCTTTTATTTCTGTATCCCCCATGTATAGCCCAGTGGCCAGAATATCATAGTCATTTAATAGAGGAAGAAAGGAAATGATGGAAGGAGGGAGGGAAAAAGCGGAGTGGTCCAAGCTTTGAGTAAGGAGAAGGGTTTTCCAGATCTAGTGGTTAGAAGCTCTGCTAATTAAGTGAAACTCTTACCCTCAGCATCTCTTTCTTCATTCTATGTAGATTTTGCACTTTTTAGAGGCATGTGCCCTGAAGGCTTGATGTTGGGGAAAAATGATTTTGGAGGCATGTCCTCTGAAGGCTTGATGTTGGGGAAAAAATGAAATGGTCTGACTTGCTCCTGCAGAGCCTGAGGTGGTCATTCTGACTCATTCCTAGTAGATCAGTTTTGAGCTTTTTTACTTTTTCCAGAATTTGGCATGGCCTGCACATAGCCTCCCATGCTTTTACACGGTGACTTTAAGAAGGACTTGGTACATGAAATAAGGTCAAATGAAGAACAGAAGAACTTTGAGGTGTGTGTGTGTGTATGTGTGTGTGTATACCATATATACTGATTCAACAAACAGAAATTATCTGGCAACTTGCTAGACACTTGGTGAGGCTATGGATAAGTTTATTTCTCTGTTAGTCTCTGGCTTTAATAAATGAGGAAACTAGTTATGAATGGGAGGGGCAAAGACCTCTAAGTGACTGTAGAGAACAATTCTTTGCATGGGTTCCTCACTCCTTGCTGTTGTGCTGTGGTAATAAGACAGGTAGCTTGGTAGAGTCTACTGTTCTACAAATAGCCATGCCACTGGTGTGTGCTATTAATACATACTCTTTGATTTGTGCTGTGGTAGGTAGTAGGACAGGTAGCTTGGTAAATTCTACTATTCTACAAATGGCCATGCCATTGATGATGTTTCTTGCCAACCTGCCATTCCTCATCGCAGAGAAATTGAATATTCCCGTCACCTTTGGCACATAATGGATCATATCCCTTGCCTTTAATTTTTTTCTTGGTTTATATAGAAGAAATGGAAATGGGGCTGATTGACCCCATAGAGTGCTGGATGAGAATAAATCTCAAAGTGAGCATTTTGTTGTTAGTTAAGTGCCATAAAAATGTGCAATATAATGGCTGATTATTTTTCTTTAATCTTAAATGGATACCTAGAATGGGAAAGTCCCATCTCGGTAGCAGAAATTCATTATCTCGGAAAGAATTTAATGGTTGCTGTGAAAATGAACTGGAGGAAGTTAAATTGTGGAATGGGAAGGAGCTGAAAAAAGTGAAATGAGTTGTGCATTAAATTTAGATAAACACAATTATGTGTAACTGGATTATCACGCGTGCAGGCAGGCAATGTGTATTATGCACCTGCGTTTTGATTAAAATCGATTCAGGTGCACGCACTTAGCATCCTTTTAAATGTGGAGCTGTGCCTAAGCCACTGCCCGGATGCATGAGAGGCAGGTAGGGCAACATCTGACAGCCAAGTCCCCAGCTAGAGAAAGCGCATGGGAACAGACTGGTCAGCCCAAGATTGGTTAAGAAAACCACCAACTGGATTACTGGTAGCCTCAGCTCTCTGATACGTCCAGCTTCCTTTTGGGTTACTTAACATCAACTGATGTCAAGAAAGTGGTCATGGAGTCCAGTGGGGTTCAATGATCTGCTTACTCCATAGTAGTGGGGGCAGGTGATACATGGTCGAAGGCAGATGGTATCAGGGGATGTTGGGGAAGTAGGCCTGTCTGCATTCAGGTATTTATGCCTGCCAAGGCCCTGTTGATGGAAACACAAAATCTCTTTGAACCCCTTTTACAGACAGAATCAGGACCACTTCCCTTTTACCCTTTTAGTTCCAATTCTGTAAATCAGAGTCATCTCTGGATCAAAAGCAAGCCTATCATCTGATCTCTGGGTGGCCTTGGTGGTGAACAAAGCCAGCTGGCCTGCATCTGACCTCGAAGGAGGACAGATGTGGAGAAACAGCTGTCAATAGCCAATTAATTCCTGTTGGCATGTTTTATTTCAAATGCAAGCACTGTCAGGATTAAAATAAATGCTACCAGTTACAGGGATGCATTAAATTAATAACTTTTTCCCCCTTGCTTAATCCTATAATACCCCGCAACTCAATGGATAAATACTAAGCCCTCCTCTGGGTGATAGGAGATGCATTATATATTGTTACACAAACTAAAGTAAGCTTCCTTTTTTCCCTCCCTTTGTTCCTCTCCTTTGCCCTTATCCCCAACCCCTTGCAGGTCATACTTATCCTGACGAAGCTGTATGACTTCAACCTGGGCAGCGTGACTGAGAGTTCACTATGGAGGTAAGCAGATTAGAGATTCTTAAGGAGCCACCCTGGCTTGGCTCACATGAGAAACGCAAGCTAAGCAGTTGGGAAGTGTGGACTGGAAGGAGCAGAAGATAGTCCTCTTCCTGGAAGCTCATGTTAATGCTCTGGGTGGAACTGATGGCCCCCACCTGTGAATTCCTTTCCTGCTCTGCTTATCTCTTTTGGGACCTGTTGCAAATACACCTTGGCCCTCTCATTGCTTCTGTGCTTTTGGAGTGTCTCATTCTACTTGAAGAAGGTGGGGCCTGGCTAGAGAGATCAGATAAACATGCACGAGTAGAGGTTCTTGATTAGGAAGCCTGCTGTAGGAGAGATTCTTGTCCTGGATGTGTGTCTTGGCCAAAGGACTGCCTCCAGCCCTTTGCATCTGCTAGATGCTGTGGTTCTTGAGAAGGCAGTATCATGGGGACAGATACACATGGGAAGAGATACAGATACAAGTCTGCATGATGATGTTCTGATCCCCAGGCAATTTTGCCTTCAGGGGCCCCTTGCCCCATAAAATAATATTAAAAGGTCTGTTTTACCACTGCGTTGGTATAAAGACAACTACATTAATATCATATATTAAAACACTTGTTTCAGCCCAGTTTATTCTTTTGATTTTAAAATAAAACACTTTTGGGGCCTCTAAGACTATTGTGAGCCTAGCTGCTGTACCTCTTGTGCCTAGTGGATAAGTTTGCCCTGTTAACAATGATTGTGCACACAGGACGAGGGAGAAGAGGGATGTGGGTGAGTGAAGTTAGAGAGAACCTTAATAAAGCCATGAAACCAGGAGTTTCTCAGGACAGGGAATGCCCGTGTGTTACACACACTTACGCCTATACCTCCTCACGTACATATGCACATCCATACGACCACATTGACGTGCAGTCACACTGGTCGACAGCGGGTCTTATCAGTCACTGGGACTTGGTGCTTCACCCTCTCTGCTAGGTCCATGAGACTTGAGGTGTTGTGTGTTTTCTCCCATTTACCTTGTGATGTGTCAATACTGGGCAGGAAGCTGTCACAAAAAGCCATGCATCTGGCTGCATCATCATCCCTACTAAGTCCTGACCTGAGGGTTTCCTGGGGTTTTGGAGCAGAGGGGACTGGGGTGTGAAATGCTTCTTCATCTGACCTGTTTGTTTGCAGAGAACTAGGCAGCTTCTCTCCAGGAAAGAGGGAGCAGTCGCAGTATCTATTAAATATTTAGGGGTTAATTGCTCATGTCGACTGAGGCCTGCCTCCATTTTCACAGGATGTCTAAAACCTAATTTTGCTGCTCAGTGAAAATTGGCAGAGGTATAAGTAACTAGCATGCCTCGAACAAATGAAAGCATGACTATTTCCACTCACACGGTACTTTCCAGGAAATTAGAACCTCAGAAACCTCCCTTCAAGCCCAAGCACAATGATGCTGTGTGATACTTTAAGCCTCATTCCTGTGGTGTCTGCTTGGTCAAATCATGAAACAAGCCAGAAAATTCTATCTTTATATTGAAGAACAGCTATTCCTGCTACTCCATGTTGCAGAAAAGGTTTGGCTATTTCTAGGAGCAGGCTAGGCAAGTATAGGAACCTAGGCCAGTTGCTTAATGCTAGAGGCCTTCAAGTTATGAAGGGTGTTTCTCACAATTTCAAGAGTCAGTGTATTCATCAGTATGTACCAAGAGACACTATATAGTTTGGTGTCTGTAAGGGTACCCTGGTGTTCAATTGCCAGGATTGAAGTCCCAGTTTGTCCACCACCAAGCTGTGTTATTTTGGGCATTTTACTTAATCTCTGTCTATTAGTTCCCCAGGGCTGCCATAACAATTACTACAAACTGAGTGGCTTAAAGCAACAGAAATGTCTTCTCTCACAGTTCTGGAGCCCAGAAGTCTGAAATCAAGGTGTCGTCAGGGCTGTGTTCCTTCTGAAGGATCTAGGGTTCTCCTGGATAAACCAGGATGACCTCATCTTGAGATCCTTAACTTAATGACATCTGCAAAGAATCTTTTATCAAATAAGGTTCCATTATAGATTCTGGGAGTTAGGATGGGGACATATCTTTTAAGGGAGTTTATCATTCAGTCCACTTCACTAAGTCTGTTTCTCTGCATATAAATTGGGGTTAGCACAGAACATGTCTTTGCTCTAGCCTCATTTTACTTGCTATTCCTCCAACGTACCAACCACACTTTTCCTGAGAGCCTTTACACTCAGATTTTCCCTCTGCCTAGTGCTCCCAGGTGACAGGGCAGACACCTTACTTCCTTCCTCTCTCTGGTCATAGGTCACCTAATCATGAGGTCCTTCCCCAGGATTCCAAATTCCATCACTTGGCTACATTTTTTTTTCTTGGTCCTTATCACCAGCTGGCATATGCTAAATGTTTACTTGCTGGTTTGTTTATTGTCTTCCCACACCCACTCACATCTAAGCTTGTAGAGAGAGGGAATTTTTTTCACTTTAATTCAGTGCTGTATTCTCAGCATCTAGAAGATTATTTGGCACACAAGAGGTGCTTAATAAATGTTTACTTAGTGAATAAATTAATGAATGGGCTGTTTTAAGGATTAAGTGAAACAAATATAAAAACATTTAGTCCAGTAACTCACATGTAGGAAGTGCTTACTTAACTGTAATTGTTAATGATTGTCATAGCCCTGTGTTTGGATAGCATTTTCATTCCATTGTTGACTTTGTTTTTAAGGATTCCTTGCTGCAGAGGTGCATGTGAGGGAATTTATAAGACACCAAGCGGGTGTAGTCTGTATTCTCTAGGAATTAGCAGAGATCTTTGAGGTTGAAGGTTGGGGGTTAGGGAGGGGAGAAGAGTGATTTAGAATGTTGTCCCTTGTGCTAGTTGGGAGGAATTGAAATACCAATTTCTGTCTAGTCAAAGATATTCTTTATAGAAAAGATTCTCCAAGCTGGGTGGTGGCATGAAGGGAGGGATGCAGTTTGGCAAGTGGAGAAATGTCCCTACCACAGGGCAAAGTCCAGGTGAGGCTGGTCTGCGGAAGAGAATGGAGCCAGACGGGAGGCACAGGGAGCAGCTGAGTGCTGGACCAGGTCCGGAGGGTGTGGAGATTGACCAGGTTCACAGAAGGGGCCCAAGCAAAGGGAGTTACTCAGAGCGAATTTACAGATCACAGATTCCATATGGTGTGACCTTATGGGGATTTGGAAAGCTGGTGAATATTATGGGTTTTCCGTGTTGACCAATATCATATATGAGTATATTTTTGTGTTAGGTTTCAGGAGGTTCATGGACCTGATAAAGCCCCAGCTTAGGAGCCACTGGATAGAGTGTGACTGAGGAAAGGGACTGCTCCTAAACTTTCTGGGGGTTTCCCGGTTTGCTGGGACCTCATCGGGAGTCTTCTAACTTTTTACTGTCTTTCTCACGTATCTTCTAAAGATCTGTATCTCCCGTTCTCTTTTCCTGTACTGATAATGATGTATTTTATAGTTAGAGCCTAGAGCCGTATGATTTCCCTTCCTAATACAGTGTGCAGACCAAAGAAACTAAATTAAACATGCACCCTTTCAGCTTCATGATTCGGCCTAACATGCTTAACCAAGTTGAAATTGAATTCAGTGATCTTCTTCAGTGTTCTGTACCATCAAGAAGCCTGGAACAGCAGCTGTCATGACAAGATGACACCCCCTGTCAGGTTGCAATGTGATATAATTATCTGCCTTACTGGATTAATAATTCAGAGGCCATCTACTTCTAAATAGACAAAAGATTGTTTAAAAGCATTAATTTGTGTAGCAGTATCTTGTGCCCTTGTGACATTCTTTCCAGAATACCTTGGTGCTCTTCTACTGGTGGTGGCCAAGGTTATTTCTTCACCACCACCAGAGTAGTTATGTAAATTTGTCGTTTAGCACAACCATCTGTTGGTATCCCTTAGTCAAAAAACACTTTACCTATAAGATATCATGTGTAGAGAGTTCATGAGGTTGGGGACTGACTTGTTTAAAGGAACCAGGGCTTTCCCTGAGTTACCTGGGTCATAAGGCTGAGATTAGGAGCACTCCCTGGCTCTTCATCTGAGCCTCCTTCCACAGTGTCATATATCCATCTTCAAAAATGGAAAGTCTGCAGCTAGACAGACATAACCCTCCTATTTATGTCTCTTCCATTCCTAACAAATGTAGGCCATTGTCATGTGGTAGGGTGGTGCTATGGACTCAAAGGGAGGACCACATCTTTCTCATTTCCATGAGAACTGCATATGGTGCATGCTTTGGTGCCATATTTATGCCCTCTGCACTCGTGGATGCGCGTGTGTCTCTGCCTCAGTTGGTGGCATTCATGGTCCTCAATTAGGGAGGAAGGATGTCACTTTTCTCTGGAAGTGGAAACTCTGATAGTGCCAATTAATCCACTGCTCGAGGTTATTAAATCTTTACTTTTGAACATATGTCCTGGTGAGGATTTATGTTTCTGATTGGCAGATCGTTTCTTGGACTCATTTCTGTATGTCTTGGACATGAGCCCTTGGACTGATAAACAAAAACTTTAAAGAAGTTTAAGTTACCCCCTTCTGGAGGGAAATGAGTTAGCAAGCAATTCTCCAGCTTCTGCCTGTCCATCCTAAGCATGACTGTTCATCAAGGGTCCCTGACTGATCAGCTTCAGAACAAAATATACATGGTAAAGGAACTTCAGGTGTGAGGTCACCACAGGTATGCAGTCCCCACAGGTGCAAGGTGTCCACAGGTGTGAGGTCTCTGCAGGAGCTCTCCTCTGGCTGCTGGTCTAGGGTCTTCACAGAGCTAAATGAATTTGCAGTTGTCTAGGCATGAGAGGAAACAGGAATCATTTGCAAAGAATGATCCCTTCAATTGGTAGACCTTGGTTCTTCACCTCTCTCCTCTCTTGCTTTATTGCACCCACCCTTAGCCTTGCTTTATTGCACCCACCCTAGTAGTATGGGAGCC
This sequence comes from Homo sapiens, assembly GCF_000001405.40. Classification (NCBI taxonomy): domain Eukaryota; kingdom Metazoa; phylum Chordata; class Mammalia; order Primates; family Hominidae; genus Homo; species Homo sapiens. The sequence goes on from NC_000010.11 coordinate 104,847,814, forward strand.
ATTCTACTATTAGAAAAGCAACCAGACTGCACAGCCATTCTTCCTGTATGCCTGGCTTCAGGATGCACCATAATTGATTATGATATATATGGAGAGTACGGATTCCCAGGCACTTCCTGCTGGAGACCTTTCATGACCCTCCTTTCTGGGTGGGAGGCTCCTCTTCTGCTTATGGGTAGCTTTATATCCTTACACCATACTGGTGATTCGTTCCTAGCCTGTGAACTTCTCAAGGGCAGGGACCGTGTGCCTTAGTTGTTTCTGGATCATTGACAATGCTTAGCATTTCAACTATACTAAATAAGGATTTGGAGACCTGACGAAAGTTTTCAATAGCCCCAAACCAATCCCAGCACCAGCCCCGCCTTGCCGTGTCCCTTTCCATGTATTGAGTTGTCTCATACTCCTGCCACTTGGGGATTCTGTGACTTTTCATCTGGTTCACAAGCTGTTGTCTGGACCACTTATTTCCTCCTTAATTGTTCTGTCAGTGACCTTTCTCGGGGATGCTGCTTTTTTAAAATAGAAAATGGAGACCTTTTGAATTTATGAATTTTTTGTTTGCCAAGAAAACCCTGATAATAATTGCTAAGACTTCCCAGAAGTTATTAGTTTACAAATTTTAATGACACTCATGATTTATTTATGCACTTCCCTCCCTCTACAGCTGCTCACCCCAATTCCTTGGTGGAATTCCTGCTGAATCTGAGTGAATTAGTGGAAACAAAACTGCAGATTGGAATGACATTTTTTGCTAGGCTGTTAATTAAAAGCCTTCCACCCCATTCGCTAGGCTCTTTATATGTGAGGTCCCGAAGGCTGGGCTGATATAAGCTGTGAAATCCTCCGTCTAAAACTGGGACGGTCTCCTATTTGTTTGCTGTGGTAATCAATCTGGTGGAAACTCCTGAATGGGTCACAGAACTTTCAACTGAACCTATATTAATCGAGCACCCATTATGTAAGCAGCCCTGCGCTCATTGCTGGGAGATACAAAGTATGTTATGCTTGCTATCCTCAAGGAATGTTTCATTTGGTTGGAAGATAAGATGAATGTACATGGGAAACAACAGCAGGCATATGCAAGAATATATACATATCCACAGAATACAGTGCATTTTGCAATGACTGGCTGTGCTCTAGAAATACTTGTATGTTTATTATTACCACCCCACTTCATTCCATAAAAAATACAAAACAATTCTAGGAATGAATCGGAGAAGAGAGCAATATGGCAAATATATTTTGTTTTGCTATTTAATATATTATATCCTATTTTTCCATTGGGATGTGTGAGCTTCTTAAAAAGAAAAACAGCCAGGCCTGGTGGCTCATGCCTGAAATCCCAGCACTTTGGGAGGCTCAGGCGGGTGGATTACCTGAGGTCAGGGGTTCACGACCAGCCTGGCCAACATGGTGAAACCGTGTCTCTACTAAAAAATACAAAAATTAGCTAGGCGTGGTGGTGGGTGCCTGTAATCCCAGCTACTCGGGAGGCTGAGGCAGGAGAATCACTTGAACGCGGGAAGCGGAGGTTGTAGTGAGCTGAGTTGATGCCACTGCACTCCAGCCTAGGCAACAGAGCGAGACTCCATCTCAAAAAAAAAAAAAAAAAAAAAAAAAAGGAAAGACTATTTCAGGTATTGGTAGTTCCCATGGTTCCTAGAAACACCTGGTGACAGTGGGTGGCATATATAGTGTTTAAAGGGGGTAGGTCTTGGATTCAAACAGCCTGGATGTGAACCCGAGCTCTATTGCTTACTAGCTATAACACCTTGAGCAATGTTTTCATCTCTTTGAGCCTCAGTTTACTTTTCCATAAAAATAGAATGATAATAAAGTCTATCTCATATAGGTTTTGTGGAAATTCAGTGAAATAATGCATGGAATGCAAAAGTTGTCAATGTAATCAGTATTTAATATAATAATTCTGGTTTGTTCATACCCTGTTAGCTCAGCAGCCTCAGCCAGGCTCCAGATGACAACTGTGCTAATACCTTTAGGAGGATGGGGTACAGAACAAATCTAGACTCCTAGGCACATCATGCCTGGAAATTGTGCATTTCTACTTGAGAGAGAATATTCCTGTCTTCCCCTTTATGTTCTCATCTGTGTTTGGCAAAAGGTGAAAGTTAACGTATTTCTTGGTTTTCATACACCAGATGCTGCTGCTGCTGCTGATTTGGGGCACAGGATGCAAACAAAGTACAATCTGATTTTCAATTTCTTCAACACAGTGTTAACTCGGTCTTTATTGGTTTCCTTTTCATATAACTTTTGGAGGGCCTAAGCCCATTGAAGAGCTTTGCTATCTCCCAAATAATTAACATGGAAGGCAGGGTGGGGCCATGCATGTTTCTCAAACTTGTTGCATCCTCAGAATTACTTGTGGAATGTGTTAAACATCTAAATTTATGGGCCCTACCCAAGAGATTTCAATTTAGTAAGGCTGGTCATTACTCAGGAATTTATTATTTCAAAAGCTTCAGCCAGGTGCGGTGACTCGCACCTATAATCCTAGCATTTTGGGAGGCTGAGGCAAGCAGATGGCTTGAGCTCATGAGTTCGAGACCAGCCAGGGAAACATGGTAAAATCCCGTTTCTACAAAAAATGTTAAAAAATTAGCCAGGCATGGCGGCATGTGCCTGTAGGCCCAGCTACTGGGGGACTGAGGCGGGAGGATCTCTTGAACCTCAGGAGGTCGAGGCTACAGTGAGCTGAGATCAGCTACTGCACTCCAACCTGGGTGACAAAGTGAGACCCTGTCTCAAAAAGAAAATAAAAGCTCCTTGGTTGATTCTGATCCTAGGTAGGATTGGGAACCACTGAACTCACCCGAGGAAGCTTGGGTTCTAGGCCCACCTCTGTTACTAATTAATCAGATTACTCATGCCGTCCTTCTGTTTCTTCACAAATAAAGGTATTAGACGAAATGATCTTTTGAAACTCTTTCAACTCTGAGTCCACAGTCTCTGCCATACTGGGAAGTCAAACAGGAAGCACACACAGGATTTATGATACCCAAAAGATACCTTTCCTGAGCTAACAGCACTGCTTCTGAGCACAACCACCTTCTTTCATAAAATCTGCTGGTGAAGTTGCAATCCAAGTGTCAATAAAATAACTTACTCTGCTAACTTGCTGTTCACTGATGGATATTATCCAGTTGGCAGACATTAGCCAGAACACCTGTCTAAACTACTTAGTTTGAATTCATTAAACATAGGGAGCATCATGCAATCTATGAAAGTCTTTGTTCTGAGAAAAAAAAATAGAATGAGAAATGAGTTTGCTCTAAATATTGGGCCCTCAGACATCTTACTTTGCTAGAGAATTGAGAAATGAGAACACTGGAGAAGTAGATCTGGATTACAGATTTAATATTTTCCTATTTATTATGGGAAAGAGGGCTTCTTTTTATGCCTCTTTTTTCTTCCACTAGGCAGGACTGCAGCGTGCATAAATCTTGATTTTTGGCCAGTGGCTGAGAGAATGTAACACTTTTCTATGGATTGTGTCTGTGGATTGTTATTTTATGTTGTATTCCCTTTCCTCCAAATGCAACACCATTTTATCACAATCTTAAATAACCCTGCCATTTGGATAAAAGGTGTGAAATTCTGCCCATCCCTGTCCACAGCCTGAGCTCTCTCTCATTTTCTCAGCAGTCAATTCATTAGCCTTCTAATGCAGTTGATAAGTGAATAGGATCAGACAGTCTCTTCTAAAATAACATTTATAGGTGGATGCATTTCCTTGCTCTCTAAGGTAGGCCTTAATTTATTTCCCTGCCAGATGTCCATGTGTGTAAAACTGTGATAGGTGGGCCCTTGGAATGTGGTTTGAAGCCAAAAGAAAAAGAAAAAAATTCAACTCACACAGAGCCTATCTATTTTCAAGTTTATAGGAGAGTGATTTGATATACCCCATTCCTGCTTATATATATAATGACTATAAAGATTAGGTAGTCAAACTTTCATAGTTACTTTCTCATCGTTTGGTGGCCAATTACTTTATTGGACATAGTCTATAAATGTCATTAGGAGGTTTCTGGCAAATTCCCTTGTAAGACCACTGCCCTAGACATTATTTGGGTGAAAATATGTAAACTGGTAAAAGACGTCTCCTCCCTGTTACACGTCTGTGAGATTTCTTTATAAGAATCACTGAACTTAGGAAGTTTTTTATATCTTAATGTTGCTTCCAAATGTTTTGTGCCCAAGTTAAAGCTAAAGCTGAGCTGTCTTCCAATACATAAGGTTTATCTTGTAAAAGATTCCCCCCTTCACTGCTATTATTCTCTTAAACTTGTATACTATTTTTAGTCATTGTCCACATGAATACGGGACAGTTCTAATATTTCTGGGAGGAATGTAAGGCCTGTGTAATTGAACATTCCATTTTGCAGACAGATCTGTGGTCCCTAGTGGGTTTGTGGTCAGTGATTTCAGATCTGGGACCCCAATCTGGATCTTCCAGTTCTCAGCAGCCCCTTTTTCTTGCTGTCATGTTGGTAAGCATGCTTTCCTGGCCTTACAGATTTGGCAACCATTCATGTTTCATGTGAGATCTATGGCCGAGGGACTATTTTGGGACTAGTAGTTTCCTTGGATATTTGCCTAAGTGATTTTCAATTCACGTGGATTATGAGAATCACCTGGGAAATTTAAGAAAAGTCAGTTTCCTGGGCCTTATTCTAATCCCACTGAATCAACTTCTGGGGTCAGGATCTATGAACTTATAGTTTTAAAGAACTCCCCTCTTGATTCTGATGTGCCACTGATCCAAGGCACTTTATGGCCATCTTTGCTTCTAAAATGTCATTTGCTTCTAAAGTTGTTTTGGATAACTCTCCCACAGCATACCACCTTTCCCTCTACCCATCTTTCTTCCTTCTGGCTCAGAGTGATGAGCGTAATCATTCATGCAGAAATCCATAGTTGCTCCCTCCTCTTTATAATGACGACCATAAAGGTTAATAATTGGAATGTGCTCTGGCACTTACTAATGAGCTTACATTCTGTCAGCATCAGGGCTGTTTAATTGGGCAATTAACACTGATCTTAGAGAGTGGTTCCACAAGAGAGTGGTCATGAGGTGCTGCTCCCCTGGAGCTGTGCTTGAGATAAGCCTTATGAGGGTCAGTTGGCCGTCAGGAATCTAGGTTCTGGTGGGGATCAGAGGACACAAAAACTGGGGAATAGGCCGGGCGCGGTGGCTCATGCCTGTAATCCCAGCACTTTGGGAGGCCAAGGCGGGCGGATCACAAAGTCAGGAGTTCCAGACCAGCCTGACCAACATGGTGAAACCTCATCTCTACTAAAAATACAAAAAGTTAGGCAGCCATGGTGGCGGGCACCTGTAGTCCCAGCTACTCAGGAAGCTGACGCAGGAGAGTTGCTTGAACCTAGGAGGTGGAGGTTGCAGTGAGCCAAGATTGCACCACTGCACTCCAGCCTGGATGACAGAATGAGACTGCGTCTCAAAAAGCAAAACAAAACAGAACAAAAGCTGGGGAACAGATTCCAGGTGCCTTTTGAAGGCTTTCTATTCATAAAGGTTTTTGGTTGCAAGTAACAGAAACCATTGCTAACTTAAGCAAGATATAGGATTTGTTGGAAGGATACTGGAATTGCCCAACATTTGGAAGAAGAGATGAGCAAAAAAACCCCAGTAGTGACAAAATTCTAGGAATCTCCAGCAACCATAGCAGCTGGATGTCATGGATTTACACTCCAGTGAGCTGCTATGAGATGACAGCTGCCTCCTTTGAGGTTTAAATTCCTGGAAGAGAAAATGGAAGAGACCACTTGGGTCAAGGAGTCGAAACTTTAACTGTATTTAGTAGGTAAGAGTTTCCTGGCCCAGCTGGCCCTGTTGTTCGTATCTATGCATAGAGAGACTGGGATGATCAGCAGCAGGGCGGCACATGGTTCTGGGAATACCAGACATCACAGATACCACATGCTTCCTGATGGATTCTAGTGTACAGATAAATATGTACAATTTTAAAGAACATCCCTCCAATTATAATATTTATTTAAGAGGCCATCAGTTATTATGTGTCAGAGAATGTTCCAGGAGCTTTAACCATAAAAATACCACTTATAAAAACCTTGCAAGGGTTTTACCCCATATTGGTGGATGATGAACCCGAGATTCGTGCTGTCAGTGGGCAAAAGAGATGAAGTTTGACCTCAGATCTGTAAAATGCCAAAATCCATTCTTGTCTCACTTGCCCCTTGCTGTCTCCCCGAATAGCTTTTAACTCCCAGTTTAGTTCGTGAACATTGTCTCAGCCCTGGACACTCATTTCCACATCTGTTCTCCTGAACCTTAGACAATGTACAAAGTTTTAACAGTAGGGTCTTCATAAATGAAGGTGATATGATTGGTCACATAATATCTCTGCAATTTTTATTTCTTGTAATGCCTCCCTCCCAACCCATCCCCACACTAAGAGATGCAAGTAGAATGCTCTTAGTCATTCACAAATTCTCCATTCTTCATAGGAGAGGTGGTGGGTGATTATAGAAAATTGTCTGGGATGAGTGTGCCATTTGTGTTCACACATTTTTAATGCAAATTTTATTGATATAACTGAATATTCACAGGCAGTTCTAAGAAATAATACAGAGAGATATTGTGTATACTTTACTCAGTCCCCCTCGATATTTTGCAAAGCTACAATATAATATCTCTAGGATATTGACATTGATATAATCCACCAACATTATACAGATACTCTAAGGTTTAGTTGTACCCATTTTTTTGTGTGAGTTTGTGTGGGGGTGTGGGGAAGGTAGGTTTGTCTATCTGCCCTCATAGTTATGATGCTGAACTGTTCCATCACTACAGGAATCTCTCATCTTGCCATTTTATAATCACACCTACCTCCCTCACCCAAAACCCCTAATCGCTAAACCCTGGCAACCACTAATCTGTTCTCCATTTCTAAAATTCTATTATTTCAAAAATGTTATAGGGTCATACAGTATATAACCTTTTGATGCTTTTCTCACTTTTCTTCATTTAGCATAATCCCCTGGAGATTCATGCACTTTTTTGTGTATCAATACTTCCCTTTTATTGACAAGTAGTAGTCTAGGGTATGAATGTACGTCAATTTGTTTAACCATTTACCTGTTGAAGGGCATTTGGGTTGTTTCTAGTTTTTGGCTATGGAAAATAATGCTGTTCTGAACATTTGAATACAGGTTTTCGTGCAAACATGTTTTCATTTTTCTGGGATAAATACATATGAGTGCAGTTTATCCTACCCTCCTTGAATTGCTTTTGCCCCTTTGTCAAAAATCAGTTGTACATATTTATATGGGACTGTTTTTTGCTGTCCATTCTGTTGCATTGGGATGTGTCCATTCCTCTGCCAGTACCATCCTCTTCATATTATAGTGATATGGTAAGCCTTAATGTCAGGCAGAATGATTACTCTCACTTTATTCTTCTTTGTTTTAGCTGTTCTAGGGCCTGTGCTTTTCTGTATATATTTTGGAAGAAGCTTGTCTCTGTTTGCCAAAATCAAAACCCTGGTGGGGTTTTGATAGGAGTTTTGTTAAACCTATAAGTGAATTTGTGGACTACTGACATCTTTAGTATATTGAGCCTTTGAATCCATGAACATGGTGGTACATCTTTTAGGTCTATGATTTCTTTCATCAGCATTTTATAGTTTTCACCATATAAAATCTGTGTGTATTTTGTTAAGTGTACACTTATTTAAGTATTTCACTTTCTTTGGAGTGATTGTAAAATATATTGTTTGTTTAATTTCAGTTTTCACATATTTATTGCAACTGACCAGAAAATGAAATGGGATTGTCTTTTGTGTGTTGACATTATTTCCCCAAGACCTTGCTCAACTTATTTGGTATTTGCTTTTGAGTGTGTGTGTGTGTATGTGTGTGTGTGTGTGTGTTTTGAGACAGGGTCTTACTCTATCACCCAAGCTGGAGTGCAGTGGTGTGAACATGGCTCACCACAGCCTTGAACTCCTAGGCTCAAGTGGTCCTCCTTCCTCAGCCTCCTGAGTAGCTAGGACCACAGGCATGTGCCACCATACCTGGCTGATTTCTAATTTTTTTGTAGAGATGGAGCCTTGCCATGTTGTCCAGGCTGGTCTTGTACTCCTAGGCTCAAGTGATCCTCCTGCCTTGGCCTCTTAAGAAGTGCTGGGATTACAGGCATGAGCCACCATGCCCAGCCATGCTTTTGAATGTTTATTGTGAACTCAGCACGGTGCTAGGCGTTTTCTGAATGCATCAGGAAACAGAGTGAAGTTCTCTAATGAGGTATGTAAGCCTATTTGGCTCTACTCAGACCCTGTATTAGTATAATTCATTTAATGAGACCTACTGTGTACAATATCTTTCCTAGGCACTGTGGGCCATATGAGAATGTAGAAAAGATTTTCCCTTCCAGGTGCCCCTAATTGGTTGGTCTCTCTCTCTCTCTCTACATATATATATATCATCAATTAGAGGCATATATATATAAATTAGAGGTATATATTTATATATATAGAGAGAAAGATAAAGGAAGAGAGAAAGCTATAGAAAGGGAGAGAGAGAGACCACTGTTATATGATATTATGATATTATGTTATGATTATATGCTATTCTGTAATAACTAATTTATATATATGCCTCTAATTGATTATATTTATATTTATATATAAATATATACATAGAAATGTATGTATATATAAATATATACATAGAAATGTATGTATTTGTGTATTCACATGTATATATAAATATATACATATAAATGTATTTATATGTATATTTATAAATATAAACAATTAGAGGCATATATATAAATTATTTCTTGCAGAATGTCATATAACAGTGGTCTCTCCCTTTCTATTGCTTTCTCTTTTCCTTTATCTCTATCTCTCTCTATAGATCTCTAATTAGATATATATAATATACATATAATATATAAAAATATATTAGTATATATAAATATATATTAATTATATAAATATATAATATATATCAATATATAAATAATATATATTTATATATAAATAAATTAGAGATATATATAGAGAGAAAGATGAGGGAAGAGAGTGATAGGGAGAGAGAGACCACTGTTATATGATATTCTGTAAGAAATAATAACAGAATTTTAAAACAAAGGCGTGTGAGAGAGAGAGAGAGATTAATTCTAGCTTTGGAGGATCAGAGGATGCTTATGCCAGGAGCAGAATATGAGCTAGGCTTTGGAGGGAGAGAAAAACTTTGATGAGTGGTGTGAGGGGATGGGCATGCTAGATAAGGAGTATAGTCAGATTAAATTCAGGAGGAGAGAATGTTCAGGGAAAATCTGACAAATGGTTAGGAGGCAGTGGAGTGAAATTGTGAATGCAGTTCAGGGAAGGTGACCCAAGGAGGAAGCTGGCCAGACAGTGAAAGCCACATAGTGGAAGACTTTGGTGCCAGACTGAGCAGTTTGAAATCTTTTCTGTGGAGTAGAGAGGAAGGAGTAAAGGTTGTAAACAGATATTATAGAATAATTGCTGTGTTTTAGCAAGATGTGTTTAGCAAGGGTGATTTAGTATGGGGAGAAATTGTAAGCAAGGAGGAATAGTTTGCACAATGTTATGATGTTCTTATTGCTTTTTCCCATTCATTTATTCCTTAATTAATTTATGCATTTATGTATTTGTTTACTTGTGTGCTTATTCATCTGCCAGCCCCTGTAGAATGTCCAATGATCTGATGTTCAATGCATCCAAAATGAGGAAGGCAGGAAGTCAAAGTTCAGAGCTTCCTTGTTTGAAGGGAAACAAAAACTTTTCCCCCCAGAATCTCTGGCTTTCCATTGTATAAACATGGATTCTACAACATTGGGGTTAGATGTGCTGACTGGTGTCATTGAGTCTTACATGGTGAGGGGCTATGAGGTACCAGGCTTTACTGGCTTACTGTACCCAGAGAAAGTTCAGACATTCTGAAAATGTAGAGTCTCCCTAGGGAAACCGGGCCTCTTGTAATGGTGGAGCAGAGGATAAAGAAAGTGACGTGACTTCTTAAACTTATCCCATTTCATTCCTCGGTGAGGATCTGGGCGGTCGGTAGGGGAGGACTGTAACAATGCAAACGGAAGAATTTGGAACTGGACCTAATTCTGATTTACTTTGAAACTTTGATGCTTCATATTGGCATCCTCTTCAAACACATCTGCCTGAATGCTCTAAGCCATGAAAATTGAGATACTTTAAAGGGTTCATCTGTGAAATGAGACAATGAGTTTCCAAAGCTCTAAATTTTTCTCTTTTGTGAATATTTAAATTCTTGTGTAATAATTTTACTAATAAAAAATGTTTTTCCAAAGCTTGAAAAACAAAGAGTACTGTTAAAATATACCAATCATCTAAATTCCATTCAAAATCATTGTTATGTTTTGGCATATGCATACTTAATACATATACGTATTTTTACCCATATATCTTTACATAATTGAGATCCTCTTGTATAAACAGTTTTTTCCTATTTTTATATAATGTTTGACTAAAAGTTTGTATGTTATCAAAATATTTGGCAAAAATAATTTTAATGTTTGCATGATAGTGTATTGTTCCATAATTTACTCAAGTATTCATCTGTTTTGGAGATTTAGATTGTTTTACAGTTTTTCATTCCTTAAAAAATGTTCTGGTGCATATCTCGATACTTAAATCTTTGTTTTTCCATGCATTTTAGAGTTTTTTCCTTAAGATAGACTTCCAGGGGATGAATTTTAAGACTCTTAGCATACATTGTCAGATTTGTTAAGAGAAGTGTACTTTTTTTTTTTTTTTGAGACGGAGTCTCGCTCTGTCGCCCAGGCTGGAGTGCAATGGTGTGATCTCGGCTCACTGAAAGCTCTGCCTCCCGGGTTCAAGCCATTCTCCTGCCTCAGCCCCCTGAGTAGCTGAGAGTACAGGTACCCGCCACCACGCCTGGCTAATTTTTTGTGTTTTTAGTAGAGACGGGGTTTTTCCATGTTAGCCAGGATGGTCTTGATCTCCTGACCTCGTGATCCGCCCCCCTCAGCCTCCCAAAGTGCTGGGATTACAGGTGTGAGCCACCGCACCTGGCCTGAGAAGTGTACATTTATAAAAAAAAAAAAAAACAACAAAAAAGAAGTGCACATTTCTTAGACTCTTATGCTGGAAAAGCCAAACTCTGAAATTAAACGAGAAATATTCACTTAGTTGCAGCTTGTATGTGTGTGTGTGTGGTGTGTGTATGTTGCATACATGCATTTACATGCTTTAGGGTGTTAGTATGCCTAAATTTATTGTAAAATTATGAGAATAAGACTTGGATAATGAAATCTCTGGAAATCATGCATCTCCAGACTCAAAGAAGAATGTGTCTCTCCTGCTGCCGGAAAATGTCCAGGCCCATCTGATCTGATAGAGCCTTCAGAAATAATGCCGCATATCTACAACTATCTGATCTTTGACAAACCTGAGAAAAACAAGCAATGGGGAAAGGATTCCCTATTTAATAAATGGTGCTGGGAAAATTGGCTAGCCATATGTAGAAAGCTGAAACTGGATCCCTTGCTTACACCTTATACAAAAATTAATTCAAGATGGATTAAAGACTTAAACGTTAGACCTAAAGCCATAAAAACCCTAGAAGAAAACCTAGGCATTACCATTCAGGACATAGGCATGGGCAAGGACTTCATGTCTAAAACACCAAAAGCAATGTCAACAAAAGCCAAAATTGACAAATGGGATCTAATTAAACTCAAGAGCTTCTGCACAGCAAAAGAAACTACCATCATAGTGAACAGGCAACCTACAAAATGGGAGAAAATTTTCGCAACCTACTCATCTCTCAAAGGGCTAATATCCAGAATCTACAATGAACTCAAACAAATTTACAAGAAAAAAGCAAACAACCCCATCAAAAAGTGGGCAAAGGATATGAACAGACACTTCTCAAAAGAAGACGTTTATGCAGCCAAAAGACACATGAAAAAATGCTCATCATCACTGGCCATCAGAGAAATGCAAATCAAAACCACAATGAGATACCATCTCACACCAGTTAGAATGGCAATCATTAAAAAGTCAGGAAACAACAGGTGCTGGAGAGGATGTAGAGAAGTAGGAACACTTTTACACTGTTGGTGGGACTGTAAACTAGTTCAACCATTGTGGAAGTCAGTGTGGCGATTCCTCAGGGATCTAGAACTAGAAATACCATTTGACCCAGCCATCCCATTACTGGGTATATACCCAAAGGACTATAAATCATGCTGCTATAAAGACACATGCACACATATGTTTATTGCGGCACTATTCACAATAGCAAAGACTTGGAACCAACCCAAATGTCCAACAGTGATAGACTGGATTAAGAAAATGTGGCACATATACACCATGGAATACTATGCAGCCATAAAAAATGATGAGTTCATGTCCTTTGTAGGGACATGGATGAAATTGGAAATCATCATTCTCAGTAAACTATCGCAAGAACAAAAAACCAAACACCGCGTTTGCTCACTCATAGGTGGGAATTGAACAGTGAGAACACATGGACACAGGAAGGGGAACATCACACTCTGGGGACTGTTGTGAGGTGGGGGGAGGGGGGAGGGGTAGCATTAGGAGATATACCTAATGCTAAATGACGAGTTAATGGGTGCAGCACACCAGCATGGCACATGTATACACATGTAACTAACCTGCACATTGTACACATATACCCTAAAACTTAAAGTATAATAATAATAAAAAACAGAAAAGAAAAAAAATGAAAACAACAACAGCAGCATCAATAATAATGCTTGCTTACACTTACCAAGTACCATGTGCCGGACAATGATCGAAGTGCTTTACATATGTTTAACTCATTGCTATAATAAACCAGGTAAAAATAGGTAAACACTGTTATCCCCATTTTACAGCTGAAAAACCTGAGGGGCAGAGAGCTTCAGTAACTTTCCTGGCATGCTTACTAGGTGTTTGAGCTGTGATTTGGATCTAAGCCCTCTGATTCTAGAGCCTGTGCGCTTGACCCTCTGCAAGATAGTCCCTGAATAAGACCTGGCTTCAGTTGGAGGTTGTCACTGGGGTTCCCAACAGTCTCAAATCTACAGTCCCCTCAGTGGAAGACCCAGGTGCAAAGCCTTAAGTGAAGGATGAAGAGTAGGGTGACCTTCCTCCTGGGTGAGACCCAAGACTCTTCCAAATGCACTGCCTGTTCTGGTTTCATCAAGGAGAGGTGTGTGGAAGGGTCCAGTCTCCTTCCTTCCTGTAAAGATTTGGAACAGGTCTCAACTCCCCCTCAGTTCAGTTCCCTTAATAACTACTGAGGGACTTGTCAAACAGAAGCTTACCTGTTCTGTACCTGTCGTACCTGTTACCTGTACCTGCTTAATGTGCACACCCTTGGGAGTCTCTGTACAGAGAAGTGAAAAGCATGCTCTCTGGCCCATACCACCTGGATTTGAATCCCAGTTATGCCACTTTCTAGCTGTGCACTTGAGGCAGTAACTCCTCTGGGCCTCACTTTCTCATGTCTAAAGTACAAGTGAAAACAGCTGGGCAGCTGAGTGGACATCCTGAGTTAATAATGGTAAAGTGTTGGAACAGTGATGACTCCCTTAAGCACATGTTCTGCCTATGAGGGCTTGCTTCAATTTCTGTCAGGATTGCTCTGCCTTTTGCCCTAATCCCTCAGGACTCCAGTAAGGTCTCATGACTTTGGGCACTCATTCTCGTGTTTCCCCACACCCTCAACACACACCTCCCCCGAGCCTACTTCTTTGGTGCTTGCCCCGGTGTGGAGGCAGCTTCTGATCAAGTTCTCCCTGAAGTGTCAAAGGGAAAGCATGGAGAGTGAAATGGCAGGACGTCACCCAGTGGGAGGATCAGGGAGGACGTTCCCAGGGGTGTCAGCCTGATAGGGCCACCATAACGCAGTAACACTGGGTGCTTCAACAACAGAAATGTCCCACCGTCCTGGAGGCTGAGTCTGAGATTGAGGTGTTGGCATGGTTAGTTCCCTCTGAGCATGCATCTCCCCCAGCTCCTGGTGGTTTGCTGGCAATCTTTGGTGCACCTTGGCTTGTAGAATCATCACCTTACCTCTGCCTTTATCTCCGCATGTGTGCCTGTGTCCAAATTTCCACTTTATGAGACTACCAATCCTATTGGATCAGGAGCCCATCCTACTGCAGTATGCCCTCATCATAACTAATACATCTGCAACAACTTTGTTTCCAAATAAGGTCACATTCTGAGGTCCCAGGGTGAGTTCTTCAACAGGTGAATTTTGAGGGGGTGGACACAATTCAAGTCATAACATTGGGGAAGTGCCCATAGCTGAGGCTGAAGGATGAGGAAGAGTTAACCGGGAGCTCAAGATTTGGGGAAAAGAGAGTGCATAATGGTACATGGACCACAGGATCTTTGCACAGGTCTGACTGGAATCTTTCAATGATCCACACTACCATTAGTGTGGCTTTTCAAGGAGCCAGAGTAAGTCAAGAGTGGCCCAGAGTGTGGGAGGTGGCAGAGGACAAGCCCTGTGGAGTTTTGTCAGCAATTTTTAGCAGTTTAGGTTTTACTTTGGGCACAATGGGAAAGCATTTTAAGCAGATAAGTGACATTTAATGAATGTTTCACAAGTTTATTATAAAATTTTTACTTTATTCCTGATTTTTTTTTTGAGAATAAAACTTTTTTCTTCCAGTTTGTTCTCCACTTGTATTTCTTCATATGGACTTTTCATATATTTTGTAGTTAATCTGTTGGGGACTTGTTTTATCATTTGTATGTGTTTTTAAATATAATGTATAAACTGAATTGTATGTGTTTTTAAATATAATGTGTAAACTGAATTGTATGTGTTTTTAAATATAATGCATTGTTGAATCAGATGCCAATATTCCCCTCATTCAGTTTTTTTACCTGTTATCATAGTATTGTTTTTCATAAAGTAAGGGATCAGGAAGTATTATTTATATTTTGTAAATCAAATCTGCAAAAATCTTAATTTGTAAAAGTTACATTCCTTCTTAGATTTATTTTTTAAGATTGAAGAGTTCCCACCTTTTTAATCTATTCTTACACTGCAGCAAATTCATCCTTGAGATGGGAAATGTATGCTAAAAATTGTCGAGGAAGCTGTGACATTCATTTGGGGAAACATCTGCTTGTTTTGTGCTCAATTATCTCATCAAATCCTCCCCAAGTAGGTACGTTATACTCTTCCTTTTTGCAGAGCGGGAAGCTGAGGCTTTAATAAAATGGGTAAAATCTGCTGAGAGACATACAGGTGGATTTGGATGATAAACACAAATGGGCAGGCCCTGTTCATAACCAAGGAGTTTCTCAGCTGGAAGCTTTGAGTGGTTTCTTGGGTGGCTTCCACCTTCTCACTTCAGAGTTTGGAACCCAGTTCTCAGAGGCAAACTAGGGATATCCCTAGCAGAACACATGCCTCTATGGAGCTGTTCTAGCCAGGCTACTGCCTCGCTTTCAAACATCCCTGCCTTTACTGATGCCATGTCTTGTTCTGGAATTTCTTCTTCTCTCCTCTTACGCATTTTTAGGACCTAGGATGTGTTCTGTTTTCTCCCATAGCTGTTCTTGAGCATCCTAGCCCAGCATCCTCTCACTTCTTCATTTTGAGTCCCTTAGAATCTGCTTTTCTACCCACTCATCTGCTACCTGGTCTTACTGTGCATGGCTTCTTGAGGTTACCCATAGCACCTGGCTGTGTTGTATGTGCTCAGTAAGTGTCTGTTGGGTAGACAGAGGAGCAGGATCCGTTTAAGTCTCCTTGATCTTGAGGTTAGGAGTCTGTTGAAAGCCTGCCTGGGTCTAGCAGCTGTGGGTCTTCCAAGCATCAGGTAGCTTCATATGGACACTTAGTTGTTGGTACCCTGTCTGCTCCTATCCCTAGCTTTGCAGTGGTGGTGTTTTCTGCTCTGTAGCATATCTTACATCACAGCTAGATGGTATAGGATGGAGAGATGGATATTTTGGAGTGAGGGCATGTGCTGGAGTCCAGCCAGCAGATGACTGAGAATGGCATACATAGAATGCCACAGTTGTCAAAACTCACTGGCTATTTTGAAGCAGTTGCCAGATTGCCTATCAGGGTTGTCAAAAGGGACATTTCCAGGAGATCTGAGGACAAGTGAGGGCAATATGTGCTCAGGGGCAGTTATCATAACTGCTAGCATATATTGAATAGCTACTGTGTGCCAGGAATGGGTATTTTTTAATATTATCCTAATTTAAACCTCCTGATGGCAAGACATTTAGAAAGTGTGGGGTATGAAATGAGCTGAATATGATACTTTGAGTACATAGGGATGTAGTATGGTTTTCTGGCTTTGCTATCTTGCCCAGAGGTGTCAGAAATTGTTAAATGTTTATAAAAGCCTTAAAAAAATTTTTAAAAAGATTTTTCTCTGCTGGGAACCCATGGGAGTAGGGGAGAGCTTAGTGTTATTGCAACCACAGCCCTGGATCTCCAATGTGCATGACCTCCCTGGGGTGACTGGATGAATATGGTCTCAGGGGCCCCATCCAGCCTTAGGCATCTTAGGAATCCTCAGTGACCTTTTTATGTGCACTGGCACCAAAACTACATTCAGTCCCTTCAGGGTTCAGCTCCCTGCCATTGCCAGTGTATACCTGAAGTGGTACCTGGTTAACAAAGCTTGTCCATAGGGTCTCACTGGGTGATATTCTCTCTCTTTCATGGCCTCTTGGTGTGCTGTGATGGGCAATATCAGCCAGTGGAGTGCTGGTCCAGTTGGGTGCTCCAAGGTCTTTTCATCAGAGACATGCTTGGACCTATTAAACACAATTTAACACTATTAAAGCTTGAGTGTTAAGGTGAATATACCAAGTTTATATAGAGAGCAAGGAGAGCAAGTAGTGGGGTGATAATGTGAGATACTGCAAGAGGACCCAAATCACCAAAGGCAAACTGGTGTTCTTTCAATCTCTAGAACAAACCAAGCTTTTCCTGCCTGGGGGCTTCACACCTGTCTGAAATATTCTCATTCTTCTCCCTACCTTCCCCTGGTGCCCCCAGCCAATCACATTTTTCACAGATCTGGTCTTTTTTATCTTTTGTCTCTTCAATTTAAGTATCTCTTCCCCAGAGAGGTGTTACCTGGCCATCCTATCTAAGAGAGGTTTCCAGGCTGGTCAGTCTCTCAGTCCCTTGTTGAGCACTTGTTATAATAGTACCACTTGCAGCCATTTTATTTTACATCTTATGTAGGGGTTATTTATTTATTTCACTACTGTTTCCCCTTCCCCATGAAACAGAGATTTATTGAGAGAAGGGATTGTGTTTTTCTCACACAGCATGGTTCCTCACTGCCTAGTGCTGTGTTTGGCACATAGGAGGATCTGTGTGAAAGAAGGAAAGAAGGAAGGAAGGAAGACAGGAAAGCAGGAAGGCAGGCCGGAATCCACAGCAGAAGCCAGGGCAGATAGGAGGACTCGAGATGTTCACTTCTCTTGGATGGCAAATCTTGACCTGATCCCTTGTCAATCTCTTCCTTTTTGAACTTTCTCAGTTAGATCACTGACATTTCATGCTATAAGTCATCAAGTCTCCTCTACAAATTTTAGGGATGAAGAAAGTGAGATTCTGAGAAGGGAAATGACTTGTTTAACCATCCTTTATTAGGGAAAGAGGTTGGACCAGAACTAAAACCAGCGCACTTTCAGACAGGAAAGCAGACACCCTCAAAAGATCCCAAGAGTCCAGTATTTAGTGGTTTGTGAGTAGGTGCTTCGCTTTTATTGATGAAGCATAGAGAAGTAGGAAAGTTAAGACAGAAAGACAGTCAAATGCTGGGCTTTCACCCGGGAGAAACCCGTGAGTCTGAAAAGCCATTCTCCAAAAGGGACCTTAAAGAAACATGAAAGAAACATGGAATTTTTTCTTGACATGAAGCTAGAAGCTGAGCACAATGCATCTGACAATGAAAAACCAGGCTGTGCCTTAGAACAGGCTTGGGGGTGGGAGGCTCATGCTTTCTTTGCGAGATAGTACTTCACTCACAGAGGCTGTTTGCAGTACTCTGTCCTTGGTGATGAGTCTTCATGGGAAGGAGGCATGTAGGGGTCAGAGAATAGTTTTCTATCTGTTCCCCATATTCGTCAGCTGTGGTTGATGTATTATCCTTGAAATTGGAAAAGAAAAGGAGAGAAGAAATGCACATAGAACAGAGCTGAAAAGTGAACCAAAGACGAAAAAGGTCTGAGAGAGAGAAGGGGCATGATTGAGGTGGTTCTTTTGAGGAAGCGAAGTGACGTTTGACTTAGTTTTCATGTTCAGGTACTTGAGGGTTTGAAGTCTGAACAAGAAGAAATGGACAAAGATTAAGGCACGGGAGATGAGGTTTATGTAACAGAATTTAATGACTATTATGTTGGAAAGCTAGCAGGGTGGATATGTAAAAGACATGTAAAGAGATATGCATTTCTGAAAAACAAATCATCTACGTTGACTATCCTTAAAGAACAGAGTTACCAGATTTATGGGTCTAGGAATTTTTTTTTAGAAAAGCCAGAGTTGGAAACTATTCATCAGGACCATCAGTAACTATTATGTTTATACTTTGAGTCCTTCAAGTTAAAAAAAACCTAGGTACTTCCTTAGGCTGTGTGAAAGAGTAATTTTGGTGCTTGGAAAAATCTGATTTTGAAAACTAGATGCCTCAGTTATCAGCTGTAATTCATATGCAAATTATGTAACCTCTTTCATCCTCACATTAATGTCCTCCATCTGGAAAGTGGGGACAAAGTTTACCACAGGGGGTTAATTTGGACATTCATTGAAATTTAAGTGTCTCTTATTTGTAAATCATTCATTCATTGTTCATTTCCATTTTTTCTCTCAACAGTTTGGAAAAGGTGGCCTTAATACTGGTGGAGTTCATATTTTATGGTTCACTTTTTACTAACTCAGGTACTTTTATTTTTTGCCCATAATCTCTTTTGGGGTATGTCAATTTTGAACAGTCACTCATCACGCTGGTTCTGTATACTTTTTAATAAGAACAGGAAGAATTAGACTTTAGGAAGATTTTCTTGGGTTGTCTAGAGTCACTGAATACCATTATCATAAGATGCTCTCACATCCTTGTTTTATTCTCATTAAACAGATTCATTCCTAGAAGCCTACTGTGGCCTAGACACCACGTGAGGAACTAGGGATTCCTGGGGTGGGGACAAGATAGACCATGTCTCTGCTCTCGTGGAGTGGACAGACTAATGGGGACAACAGACAGTAGATAAGTACACAATAAGCCAGGTAATAACTAAATGTGGCTAGTGCTGCAGGGTGGTGTGAAAGGAACTGGGTGGGCTTGGGAGAGGAGAGGAGAGGAGAGGAGGGGGTGCTTTTTTTAAAGTGGTCAGGGGAGAACTCACTGGAAGCAGGGCTGGGATTAGGGTGAGGAAAGTGAAATTCCCAGTGTACAATTTTTTTTTTTTTTTTTTGAGACGAAGTCTCGCTCTGTCGCCCAGGCTGGAGTGCAGTGGCGAGATCTCGGCTCATTGCAAGCTCCGCCTCCTGGGTTCACGCCATTCTCCTGCCTCAGCCTCCCGAGTAGTTGGGACTACAGGTGCCCACCACCACGCCCGGCTAATTTTTTGTATTTTTAGTAGAGACAGGGTTTCATCATGTTAACCAGGATGGTCTCGATCTCCTGACCTCATGATCTGCCCGCCTAGGCCTCCCAAAGTACTGAGATTACAGGCGTGAGCCACTGCACCTGGCCCAGTGTACAATATTTAAGGAAGCATTCACTCTTAGGGTCCTGCAAGTGCCTTCTTAAAATTTTGCACCCTACATGCCCTGCTTGCTTGCCTCATCCCAGTCCCAGGCCTGCCTAGGAGGTGACATGAGTTGAGACCTCAAAGATAATGAGGATACAGGCCTTCAAAGGCATGCATGATCATCAGCTAAACAAGTGAGTGAAGATAGTGTTTGCTGTGGCTCATTTCAATGTGGTACAGAGATATCTGTGTAAATCCTGTAATTGCCAAAATTGACCCATCAATGTTAAAGACCCTTTTTAAGTGGATCATTTTCTTCCTTTTACACAGCCATCAAATGCAGCACTAATGAGGGGTGGTATTCATCTTGTTTTACAACCCTGAGCTTCTCTGTATTCATTAGCATGCAGGAATCTGACTCCCTGTGGTTCCTAGAAACAGGAGCCCCTATCCTTGCTTCATATTTTCATATACGATTGTTTTTAATTGCTGAGGAGCCTCATGGCTCAGCCCAGGTGGTTACATTTCCACCTTCACTCTGACGTCAGAATGCTTCAGAGCTCTGCTCTCTGACTAAGGGATAATGTCTTGGCTGCCATCTTGGGGAAATGTCTCTTTGTAAATAACGTGTGCAGCTATAGACTATAAATTAAAAACACATCAACAATATTAACACATCATTGAGAAACACCACATGGCAAAGTTCCAAAACTATGAGCAAAGTTCTAACCCCTGAGCAATGCATGATATATTGCTGTTTCTAATGTGGTCTATAAGACAGCTTCCCTGACAGAATCTCACACTATTGAAAAGCTGTGTTCTCATGGGACTACTCGCCTGCCACGCTTCATGTAGTTTTTCAGAGATGCTCACTTACATCTTGCATTTCAGATAGAGACCGCTTTAATCAAGCTAGTCCATACTCATGGCTTCCAGGCCAGACTTTGTCCAACTAGTCCAGTGATAGTTCCCCTGGCTCTGTTTTCCTGATGGCATCTCAGCCAGTGGCAGGGTGAGATTCTATGTTTGATATTCAGCAGGCTCAGCCCTGTGACTATAGGAGATAAGGGCTTCCTTCAGGGCACACATAGACACCTTCAAGTCATTTATATGGAGCTCGATGCTGGGAATTTGAGTCCCTGAGCTCAGCTTTTTCTTTTACCATTTTGTCTAGCAACATTGGAGCAACTAGCCAATCTCATTATATTTGTTAGTTTTCTAAAAATGCTTGAAAATATCATATACCCAGTCAGACATCTTTTGCTTTGTGTAAGTTGTTGATTAGGTGTATCCAATGCAAATATTTTTCATGTTTCTATTACCAGTTCAGTTCATGCCATGGACTATATCAGTGCTCTCTTCACTACTGGGAAGCATCATTTGCACCTTTAAAACTAATCAGATTAGAGAGCCCATTCCAGAAACACCAGAACCAATTCAGAAAACTCATTCTCTAGTACCACTGCATTTCTGCTACTAAAATCTATGTTAAGGTTCTCTAGAGAAATAGAACCAATATGATGGATATGTGTGTATGTGTGAAATATAATATACAAATATATATTTATATACATATATTACATATATTTATATGTATTCAAAATTGGATTATGTGATTTTAGAGGCTGAAAAGTTTCACAATGTGTAAATTTCAGCCTGGGTCCAAAAGCCAGAGTGTCCAAACCAAGAGTGTCGGTGGTGTGAGTTCTAGTCCAAGGACAGGAGAAGACTAATGTTGAAGATCAAACAGTCAGGAAGAGAGACAGAATTCAACCTTCCTCTGCCTTTTTGTTGTATTCAGGCCTTCAATGGGTTGGATGATGCTCACTCACATTGAAGAGGGCCATGTGCCTGACTTAGTTTACCAATTCAAATGCTAATCTCTTCTGGGAATTCCCTTACAGACACACTCAGAAATAATGTTTAACCAGATATCTGAGCATCATGTGGCCCAGTCAAATTAACACATAAAACTAAGCATCACAGCATCTTTCGGATGGACCCTCTAGGCACTATCACCAACCATTTCTTCTGAAACCATAAGCAGAACACACCATGAACCATGTTTAAATGTGCTAGGTTGAATGTTTGAAGTCAGGACTCTGTTGGAATATCAGGATGCGTAATTACTACACATATTATGTAGTCCTGATTACCTGAGTTCTCCCTACCTGAGACATCCTTCTGGCTAGGTTGTCAACCATTCTTTCAAACATCTTTTATAGTAGAGGCCAAAAGACTGCAAGCTGCTAGCCCTGAAGAGCTTAGAGTCTAGAGCATCATCATTATTAGCTACTGCAAGTAATTTTCCATCATTGTACCTTGGTTTCCTCATTGTCAGAATGGACATAATGATGGCATCTATCACGTAGAGTCGCTCTGAGGAGTAAATGAATGAGTAGATATATGGAAAGTTGTTGGAATAATGCATGGCATAGCATAAGAGCTCTAGAAATGCTCTCTATTGCTGTCATTATCATTATTTCTGTTCTCACGGAATTGATGCATATTATAAATGTCAACAATTCTCTTAGGATGGTGCACATTTTACCATATTTTTTATCATGCAGATGAAATACATGTAAATAAAAGCACACATTTAAATTAATATTTCTTTCTTTCATTAGTGGTTTTATATATTGGTCCTGCACCTCTCAGCCAATCTTAATCTTTAGGAAAGAGAAACACTGATCCACCTTTAGTAAATGACAATGAGTAGAGAGTCATTCATTCATTCATGCATGCATTTATGCAACAGGTATTTATTGAGCCCTTTGTGCCAGAGTCTATGCTAGCCCCTTAATGAAAATGACAGATCATTATTTGTTTAATGTTTTTTTTTTTCTTGTTAACAACTATTGTATTACTTCAAAAAAAGGTAACACCTAAAACTGCCATCCACCCCTTGCACCTCAGCATGAGGGAAGGTTTGGAGAGAGACTTTTGAGGGAGGACTAGGGAAAGGATGATGGATCAGGTTGCTTTAGGTCTGAGGACAGCAAAGAACAAAGGGCATGTATCTGCGAGGGTAGACCTCAGGATAACCAGGGGAGTGGAGGGAAGGAGAAATGGCTCACTTGGAGAGGGAGAGCCTGGCTGTGATACGGTCATTTTCCCATGTTGAGCATGACCTCGCAGGGCTGTGCCCAGCCTGATTTGAATGGGATGAGGCATCCCACACTCTCTTATTCTCTTATCCTACTACCTGACTTCAGTGTCCCTCTCGGAAGGAATTTCCCAATGGACCCACCTCTGAGGCATTCTTCTGACTAGGTTGTCAACCATTCTCTTGAACATCTTTTATAGTGGAGGTCAAAGGACTTAAGGTGACCAGCCCTTAGGAGCCTAGAGACTACAGCCACACAAAGCACAGGAGTGAGCAGAAAGCACAGTGGGCAGAGCAGCCCTCCATACTCATGGGGGCAGGGATGACCCTCTGTGCTTCAGGATACGAGTAGTTGGAGAAGAACCAAACCCCTGCTTCCCAGAGGAACCACGGGATGAAGTCATATGAGAGATGACAGTGTGTCATACACTATCTGAAAATTACATGTGGGTTAACTTTTTAAATTCTCACAGTAATCCAAGAGGTGAGTATTTGAACTATATCTGTTTTACAGACAAAGAAACCAATGCACAGGGAACAGAGGCTTCTGTTGTGACTTAGACCTTGAAGGATGAGTAGGATTTAGTTACACAAAGGGAAAAGAGGGAGCTTTCCAGAAAAGTGGAAAGTCCGCTCCTAAACTAAACTAGGAGTGCAAACCAATTTTAAGAGTCAGAATTCATCAGTGGTGCAGTGTCCTTTTAAGAATTCTGCTACTTTAGAAAATTTTGAGCCCTTGGCTTTTGGCCCCACTGTGTGCACCAGCTCTGGGCGTTTGGCAATGCAGGTGGACCCTCAAATGCAAATTGCCAGAAAGATAAATGAGAATTGGTGGCTGTATTTAATTATGCAGCCTTCTGCAATGTGTCTACAACAGACATTTTTTCTTATGGAGAGTAATTATTCTTAGCGTGCCCATCTGAGTGAGATTATGCTTTGGTAATTGGTTTTGAATCCTTGATCCATTTTTATTTGAGCCACCTTGCTAGAATCCTTTCTATCAATATTTGTGAATTGAGCCTGAGGTACACGTGCCCCTGAGACACAACTTAAAGGTGATCTTGTTTTTGCCCTTCCCAGAAACCTGTCGAGGTGAGGGCAGGGAGTTCCTGGGGTGATGGGCAGATCCTGGATTGTGAGATGCGCTTGCTTAGTACTCTCAGTTCCTGCTGAGAGGACTCAGTTTTACCCCTTTGCGTCTTATTTCTGGTGGTAGTCTTAACTGATTGGAACACATCTGTACTGTAGGCAAGGAGGTGACTTCTGCTCTCTCACACCCTGAGACTACTCTGCTCACACTGACCCATTGATTCACAAATGTAGCCCAATACTCATCTACCTGACTGAATAAAGTACACAAAGTATACATACCCTCTGTCAACCAAATCCTACTCCAAGTCTGTCTACCCATAACTGTAATATAAATATGATAATAGCTGCCACATGAAACTTACAATGTACCATGAGGGATGCATGTAATCATAATTGGGAAAGTACTTCTCAATTGTACATTAAATCATAAATGGCAGGCATTGTCTTCAGCCTGGACTGAACTCCAGCAGTGACTCCCCTGTGACCTTGGCAAGTCAGTTTTCATTCCTGGGCTTTTCATTGTTAGGAAAATGAGGGGTTTGTGTCTGATACTCCTGACTAAGTATTTTTGAGAATCTATTTGCATGCTGAAGTCTTTGGCCCAGGGAAGAAAATAGAGGACTCAGTCTCAATGTGAGTGTGCATCAGCATTACCGGTCTGCAACAATTTACAGTCCTGCTAACGTGTCAGCTTCTGGGTCCCATCCTCCAGGGCTTTTTATTCAGAAAGTTGGAGATGGGACCTAGGGATCCTCATTTTGATTTTTTTTTTTTTTTGCAAACATCCCAAGAATTCTGATGTAGTTAGTCCATGAGCCAACTTAGGAATCTCTGAAATAGAGGGTGAATAACAAAGGCGAGTGAAGGAGAAAGTTCTTGCAATGATATCTCCTCTGGGGATGTCTGGGTTTCCACTGAGATTCCTTTCTTTAGCTCTATCTCCTCTGTGTCTGGTGTGCTTGCCCAAATGTGCATGCTCATGTCCACTCCCACGCACCATTACAAACAATATGGGTTGAAAAGTTTGTTTTCTGAAAAGCACAATATGCTGAAGTCTTGGCAGAAGGAAAATTGTGTTATGTGCTGAAAGCATCATCATTTGCCATGCGTGAAAGCTTATGGCTGGAAGGACTGATATGCCATTTGCAGAGTATGGTTTACAGTCATGTACACACACATACACACAAGCACACAGACAAACATACACATTTGAGTAAGCTCCCACACAGTAAATGTGTCAAGAAAAGAGCAAGGAAAGATCCAGGAAGAATCTTTGCCCTTTCTGCAGCAGAGAGCTGGTCACACGAATGTGTCCGTCATTTTCACAAGAAGGGCTTTTGTTTCTTGTTTTCAAAGCTGGCAGAAAATAGAAACATAGCAAGGGTTTCTGATGCAGAAATGCAGTAAGGAATGCAGAATGCTGAATTTCTTCATCCAGGACCCATTTTTCCTCAGTGGGATAAAACCCTTGGTTTTCATTCTTCCTTACTGGCTGACCAGATCATCCTTGCTGGAAATCCATTCATTCCTAAATGGGCTTGACAGCTTCCACTTAGACCAAAGTGCTCCTCTTGGAATGTGTACAGTTGTTGAGCAGTGGGAGCCAGTTCTGAGCACTGAACACAGGCAATCAACAGCCCCATTTAGCTTTGAGCTGACTACCTTCAGAAGAAGGACTGTTATACCTGTTGAGAAGGAAAGTGTGCATGAAAAGTAATTTCCTTCTCCTTTTTTATAGTGGAAACAATTGCCTTTTGGGGGCAGAGCACCAGCATTCTCTTTTGGATGCAGTAGTCATACAGTCACCATTTGGAGATATGCAATCTCTCATTTTTATTATAATTGTGGCATATCTTTAATTTGCTTGGCATAATGCACTTAATCCATAATTATAAAATATGCAACTAGCCCTTGGCCTCATTCTGCTCTCCCACCACAGAGGCAGTTTGGTGTTTTTATTAATTTAACTTTGTACAAGCTAACAGATTGTCATAAAGGAAAACAGAATTTCTCAACCAGTTCGGCTAATAGCTGAGCTTCAGCAAAGGGCCCTGTGGTATGTGTTGAACAATAACTACCTCTCTCCAGCACTACTTGCAGTTTTTAATTGAATTGCTATCCCATGGATATCATGTTGGAACTATTCATCTGCTCCACTAAGTCTTCTGATATTAAACAAGTTCTTTCAGGTTATTATTGTAATACAAATACGGTTGGACAGTTGATTTCCATTAAAAATTCACTGCCATGGTAAGGCTAACACAGTGAAGGGAGCTTATCCTGAACATGGCCAAGCAAAGAAATCACATTAATAAGGGTGAAAATGCAGTGTGCTTATCTTGTTTGCTTCCTTCTCACACCCTCCTCTTTGTTTAAGAGGATTTGGTCATGCTGACATATTTTGACAAATGACAAAATACTGGGCATTTTCAGAGTTTCTAGTTTGGTTTTAGATATCTGCCATTTGGATCTGCCAATAAGAAGACATGTCCATTCCTCTGGGTTTCTCTTCTACCTCCATTTTTCCTTTGCTATCTTGTCTCTAGCACACATTGTCATTCCAGTTGACATTACGAATATCTGCTGCCAAGAGCTATTCTTACTGTTATAATAAACATCTTATAGGCCTTATTGCCCTCTGCATTGTGTATACTGATGCCTTTCCAACGTGTACTACTTACACTTTCTGATGTTTGTATACTGACTAGTTCACCAAAATTTCAGAATATCAAAACTATAGGGGCCCTCTGGAAACCCTTAAATGGTAGGGTTTTATTAAAAAAAACAAATGGAAGTAAACCTTATATGTAATTGGGATGGGTAGAATTAGGAATGGCTACTATATATTCCAGCTTTGTGAAGGTGTCATAATGGAGGAAGCTTATTGTCCTCCCTACTGTTACTCCTTTAACTTGCACACCTAACCTTGAGTACATCTCATCATATTCTTTACCATATCCCTGGCTTGCAGCTCTCTTCTGCATCACATCCTGGGAAATCCTTCTTGATGACTTCTCTATCAATATTAGAAAACACCTTTGGGTCTCTGACCTCATACCCTTCAGCTCTCTTCTGCAGCCGCCTACCAGCACCACCAAATCTTGGTTTTCATCATCATTTGGAACTACCTTACCATAATAACTTGAATCCTTGAATTACACTATGTGATCACAGTCTCCTATTTATCCAGTTTTCTTACACTCCTACATTCACTGAATTTGTGTTTTCATTTGAATACATGATGTCTTCCATTTTCTCAACTCTTCCTTACTCTCCTCGAGTCACATGTCTTATCTTCCTTAAAAGATTATATACTCTTCAAAGAAAGGAATCAAGCCTTCTACCTACTCATTACTTTGCATGGAATCATGTTTGTCAGTTGGTAGATATTTCCAAGCCAAGAGTGTTGTTTGACCAATCAAGAAAACAATTATACCCTGACTTCTGAAGTGGGATATGCATTGCATCAAGGATGCCATCTTGGGACATATGCATTTATTTGCAGTTTGGTTTTACAGTAGTGGGTTATATGAGCAGTCTCTCTTGAATTCAAATCCTGACTGTGCCATTAAATAGCTATGTGACCATGGACAAGTTACTTGTCTTAGCTTCAATTTTCTCATCTGCACAATGAGGCACAATGATAGGGTCTACTGTGTGAAGTAACTGTGATAATTAAATTAGTTAATGTTTGTAAAGTGATGAGTGTATGTAGTCTCTGAACTTAGTAGACTATTAAAAGATAGTTGGTATTTCATTACTGGGAGCTTCAGATCAATGTTTACTTAAGATAAACCTTTGAAATGTCAGCATTGAAATGTTGAAGACTTTTGAGTCTATAAGTTGTGAGTGAGACCCAGCTGCTCTAATGAAATTCCTAGTTAGTTATTGCCGCTGGCCTGCCCATGTCTACAAAAAAATAGATGGTCTCATGGGCTCAATGGTGCATATTAGAAGTGTTTCTAAATTGTAAAACCTGCATGCCTGTCTGATTGAGTAAGTGCTAGGCTGATGGCTAGTGCAAAGCTTCACAATGGGTATAATTATTTGTGGTTTTGAATCTCTAGACCCTATAACATGAAGGTGAAGCCTTAGAATAGCTAAATAGACTCACATGGCAAAAGGAAAATGGCTGTTTTTAAAATAATACAGCCAAACATAAACCCACAGGCTCTTAAAGTTTATCTGAGAGTTTCTGAACCATGTTTTTTTCCCCTAGTTACTATTACTCCATACTTCAAGGTCAAATGCCAATAAAGTAGCAAATTGTATTTCTCACCTTGACATGGTTATTAGATCTGACATTCCTTGAGAAAAACAGTGAAGCCTGCTGACAAAAAGGACTGTGACTTCAACTGTTGTAAGTCACTAAGGGCAATAAACATTCCTGAAAGAGATTTATTCTAAGGATTTTAATCATTTCCTGTTATAGCCGGTTTGTGTTGGATAAACGTGTCATCAGGTGCTAATTACTTGCCTTGATTTTTCTGGCTGATGGAGGATGGTACTTATTTTAATACTGTCACCCTGATCTTTGGGTTTCTGCCTTTTCATTTGGCTATTAACAAAGCAAGTTAGATTCCAAAATATTTTCTAGATATGCACTCTTCACATTAATCTGTAGAAGCACAGAGGTTGTCTGGCACTTATAGATCTGTTTCCACAGGCACAATATCAAAGACCCAGAAAAGCTTTCTGATCCTTCCAGAAAATAGTAATATCTCAGGATGCTGTGAAAGAGAGAGCCTGGGTTGAAAGTTAGAAGCCTGGATAGGGTTTTTCATGGCTCTGACCCTTGTTGACTGTAGAATTAGGAGTATTCCTCTTTCATATGCCCCCAAAACTCCACACCATTGTCAGATGCTGTCACATTGCACATGCAATGAACTGGTCCAGGTTTTCCTTCCTTCCTTCCTTCCTTCCTTCCTTCCTTCCTTCCTTCCTTTCTTTCTTTCTCTTCCTTCCTTCCTTTCCTTCTTTTCTTTTTTCTTTCTCTCTTTCTCTTTCTCTCCTTCTTTCTTTCTTTCTTCTTTCTCTGCTTTTCTTTTTTCTCTTTTCTTTTGTTTCTTTCAAAAGGATGTTGCTTTGTCACTCAGGGTGGAGTATAGCAAAGCAATCGCAGCTCACTGCAGCCTCAGCCTTCCAGGCCCAAGCCTCCTAAGTAGCTGGGACCACAAGTACATGTCACCATGCCTGGCTAAGATTTATATTTATTTTTTCCTTTTTTTTGGAGACAAGGTCTCCCTATATTGCCCAGGTTGGTCTTGAACTTCTGGGCTCAAGTAATCCTCCTGCTTTGGCCTCTCAAAGTGTTGAGATTACAACTGTGAGTCACAGCACCCAGCCAGGTCTTCCTCTTTTAATCACAACACCTACTGTTTCCTAGTAATTCTTAACCCGTATTTCACCTAGTCCAGTCACCATTATCCAGCATGCCTTCTGGTTATCCACATTATTATTTCGTCTTAAATGTCTTTCTTTCCACCCTTTCTTTGCCTTTTCACTTTCTCCATCTTTCATTGCCCAGCCCCAGTTCCTTCCAATCCACAGTGATCAATGTTTCTTGTTTAAAAAATTTATTTACCCCTCAGAACCTGTATCCTCTTATGTAAAGTGGATACACTTACAGTGCCTCTCATGAAGATTAAGTGCACAGATATTTGACTCATAAAATATTTTCAATAAATATAATCCCTACCCCAGTAATGTATCTTGCTGTCTGCTATTCCTTCAAGCCCTGTGTGTCTGGGCCTGAACTGGTCATAGGAGTAAAAAAATATAGATGCTGGTCACATTCTCAATAGGCTCAGAATTAAATAAGGAAAGATGTATACAAATCATTTCAATGCAAGGCCATTTAAGGGAATACCATATAAGGACAGAAAACAGGCTAAGAGAAGACAGGAAGGGAAATTGTGCCAGGTGATAAGAAAAAGATTTCCTGAGAAGGAGTCAGATACCACATAGAGTATTTCTTCCCTATGGTTTTCTGCATTTTCCTAAGTTTTAAAACATAGGAAACTGTATATTTAACATTATGATAGTTTTCAAAGTCTTCTCTATTCTCTAAATTATAAAACTAGTTTTCTTATGAGGTCTCCTTAGGAATAATACTTAGATTTTGAAAATCTGTTTACTTATTTATACATATATACCTCACCATTTTCCAGAAGGGATTTCAGATGTGCCTGTACTGAATATCTTGACCATCATCTCAGTGCATATGTGGAATGCAACTTTTGGGAAATATACACAGATTCTTCAATTGCATTTGTTTATGAAATTCTTTTTTTTTTCCATTAGCTCAGGAACAAGAATGTAACCATAGAGATTTTCACAATTTATTCAATCACTTGGCCAATATCTGTTGAACCCATACTTCATTCCAGAGCAGTGCCATTTTCTTGGGATACAGATGTGGACAAGACATTCATGGACCCTACTCTTGACAAGTTGACATGCTTATAGGGAAGCAGACAACAAGCAATGGGATAAATTAATAAAACAACATAATTAGAGCTAGTAATACATTCTGTGAGGGAAATAAAAGGTGCTATGATGAGCAAAGGAGGATGATAGGGGTGGGGCTATGGAGAATTTCATTATATAAGCATTTTGGGCAAAGGGCTCACTTTATTATAGAAGGTACTTGATGTTCAAGAAGATTTACTCAAAATCTGCAAAAAAAATTGAGCTATTGCCTTCTGTGTTTATTATCTTTAATTGTGTGTGCACACAAGCTGTATGTATTATTTATGAAAAGATATCTGTAAGATAAAAAGCAGAATCTCCCAATTAGAATAAGGGTTAGGTATTTTATATGATGAAATACAATGTGACCATTTAAAATATTTTATAGGGCCTTTAAAAATAACATAATCCAATATTAGCATGAAAAAATAATATGTGGTTTGGAATGTAAGTACATAAAATTATGCCATTATCAGTCATGTTTCAGTCTGAATGCACTGTATGTATTCCAAATATGGAGGGCTTAAATACAGAGAATTAGAGGGATTTGCACGATGTGTTGGATGTTCTAGGAAACATAGGCATAGATGCGACCATTGATCCCAGCCAGCAGTGCCACAGTGGATGTTTTTGAAGGGCTCACCCTGAAGGTATCACAAATCTCCAGGAACCTCTGGTAAGCCCCAGCCTACTCCATCAGCAAATTCGGTGGTTCTCAGGGTCAGATTTGTGTTATAAAAGACTGCAGCATGTCTTTCCTGAGACTTGCTACAAGTTAGGATTCAACTTTGGAGCACTTTAGGATGGACAGATTATGATGGATCAGCATATGTTAGTTTTCTATTAAAACTATTGTAACAAATTACCAACATGTAGTGGCATAAAATAACAGAAGTTTATTATTTTGCAGTTTTGTAAGTTAGAAGTCCAGTACAAGTCTCACTGGGATAAAATCAAGGTGAAGTAGGCTGTGTTCCTTTCTGGAGAATCTAGGGGAGAATCTACTTCCTTGCTTTTTTCAGCTGTTATAGGCTGCTTATATCCCTTGGCTCATGGTCCCTGTCTCCATCTTCAAAGGCAACCATAACAGGCCAAGTCCTTCTCACCTCACCACTCTCTGACCCACTGCAGCTGAAAAAATTCTCCTCTTGTATAGACTCATATGATTAGATTAGGCCCACCTGGATAACCCAGGATAATCTCCTGATCTCAATATCTTTACTCTCAACTATATATGCTAAGTCCCTTTTGCAAGAGCATATTGGCAGGCCCCAGAGATTAGGGCTTGGACATCTTCAGGGGCTATTATTTTGAGCACCAGCATGCTAATGAAAAAGATGGTGGGGCTAGTCATTATGAGCCCATTGACTGCCTTTGTGCAAGCCAGACAAAGATGCCTCCCCTAGTTGGAGAGGGCCACTTGATGAGCAAAAGGGGTTTCCGCTGAATTTAGAAAAGGCATCCTTTCTTCTAGACAGGTGCTGCCCTGAGCCAGGGCTCACGGCTTGCATAACAGAGCACAGGCTGGGTTTCAGACCCACGCTTCCCCTTGATGGGATGGCTTAACCTGCACAAAACTATACAGAGGCCCTGGGTAGAATCAATGGGTGGCAATAGCTAGAAGAGAGGTGATGAAATCCGGTGAATTTAATCCCCCACCTCTTTCTCAGGATGGGATTGGGGTGGTGGAGGTGTTAAGCCTTGGAGCTGCTGGGGATTCCACAGCTCTAATCCTTTCTCTCAGGACCCAATCCACTTTGATTCACTTCCTCATCATTTCATTTATATTTTAAATAACCATGTACCACCTGTCCAACCAGGCTATAACTTCCTGGAGGGCGGCAAGCCTACGTTATCTTCCTCTTATATTCCTTATTATACTTCCTTATTAGATATTTAACACATGTGGCATAAATGAACCAATGACTGAAATAAAACGTAATGAGAATTGTAAAAGACCTTTAGGATTTAACAATAAAAGCCATTGTTACCATCTTTTTAAAAATAGAAATACAGAGAAAAACTATTGGACAGCAAAGTTTCCCTTCCCTCCTCAGTCTTTCCATTCCTTGAACAATCCTTTCCCCCAGTGGGACCTTTCTTTTGTCCATTGGCTGTTCTATGCTCCCTGCCTTTCCTTTTCTCTTTCAAAATCTGCTAGTTGGTATTGATGCTCAGGCATGATTGAGTTTATCACTGTGGTCTGCCCTTAAGGAATACATGTGTTTGATGCCTAATTATAGGATTAAAAGTCTGCTTTGTGTTAAAAGAATTGTCAGAGCAGGTGGGAGAAGCATTTTGGGGGCAGGGGCTTCCTTGGTACCTCTAACATCTTATCCCGTAGGTTGCTACTTCTGCCAATGCCTCCAGCAGGCCCTCCCCCGTCTGCTGGAGAAAGGAAACATTCTTGCAGAACATTTCAAGTACATTATCCAGCCCTCTATTAGAAACCCTGCTTTCCCTCATCCTGACCCCCTGCCTTACTCTGTAATATTACAATGCAGATAAGCACAGAGGTAGCACGTGTTGATGCGGTCATTACTGAGCTGATCCTGCTTCACAAGCTATCCATTTTGCAGTGGGAATGTCACAACATGAGTCACAATGGGACTTCAAAACTGTGTGTTTGTCACTCTGTATCCAGGGGAGAAAGACACTAATATTTCAAATTTCCTGAGATTTTTCTGCATATCTGACTTGTTAAAACATATAATCTCTGAAATCTGAGAGATAATGCCTTGGA
Source organism: Homo sapiens (assembly GCF_000001405.40). Taxonomy (NCBI): domain Eukaryota; kingdom Metazoa; phylum Chordata; class Mammalia; order Primates; family Hominidae; genus Homo; species Homo sapiens. The sequence continues at coordinate 104,881,019 of NC_000010.11, forward strand.
ATCAAAACTATGATTATTTATTTGCTCCAACTTCAGCATCATTTATGCAGCAAAGTATGAAAAAGGAATTACATTCCCCGATAACATCAGGAAACCCATATTTAATGCAGATTTAAAAGGACAGATGCTAGCATACTGGTTCCACTGATCATTACAAACACACAGAGGTTTAGCAGCTGTCTGATAGCTACATGCACAGTACAATGAGAGATACAAATATGGGTGAGTGCATATAGATTGTAGTTTAATCTCCTGAAATATTTCTACTGATCAATGACTGTAGCTTCGTGGTGTGCAATTGTCCTCTTTAAATCAAAATGGCCTGTCTATTTGTGAACTCTAGCTCAGTGCTTTGCTGGAGGGAAAAAGTTGGGAAAGAAGCCCGTTAGTAATGCATAGAATGATACTTTTTAATCAGAATATTAACATTTTGATTGAACCGATGGAACATTTAAATGGAAATATTCAATTGCAAAGACCAAACTTGTGAGGGAGCCTACAACATGCACAGGGTCTGTGCCTTTTTCCTTGATTAAAGAGAATTCTTTTAATAGAGAAAAAAGTAACAGATTAAAGAATCTTATATTAAGAATGGAAGGGTGGGTATTGTTCCCTTTTCAATTGCTTCTATTTAAATATAGACAAGCACACACATGGGCAGCTATAAAGGCAGAGACTTTGATCTACGGATGATTGAAGAAGTGTGTAGTAACTTGCGTCAAAAACCAAGCAAAGCAAAAAGACTATGAAATGAGGTGTAACATCAGACTGCGATGCTAGCACCAGCTCCATCCCTAACTGGCCATGTGACCTTGGAGAAGCCACTTTACTCTCTGGGCTCAGTTTTTCACACTGGTCAAATGGAGACAATACTTAAGGAATTCACACAGTTTTCATGTGGATTGAAAGGGATTTAAAAACTCTTTGCATCTTCAGCAGTTGGTAAGCATCCCTGTTTCCCACTGGGAAAATGCAAATCCCCAAATAGGGTATGAAGCTAGAGGTGATGAGCTGCTCAGTGGATGCACAGTGAAATTTAGGAGGCAGAGTCTCCTTTAAAGGGTTTTGACCCTTTGACTGATCTGCCACTGATTAATACCCCAGTTTTCTAGAGTAAAGTAAATATCTGGATTTTCTTTTCACAACAAATTGTGGGTAGAGATCCACCTGATTCACCTGATACCTCTGCTTTGTTCTTAATCCATCTTGGAATGAAACATCTGACTGCTTCTGAAATGCCCAGATTTATTGCAAAGGAGGTTCCCAAGTCACTTATTATTTTTTTGTTTGGCTTTGAAGCATGATCAAAAGTGTGACTATTTCTTTGGTCAAAAGAAATCTCCTGGCTTCAGATACTCTTAGAGCAGAGCTTAGTGTTTGGAATGAGAAAGGAAAAAATGACTATCAGAGCATCAGCTTATGAAGCAAGTATCCTTAGAATGCTTAAGGTTTTGAAGGGCAATTCTGATAAATATAGTCTCATTGTTTGTGCTGGGGAAGGAGCATGGCCTCTTAGAACTGTAGAATTCTACAGAATCATTTTACAAGTGAAGAACCTGAGGCCCACAGAGAGAGAAAGCATTGGGAAATATGTTTATGGATTTGACCCAACACTCCTGTTTAGGGAAGATACATCCAGATGGCCACTCCTATACCCATAACATACACTATGATTTTTTATTTCCTTGGTCAACCTTCCAATTTGATACAGCCCAGTCCTCTTGCTTATTCCCATCTCCCCACCCAGTGCCACTCCTGGCCACAGACTGGGATGATAGCATCTTTGAAGATATCAGAAAAGCTAGTGAACATTTGTACTAGAAAAAGGAATGCTAATTCATTATTTCATTAGCACATAATATTTCCTCTCTTGACTCCTCTCTTCCACTTCAAAGAGAATGCTGCTGATTTTTGGTGAAGTGTGGAAGAAATCATTCTGCTTTCCAGGAGACTAACATTATGGAATCACAGGGAGGAAGGACACACATTTTAAGGTTACAGGTGGCTGTGCCACCTGCCAGTCAATTCTCAACAGACGGAGTAGGAGCTTCATTTTTTTTATTCCAGAGCAGAGCAGTGGATGTCGGGAAGATTCCTGAACTTCACTGAAGCTGTTTTCCACAGGGTCTGGTAAGCCAAGGAGTTTCCACACTGGGGTGAGTGGATTTGACAGCAGAGGTGGAAGGAATCTACAGGAAAGAGCTGCCTAATTAATCACAAGCTATCAGAGCCTTTCAGCAGTGAGAGTCTCTGAGGTCTTAACAACACCCCTCAGTAAAGTTAAAAACCATCTTGGTATGACTTCATTTTCTTAGAGACACATGATTGATCTGGCTATTGGTGAATGGAGACACTGCGGCTTCTTTCTGTAGATGGTGTCATTAGATGAGAAGATTAAGTGCCTTTGAGCAAAGGCTATGTGAAGACTGTGAGTGATTCACTGGGAATGGAAGAAAGATAAAGAAAACTCTGAAATATGTACTTTTAAAGGCAAAACCTTAGACTTTACCTCATTTATTAGCATCATAAAAAGCTTGGTGGAGAGTCTCAGCTAAGAAAAATGCCTTCTTTGGGTCAAGTCTTTAGGGATACCGCTCAAAGCAGCTAACTGGGGCTGGTATCTATGAGGAATATCTTATTTTTTATTGTTGGTCCTACTCTATTCCCCTTTTAAGCTTTTGAATGCTCTGAAAGGAGACAGGGGTCTTTTCATTTGGAGCCTCTTAAGTATTAGGAAGCCAGGCTGGGCCAATTCAACTTCTTTTCCTCTAAGGAGGCTGGGAGGTAGGTTTGTCAGAGCTTATGATTAATTAGGAAGCTCTTTCCCATAGACTCCTGCCTTTGCTGTCAAATCTGCTCACTCCAATGTGGTGACTCCTGGGTTTTCTTTTTCCTGTGGCAAACAGCTTCAGTGAGGTTCAGGAAACTTACCTACATCCACTGTTCTGCTGTGGAATGAGGGGGGGGAAAGGGTCCTACCCTATCTGTTGAGAACTGACCAAACAGATGGTACAGCCACCTGTAGCAAACCAGGGCAGGCAATAGAGAAGGGTTATCAATGCCTATGGTCAACAGAAGATTTGTTTACCCTTCTGAAATCATTCAAGTTTAAATTTCTAAATACTTCTTGGCAGGCCAAGTCAAACATTTTTAGAAGGACTTAGCCCATGAGTTTCCAGTTTGCAACCCTGCAGGTGATAATATATCTTTAAAGGAGAGAGGAGACATTTAATGTAAGTATGCTTTTGTCACTCAGTTCACTCATTCATTTATTCATTCCTCAACCACGTCGAGACTGCTCATTGCTGGCTTACCCTGGAGGAGACAGAAAAGTAAGATCTAACCACTGACATAAAGCAATCCAACATCTAGGATCTATGATATAAAAATTCATATGTTATGTCAGAGACTTTTAGCGTTATATACAGTACTGTAAAGTTCAGAGAAAATACAGGATAGTGAGCTTTAGGTGCCAGGGAAAGGATGCAGTCAGCAGACCATGGGGAGCTATTGAAGGTTTTCAACTGGATGAGTATTTGAGATGGAATTTAGGAAGAATAATCATGTTGTACTGTATGGGAAGTGTGTGAAAGTTTGTTCTTAGAGAAGGGAGGATCAGGTTCCATTGGGTATAGGAAGGAGGTGACCTTTTTGAGAGGTAATTTGGGTACAAAATTCAACACACTTAACAGAACATTTGGGTTCAAGGGAAAAAAAAAGACATTTCTAAAATAGTTTTGAATTCTCATAGATAGCTATTTGGGTAGAAAAGCAGGTACCCATCAGCAAAGCTCTCCATAATCTGATCTCATGTATTTTTCTAGCTTTTTTTTTTTCCTCCTATGTCCCTCCAGGGGTGCTTGCTACCAATCCTAGTGGACCTGGACTAGTTATTCTGCCCAGAGCATCTCTTTCATTTTTTGCTTCTAGATTGTTTTTCTCACACTATTTATTCTGCTTCTTTGAAGATGGTAGGAGGTCAGGAGAGTGTGAGTGAACTAAACTTTAAATTCAGTATTTTAACAGAGTTCCTGAGAATCTATCAAGTAGCAGGCACCATGCCAGGAGTAAAGTGGACAGGCAGATCTTTGTCCAGAAGCTGGGCTGATGACAAGGAGACTGGGCTGCTGCTCACCCACACAGGGAGCACTGTCTCAGGTCTTCTTGTAGATTCTCATGGGCACAGCCTGGTGGAACACTGATGCCTCTGTCAAAAGTTTCTGTCTACTGGACATTTTGGAATCATAAGCCATGCCCTTTTCAGGATCTTAACAACAAAGATCTCAAGGACAGCAGATTTTAGTTTGTGCTGCCAGGAAGACTTAGTAGATTTAAGAGAGCATACACACTTGTGTTTCAAGTGAGCAAGACACACTTTTAAAATGTTCAAAATATTCCTTTCCTTCTCAGAGATCCTTTGTGTAGGTGGCCCTTGTGGCAATACGGTATTAAGTACTCAGCAGGACTTTTAAAGTACATCTTTATGTACTTTAATTTTGTTAGGACCGGAACAGTGTTAATGGTCATCATCTTTTTAAATGCTTGCAGAGTATTAATGCTTAGGAGAAAAACTTTTTCCCTCAAATATAGAATGCATAACCATGAAACAATATTTTTCGTTTTGCGTCTTTCCCATTCTCATGCCATCCTACTTATGTGAATATGTGATGTCAAGCAGATGGCTGTATCAAACTAGCTGGAACATACATATGATGACTATCCCATTATTCTTGGAAAGGTCTGAGTGCACCTCAGCACTACGAAGGATTTTGACATTTTTCCTTAATAGTTCTGAGAATTTCTCTTAGCTTTCATAATCTGAAGCTGAATAGTTGAAACAGTGATATGAGAATATTTTGAGGGGAGAGCAAGAAAGAAAAGAAGAATATAGTTATATCTGTTTTCTGTGACTGATGACTTAACAATCCTCAAAGTCAAGCAGGAACACTAGAGATGGAAAATACATTTTATATAGGTAAAAGATAACCCATTTAACAGCTGAAAAAACTGAGGAACCATAAATATCAGGTGATAGTCTGAGACACCCTGCTGCTAATAGATAGCAGCTGCAGGAGGATTAGAATTTCTCTGTTGGCTCCATGCTCCATAGTCCTTAAATGCATCTTTAATACTTTTTTTCTAGTAAGACTGACTTGATTTGTGGTTTTATGCAATGAGGTGGAGGTGGAGGCTTTTATTTTGGGGTACATGATACATAATGATTGGTTAGCCCTGTATGTGAGCAGCCAAATCTATTTGCATTCCTTTACTCTTAGTAGCCTTTCTAAAATTCTCTTATTTATGTGGTGTTTCTCTCTTTACAGTATTCCTGAAAATTGCATTTGAATATCTTTATAACAGGGATAATGGTGAATTATTCCATTTACTTTATGAACTTAGTTTCATATATGTTTATGTGTGTTCAGAATAGGCAGATACACAGAATATGTCCAGATACCACATATGTTATTTATATGTATATATATAATACATTACGTAAAATATATACAGTTGTGTATATAATATATAACTCTATCATCTATCTATCTATCTATCTATCTATCTATCTATCTATCTATCTATCTATCTACATTCTCCCCTAAACCTAGATGTAGAATTAAAATATTTCTTTAGGTGGGAGCCCAAAACAGCAGCCATTGATGGGAAATGACTTGCAAGGCAGAATCTACTTGCCATCTTTTTATGTTTAATTTAACATTTGAAAGAAGGTGGGGAAAATATTTGTTCCTAGACTTCCTAAATAAAATGTTTTTTCCTTTATTGATGGGGACAATTTTGAGGTTTGCTTGAGGTTTTCTTTCCACAATTTACCCACTACCTTCTTGGTCCAACTTTCTGATTAGAACATATGCAGGTTATTCACTTTCCTGCCTGTGAGCTTAATTGCAGTGCTGGCTGCAGGAAAGTGTTCTAAAAGTAATATTTATGTGGGAGTATTTGGTAATCCTAGTGATTCAAATTTTTTCATTCAGCAAGTAATTTAGTGAATATCTTGCTAAAGTATAGTAGGGAAAATAATTCATTGTAGAGTGTCTCTTTTACATGGATTTATGATTTAGTTGGGGAGACAAAAGATTCACATGCAGTGATTATATGAAAATTTAAAACCTTCTGTGAACACATGGCATAGACACTTTGCAGTTCATAAATGCTAAAGGACTTCAGGATAAAAAATGGTAATTGTGGACTGCAGTGGTTGGGAAGACTTTTTGGGTGCGAGTAGCTTAAGCTAAGGCTGAAAGGATGGATAAGAAAGAGCTGGGCAGAGAGGAGGTACAGAGGACATACTAGAAAGAGGAATGGCATGAGCAAAATCTTGGGATTGGAAACAAATATGGATCTTGGGGAGACCTGGAGTCATTCAGTATTGCTGGCATGGAGTGGGAGTGCATAAGAATAACTAAAGATATAGTTACTGATATGGAGGAAAGAAGAAGGGATGTTAGAAGGCTGTAAAGGCTCCAGTGAGGAGTTTAGACTTCCTCCTGGTGGCTTGTTACTTAGAATGCAGCTTCTAGACAAGAGTCCGGTTATAGGAAAGGGTGGAATTGTCACTCTGGGTCAGGTTGTTGGGTGCTCACCCTGCGATCTTGTCTGCCTCAAGATCCCCAAGTGGTGATGTTGGTGGTTGTAGTTCTCATCCAGAATTTTGTTTAGATCGCATGTGAACTGGATTGTTTTCAGCTACTACCACTTCTGATAGTTGTGCTCACTTATTCTCACCTCTATGACTTTGTTGTTCTACTTATGCTTCTGTGGATGTTTTAAGTTCTGTATCTGTCATACATGATCTACTGCATCTGTCAGATCTGGCAGTGGCTGGATCTGCATGAGGTGTCTAAGTACAGATGCTTGCACATTTAGTATAAGACCAGTTATCTCTCTTATCTTCCATACCTTCCCAGCAACATGGTGGGGGCGGGGGGGCGGGGGCGGAGCAAGCCCATGAAGACAGCATGAGACCAATGAGAGTGCTTCTAAGAGTTTGGGTTTATGGTGTGTTTTTTTTGAAGGCAGTTGGGAAGCTGTGCTCTCCCCTTGGACCTCTTTTCCTTTTGCTTGCAGCATTGAGACATCATAGATTTCTTTTAGTGAGCATTGTAAAAATAATTCCCCTTACCTTTACTTTTTAGAGTCTCATACAATTGTAACAGTTAACCTCTTTTAAACGATTTTACTCTTTTATTCCCCTGCTTCTGAGAATAAAACTGAAAATTAAATGTTAAAATCAAATCCATAAATCCCTAGCTACCACCAGAGCAAAGTGTGACTGGCTAAGTAGTTGGACCAGGAGACTCAAATGCTGGCCGATCCAAGAAATTGGGCTTCATTCTATTTTCCTGTTAAGGATCAGACCTTATGGTACTCAGTGGAAAATGTGAAGTGGCCCAGTAGGAGAGTCCATTGTTTTCCATGTTTCTAAAAACATGTGATCTACATGTGCTACCAATGCAAAGTGAAGATGTTGTCCATTCTTATTTCACTACTTTTAACTACCTCTCCAGTACTCACCTTTTTTTTCTATGTTGACTCAAATAAAGGCAAGAATAAAACCTTGGAAATGGCAGGAAATTTGTAGATTACCTCCATCTAAGTCCAGAGGTTACATTTTAAATACTTAACAATTGGTATGACAGGACACCAATCAATCACATAGAGAAAAACAAAATCAGTCAGAGTAGAGAAAGACAAATAGGGTCAGGAGGATCCATGTTATACAGGTGTTAGCTGGGAGGATCTATGTTACACAGGTGTTATAGCCTTTCAGTTTGTGAGTTGTGGGAAGATCCTTGGGGAGTGACTGAGTTGGCTGGAAGACATTTGGGGGCCTCGAGGGCAACAGCCATTTACAAAATCCAATTGTTTTAAAATTATTACCGTTGAATATTAGCCCTACCTATTCCCTACTTTAGGTCATATATTTTGGAGTTGTTAGTGGATGCATAAACATTAGGATTGTTATGTCTTCTGGAAAGATTGATTACTTTATCATTATAAAATATTTCTCTTTATCTGTGGTAGTTGTTTTTTTGGCTCTGAAATCTACTTTTCTTGGTATTCATATAGCTACTTAAGCTTTTCTTTTTTTTATTGGTATATATTTTTTTACCCCATCTTTTTGCTTTTAACTTATTTGTGTCTTTATATTTAAAGTGCATTTCTTTTAGACACCATCTAGTTGAGACTCTAAAGGCTCCAGTGAGGAGTGTAGACATTTTATATTTGTGGTAGATTTCCTGTGCTTTTTTTTTTTTTTTTAAATCCGATCTGACAATCTTTGCTTTTTAATTAAAGTTCTAGATCATTTACATTTAATGTAATTATTGATGTTTTAGGTTTAAATCTGTTGCCTTACTCTTTATTTTCGATCTGTCCTATTGTTATTTGTTCCATTTTCCCTCCTTTTGGATGGTATTTTTTTTTTTTTTTTGCTATCCCATTTTATCTTCTTTTTGACTTGCTGTGTATAACTATTTATTGTGTCAGGTTAGGGGTTGCTTTTGGGTTTATAGTACACATCTTTAATTTATCACAGGCTAGATTCAAGTGACATTTTACCATCTCACAAAAGGCACAAGAACCCTAAAACAGTATACTCTCCTTCCAGCCCTTGGACAATTAGAGGCATACATTTTATTTCTATGCATGTTATAAACCTCACAATACATTATTATTTTTTATTTAAATAGTTTATTCTTGAAAGATATTTGAATATTAAGAAAGAGTTATATTTATCCATGTAGTCACCATTTCTGGTGCTCTTTGTTTTGCGTAGATACATATTTCCATCTGGTATCATTCTAATAATTCTGCCTAAAGGACTTCCTTTACATTTTCTTGTGGTACCAGTATACAGATGATAGTTCTTTCATCTGTTTTAGAAAACCTTTATTTTGCTTTTGTTTATCAAAGAAATGTAATTTAATTGGCTTATTTTTCCTTTCAGAACTTTAAAAATGTACTTTCTTATCATTTACATTGTTTCTATAAAATAATCTTCTGTCATCCATAGCTTTGTTCCATTCCATATATCTTTTTTTCTATATTCTTATGTTTCTATCACTGATGTTAAGCAATTGAGTACGACGTGCTTTGATGTTGTTTTATTCATGATTCTTGTGGTTGGAAGTTTTTGTGCTTCTCGGATATCGACTTATAGTTTTCACCAGGTTTTGAAAATATTCAGCCATTATTTCTTAAAATATTTTTCTCTGCCCCACCCCCACACCTCCTTCTCCTTTTAGAGACTCTGATTACAACTGATGTTGTCCTGCAGCACACTGATTTTCTGTTCATTTTTTCCTCAGTTTTTTTTTGTGTTTCATTTTGGTATGCAAATAAATAGAAAAAACTTATTTTTTCTATGTTTCGTTCACTTTCTATTGCTGTGTTTTCAATTTCATTTACCTTTTCCTTGTAATGTCTAATCTGTCATTAATCCCTTTTAGTGTACTTTTCATCTCATTCATTATAATTTTCATATCTGAAAGTTTGATTTGTGTCTTCTTATATCTTTCATGTCTCTACTTGCATGTACACTTTTTTCTCTTGCTTCTTGAACTTGTGGAATAAAGTTAAAATAACTGGTTTAATGTCCTTATTTACTAATTCTGTCACCTGTGTCATTTCTGACCTGGTTTTCAGTAAGTTTTGTCAACATTGGTAATATTGACATTTTTCAGTGGCTAATAATTTTTGTAGGGGATTTCCTGTGCATCATAGGATATTTAGCAGAATTCCTGTCCTCCACCTACTAAATGCCAGTCCCATCTTCAGTCACGACAATTAAACATTTCTCCAGATATTGACTAATGCTCCCAGGATGCAGACAGTGAGAAATCACCCCCAGTTGAGAACTACTGATTTAGATTAATTGATTTTTCTTCTTTTTGTGTGTTGTAGATATCTGCTTCTATGCATGCCAAATAATTTTTTATCTGATACCAGATACTGTGATTTTTATCTTATTGGGTGCTGGATATTTTAAAATTCCTGTAAATTTTATTGAGCTTTGTTCTGGGACATGATTATGTTGTTTGGAAACAGTTGAATTCTTACACGTGTTTTGTTTAGGGTTTACAAGTGTTTTGCCCCACTACTGAGGCGGGAAGTTTTCTGAGGTATTCTACCTGATTCCCCATGACTTATGAGGGTTGCCACTCTGGCTTATGGTAACAGTAACTGTTATTGGCCTTGTGTGAACTTCTGGAATTGTTCCTTCTAATTCTTTCAGGCGGTTCTTTTTCTGATGTTGGGTATTTTTCACATAGATGCACTGATCAATACTCAGCTGAAGACTTAGTAGGATAGGGAGTCCGCTCTGTATATCCAGAGTTCTCTCTACTTGTGCAGCTGTCCGTTTTTCAGTACTGCTTCTTGCAAACTCTAGCTGCTTTGCCTTAGGCTTTCCTGTTCTGTCTGCTGAACTCAGGGAGATCACTGGGCTTCACCTAAGTTACTTTTCCCTAATGTAGCCTGAAAACTCTGTCCATGCAGGGTTAAGGGGCAATTACAAGGCTTACTGAATTTGTTTACTGTCTCTTAGGGATGCTTCTCCTTCATTGTCTTGGTGTCCAGTGACATGAAAATTGTTGTTTTATATGTTTTATTAGTTCTTAAATTGTTTCATGTGAGCGGGTAAATTCACTCTCTGTTACTCCCTCTTGTCCAGAATCAGAAGTACCTATGCTTTATTTTATATCTGATAAAACTGAGGTCCAAAAAAGTGAGTTGTTGCCTAAGGTTTGCTGAACCAGATTAGTGGCAGAGCTAGCATTGGATCCAGATTTCTTTCTTCCAGGTTGGTGCTTTTTCAATCATAACACACACTATGACTGGCACCTCCGAAGGTAATGAATTGGCTCCTGGATCTTCAAAGACAAGATTTAAATCACAAAGAGAATGAACTTCATGGAGTTGCTGCTCTTCTTTGATCCTTATTTGTTAAACATATTTTTCTCTAAATAGGTTTGTGACCCCTCAGTGAAGATGTAGACTGTCAGCGTGAATATTTTGTGAAGATTCTCATTTTAAGTTTTACAACTTTATACTGCTGGAAGTTGTAAAAACATGTGGCCCTTAAAAATTCCAGCTTGATGGTTAAAATGTCCATTCAGGGTCTGTTCATCTTTCTTGTTAGGAAACCTAGATTGTAAGTATACTAATAACTTAATAGTAATGGACTAGCTCAGTGCTGTGTTTAGGGAGATGCACTAAGCTAGTTGGGATTAGGTATTATTTTGGCCGAGGGTGGAAGTGAGATTTTTACCTTACTCACAGTTCTTACCACATCAAGACCAATAAAAACATCTGCTGCATGACTGACTATTCTGTTTCACATATGTTACTTGTCTGTAAGCTTCTACAGGTAAAGGCAAAGGCCATGGTTAAATAGTATCTGGCCGGGAGCAGTGTATCACACCTGTAATCCCAGCACTTTGGGAGGCTGAGGCGGGCAGATCACCTGAGGTCAGGAGTTGAAAACCAGCCTGGCCAACATGGTGAAACCCCATCTCTACTAAAAATACAAAAAATTAGCAGGGCGTGGTGGCGTGTGCCTGTAGTCCCAGCTGCTTGGGAGGCTGAGACATGAGAATCACTTGTACCCGGGAGGCGGAGGTTGCAGTAGCCGAGATCGTGCCACTGCACTCCAGCCTGAGCAACAGAGTGAGATTCTGCCTCAAAAAAAAAAAATTTTTTTTTCTCCTATTGCTTGAGACACAAGGTACTTAATACATGTGAGTTCTTTCCTCCCACTTTATGTCTTCCCAGTGTGAAACTAGGAGGCTGTAACACATAGTGTGTTCTCATTGCGTGCCTCTCTCTCTTGCTCACTGTATTTCAGCCTTACTGCCTTTCTGTAATTCCTTAAAAAAGTCAATCTCTTTCTTCCCTAGGATCCTCATACATGCCATTCTCACTGCAAAGCTCTTTATTTAACTCTTTGCATGACTCAATTTTTCAGGTTTAGCCTAAATGGAATCTCCTTTTAGAAGGAGCTACCCTCTCTCAGTCTCTGTCATGGTCCCTGTTTGTTTCCATTGTGCGTCATAGTTTCAGGTTTTGAACTTACTTATTAGCACACTAGTTCATTGTCTACCTCCCACTCTAGATTGTGAGCTTCATGAGAGCCAGGACTTCGTTTGCTTTATTACTTATAATTGACTTGGGTCCCAAGGAAAATGGGCAGGTATTTGGTTTATACTTGTTGGGATTTGTGTTTGTAAAAGAGTAACGTAATGCAAGGCTGATGTAGATACTCAGCAGGGACTTGTGGAATTAAATCTCCAAGGGTAGTCGGTCTCCCAGGCATCGCCATATGCAAAGCATAACCTCATTCTGAGTATAGAATGACCAAGAACAATGGCCTCTTCTGTCCACTCCCCACACTGTCTGCCTTGTCAGCTTTGGTAATCAGAGCAAGGTAAGGTGCAGTTCACTCCAGTTTGATTTCACTTGTAGAGAGATTTTCTATCAGTGGCATGTACTGGCTGTTTTCAATGTTTCTGACAGATGACAAGCCTTTTGTCCCACTTGTCCCCCTTTATGCCTTGACTGACTTTGGCCACCCAGTCCCCTGGTGCGAGACCTTTAACTGGTCCTTTGTAGAGTCTGTTTCTATGAATTAGGGCTCGTTTCCTTCCAAATGCCCAAGATGCCTTGCCGTATCTGCTCTGCATGTCGCAAAGAATCTAGCAATCTCAATGGCGAAGTGAACAGCTCCTTGCTTTTCCAGTTATTTCCTTCTCAGGCAAGCACTGCCATGCTTAGTAGTCTGGTCAGCTTTCTGCTCTTCCGAGACTCTCCTTCACCCATTCTGATAAGGACCTCGGGTTTTCTCCTGTGACAAATTTATGGCTCTCTCCAGCACCTGTTCCATCCTCCCTTTCTGCAACACTCCCAACCGGCAAATTCATTTCATTGTTTAGCTATGTCTACTCCCTGTCAATAAATTACTTCTTCCTGGCTTGCCCAGGCCTTTCTATTTTTTTCACAGACCTTTTGGGGGCTTGTTCTTAATTATTCCAGCTACTCACTGACCAGGCTTCCTCTCTGTTATTTGTCGTGAACTCTTGTGTAATCTCCTTTCTTCTCTCCACCCTTTGCTTTCTTATCATTGTTTTACACACATGTAACTGTCAAATCATGTCAGTTTTATAAGCCCATAGGTCCTCTCAACTGCAGCGTTTCTCTCAAATAGTGTTAGAGGAGGGAAAAAGGCATTGCTCTTTTCAGTATTCTTCATCTACCAACATTTAATCACCAAGCAATTGCTGAGATTCAACTGTGTGCAACACCCTGGATTGGAATGAGCAGTGGTGGTGATGGTGAGTGGAGACAGGGTGTTGAATACCAGAGTTATATTTCACAGCAAATATTGAATCATGAAGGCTCTTGAGCTGGAAAATGACTTTGTGCTCCTTAGCTGTGCTTTAGCAAGGCAAATTTGACACCACTCTGAAACCTGGACTGAGGAGGAGGAGGTTCAGAAGTGGAGGAATATAAGCTAGGGGAGTCTTAGAGAATCCCAGGCAGCCTGGCAGGCAGCTGATCATGTTGAATTTGGATTGTACAGAAGGAGAGACCAAGAAGGACCCATGCACGAGGTATTTCTGAGCTAGCAAAACTTGGCAGCAATTAGAGGTGAGGGATGGAAGAACAGTCATGATGATTCGAATGTTTTGGACCAGGAAGAGTTGTAGGATTTGGTCCTATTACCAAATTGGGGAATGGAAAAGGAGAAGGAGGGAGGAAGTGGGGGAGGAGAGGTAGGTGCAGGAGAATGATGATGGGAGAAGTGACGAGCTCAGTTTTAGTTAGCATCCTGGAATTGAAATGGCAACGGTTCATTGCACAGCATTTGGAAATGTGGGACAGGCACTCATGGGAGAGGCTAGAGCTGGATAAAGTTTGGGAGTCATCCAAATAGAAGTGGGAAGTGAACCAGAGGAGCAGCCATATGCATATTAAAAAGCAGCTAATACTGCAGGCAGCAGGTGTGGGGCTCCAGTGTGGTATGAACAGGCCCTGTGGGCTGTGGACACTCAGGGGATGGTGGAGTACCATGACAGGAGCTGTCAGGGAGGACTTCCTCAAGGAGGTGAGGCTGGAGCTGAGGCTTTCCTCTGCCTTCACCCAGCATGCCATTTTTGTTTTTACCTATTTCAATCCCTTTCCACATCTGGGCATGATTTTCATTTGCACTTATAATCTTCAACCCCAAATATTTTCCTTCCTCTCCATTTGTGATTAATCTGAAAGTAGAGGGTAGACAGCAGAGGAAAGATGCCCTCAGGTGCAAACTCGTGCCCCATCCCTTAAAGGTAGTGAGTGATAGCCTCTTTTTGGAAAGCATGTTGGGCAGCAGAGACTGAATCAGAAACTTCTTATGTCCCACTAACAACAGGGAGAAAAAAAGTGTTGTAGAGACTTGCGTGCACTTTGCCTTCCTAAGAACTCTCATGTACTGTATATCTTCTTTCTTTGTCCAGAAACTGACTGCTCCAGCATCCCTCAGCTCACACTCTCCTTTCCTTTCCTTTTCACAGCATCTGTGTCTCAGGGATGTGCAAGAATATAATGATTCCTGCTTCCTCAGCTGGTCTCATCAGCTGTTCTCATCCACTACACTGAGTTCTGGCTTTGATGGCAAGGAAAGGGCTCCCTCTGCTCCCTGAATGTCTGTCTCCATGCCTGTACACGCTTACATGTATGATGGGGGAAGAGTTTTGGATGCTCTCCCTGCCTGCTAGCTTTGCCAAAGCTATTGAATTAAGCAGGCAATTTCCTCTCACTTTGTTTCTCTGTAAATTTCCCAACCATATGGTATGAGGAGAGTTCTTGGATTATAAATAAACAGCACTGCTCATGAATCTCAGGATTTTTGTTTTTCCCTCCAATGGGAATAAATAGAAAGCATAGATTTGTAACTTCAGAAAAATGTGTTGGAGGAGAAGATAATGTCTCCCTTTATATACATATATAAATATTTTTCTTCCATTTCTCTTTATGCAGAGTCCCTTTTTCCTGGGAGTTTTCTGGCCAGAGTCCATTTGTTTTTTATTACTGCCATTTTCCAACCTGGAGGTAAATTGTTGCTCTAAGGCAATGTGATAATAGCCACATGGGCCTGGCCAGATTGCACTGACCAGATGGGTTTGGTGCATCTTTTCTGCTGCTGGAGTTGTCAGTTCCCCTCTTTGCAGGACACAGACTTCCTCACTGGTCTTATGGCAAAGGAATTCAGGGAATGGGAAGGATCCACAAGACCTTGGCCTTAATAAAGAATCACAATATTTGGCAGCCATTTTACCTGATTTCCTGCCACTAAAGCTACAGCGAATCAGCTGGGCATGCTAGCCACCAAGGACAAATGCCAGGATAGGGGCCTGGGACTGGAATGGTTGAGGCCAGGGGCAACTCAAAGAAGGCATAATTTAAAGTGTGAGTGCAGATTTCGATCTGAGGGAAAAGCGGAGTGTTGGTGCTGCAAGGTCAGTGAGAGCAGTTGTGTGATTCAAGAAGTAATGAGAGACCACAGTAGGGATGGGGCAAGTGGGCAGGGGTCAGCCAGTGGTGGCCCACAGGCCAAATGTAGCCCACTTCTTGTTTATGTACTGCTTATGAGCTAAGAACAGTTTTCACATTTTTAAATGGTTGAAAAAAATCAAAAGGATACTACATTGTAATACCTTAGAAATAAGGTGAACTCAAAGTTTAGTGTCCAGAAATAACATTTGACTGGCACGCAACTGTACTCATTTACTTACATATTGTCTATAGCTGCTTTTGTGCTATAATGGCAGAGTTGAGTAGCTGTTACAGAGACCATATGCCTCAGAGAGTCTAAAATATTTGCTTTCTGGCCCTGTACAGAAAAAGCTTACTGTCCCCTGGTCTAGAGTACCAGGAATTATGATGGGAATTATGGAGAGCAAGCTTAGGGCAGGTGATGGGTTTAAAACTAGGTGCTGGACTATAGCATGCTGGGCTCACTCTTTTGGGTGCTGCTCATACAGTGAAACTCATTAGGGGCAGGTCAGTTCATTTAATGTGCAAAACTGAGGCAAAAACTCATCCCTGAGAATGTCAAAGCAATAATACTTTCAGCTTTGTTAAGCTTTGGGAGACAGGGATTTACTCTCTCAGTCTGTACAAAAGGTAACAGTCTGTGGGCCTATCATGTTTTCACCCCGTCCTAGGGCCCTGTCCTCATACAAAACAATTATCTGATAATATAATTCACACGAAGTCATTGACTATTTAATACCTTTCCCAGAATTTTGTCTTTTCCAACAATGATCTCAAACCCAAAGGAACGAATATTTAAAGACAGACTTTTGGGCACTGGACAGATTGTTGCGGAACATTTACGAGATGGGAGGCTTCTTGCATCACAGTATATACAGCCTCTAAGAGCAGTTCCACTAAAATGCATAAGATGCTTCAAAAGACAATTTTATAGATAGTTGAAGTTATCAATGTACTTCTCTTTAAAAGCAGGATAATTTTCACATTGAAAAGCTGTATGTTCATCTAAGATTTTAATTTTGTTGGTACGATTCCCCTGCATCCAACCCTGACTTTCTCATACATTTATAGTTTGGTAAACTATGGAATGGTAGAGGAATTTTAGAGATCAATGACAGAAACTGGAGAGAAAGTTTGATTTCATTTTTCCTTTGTGAGTGCAGAATATAGTCTTTCTTGCAAGTGAAGCAGTTGTTGGGTGGTCCTGGGAATGGAATGCTTTGAGCAAGTCCTGTTCTGGTCGCTAATGAGTTGAATGGGTTGCCTGGGGGTAGTCCCACGTATGCTTGCCAGCCAGCCTTTGAGAACACACATTCAGATATCTGCCGCCCATACTGACTTCTCACATTCACTTAGTCCAGCTCATTCATTCTAGTGGAGGTGGGAAATAGAGCGTTAAATCTCCATGATTGCACATCTGTTCCTTTGCACCCTTGACAGAATGGCTTAGGGTAGGTTTGTGGTGGCTTCTCTGTAAGGCTTCCAGTTTCTTTATGGAGTGTTGTCTGAGAGCCAGTGTGGTATCTGAAGAACGTGAGTTCTAAAGTCAGGACAACCTGTTTTCAGACACCCACTTTGCCACTTACCACATCAGGGAATTTTAGAAAATCTCTTGGTCTCTCCAAGCCTCGCTTCTTTATTTGAAATATTGGGATAAAAGTAAAAATATCTATCTTATTATACAGTGCCTAACACAATAGTTTGTTTGTTTCCTTTCATTGTGGTATTCTGAGCATCTAGAATAGTGTCAGGCAAGTTATAGGCACTGCATGAATATTTGGAAAATGAATGAAGAATAGGGACTCAGCAAATTGTATTTCTTTTTCTTTTGGTAGGTACGGTATGTTTCTGGGTATCTCAAGTTAGCTTAAAGTTTCCTTGGGGGCCATAAGTAATTAACTGCTTTTTTATGTGTGAGATAAAATGCTAATTTCAAAACCCTGGAACCTCACTGTTATATTCCTGTGGCAGGGACTGATTAGATATTCACTAAACCTGTTTCCTCTTCATCCTGGGCAAGAAACTAGACTACATTTGTCAGCCTTTATTCATTGACTGAAATCTGGCCCCTGGAAAGAGGCTAGTAGTGATAGATGCCACTTTCATACCTGGCAAAAACACTTCCCACATTTTTCTTCATGCTTATTCATTTTCGGACTCACCAATTCAATTGAGATTTCCAAGATCTACAGGAGAGCAGAACCCTAATGTGGAAGGAGGCTGGATCTCGAAAGCACTGCATAGAACAGAGCCCCTATTTTTCCCCCCATCACCCTGCTGGCTCATATTGGGCTATGATATGAGTGAGAAATACACTAACATAGTGTTAAGTCACTGAAATGTTGGTATTGTTTGCTGTTGCAGTTAGTTGCTTCAATGCATACAGTCTCCAAGATGCATGTCCAGCCCTCCCATTCCTACACTCACTTTATTCTCTAGCCTGGATACCTATTTACTATTCTCAAGATATGCTGTGTTTTTCTAGCATCTAGCATAGCTCTGTTTATACCATAGGGACTCAGTAAACATCTGTTGATTGATTTCTGGGCCAAAGAATGAAACAGCAGCTTCCTATAAAATGTAAGCATGTTTTACATCAGACAGACCTGATATTTCAGAGGAAATATTCATTTAAGTGTTCTTCTCTACTATGGGACTTAGTATATAGTTTTTAAACAGAGAATTCAGCTTATCTGGCACATTAAAACTTACAGACTCACACACATCCTTTCAGGGAGATTCCTGCCATATAAAAGGAAAATTCAGCTGTATGGAGTTCTAGATGTGTTAGAATAACATCGCAGGTAGGCTCCATCCAGGAGAGAGGGTTTCAGGCCAGGGATGTATGAGCTAGCAGTCAATGTCAGGAGCCTTGGAGAAATGGAGCATCCATGCCAAGTTTTCCCACCTACATCCAGTGCTTCATATGCAAACAGCCTAACTTTCCCCATTTGTAGAAAGCTGCACCTAACTTTTCTGTTATGCTCTCACACCTTGGATGAATTGCATGGCCAATGTTGATAACCCAGAAAATGACAACTACTTAGCTTTCTGTTGCTTCCACAAAGTAGGTCAGGAAATGGAGGGGAAGTGAATTACTCTCCCAGACAGGGGTTATACCAGGCAGATAACTGTACTTGCTCAAAATTGTTTTCTTTTATCCATCAGATATCTTGAACATCTTGCCATCATCCTAATGCTAAGATAATAATAATAGAAGGCATTTATTGAGCTGAATGTGCCAAGCATTAGGTCAACATTTTCTTTACTCATCCATTAGCTGCCATTGAGTGCTGTGACCATCTCCAGAGGTTACCATTTTCCTACATCTAGGATGGCCAATGCCTAGCTGATATGGGGCACAAAAGCCCAGCCCTCTTGCCTTACAGTGGGACATGTATGTGGTGAGGTG
The DNA here is from genome assembly GCF_000001405.40 of Homo sapiens. Classification (NCBI taxonomy): domain Eukaryota; kingdom Metazoa; phylum Chordata; class Mammalia; order Primates; family Hominidae; genus Homo; species Homo sapiens. The sequence continues at coordinate 104,899,983 of NC_000010.11, forward strand.
TCTGCCCCAGAGCCTCCCTGGGGATTAAGCTTCACAGGAAACCACATCCTTGTTTGTCTTCTGCTTCTTTCCAGTCTTGCTTCCCTTTCTCCCATTAGGTTTTGCCTCAAAGCACTCCCACCATAGTTCTTGAGCTTCCAAATCCCAGACTTGGGCTCTGATTTTAGGGAACCCAGCTTAGGATGTTTTCCTTTTTTCTCAAAGTTGGTTTATAATGTGCTACAGAGATGCTGGCTCTGCTGGTTTCTGTCAGTGATAACAGAATTCTCTCAGGCACTCAGGTTTGGTATCTTTAAGATATCTTTACCTGTTCCTTCTTCTTCACCTCTGACCATGCCAGTAAACAGATTATGCTTCTTCTACCTGTCTTTTATTTCTTGCAACCTACAGTCATCCAGGATAGTGAGATGGATTCCTGACAAGTCTTTCTACCTCTGGAGCATATGCTTCACCAAACCATCATATAAATCACTAACAGCTTAGTCCTTTCAAACAGGCTTTATATTCCTATCTCATTTCTTGTAAGACAAGTTCAAGCTTCTTAGCAGATATGTAGGAGCCTCCACATAATCTTATTCTACTGATCTGAACTTATCCCCTCTTATGCCCGTGTAAGAACATTTTATGGCCTGGTGCGGACGCTCACGCCTGTAATCCCAGGACTTTGGGGGGCCGAGGTGGGCGGATCATGAGGTCAGGAGTTCAAGACCAGCCTGGCCAACATGGTGAAACCCCGTCTCTACTAAAAATGCAAAAAATTAATTACCCAGCTGTGGTGGCACGCACCTGTAATCCCAGCTACTCGGGAGGCTGAGGCAGGAGAATTGCTTAAACCTGGGAGGTGGAGGTTGCAGTGAGCTGAGATGGTGCCACTGTACTCCAGTGTGGGCGACAGAGCAAGACTCTATCTTGGGGTGGGGGGAGGGGGGCGGGGAAAGAACATTTTATTATCTACCCAGTCTCCTTAATTACCTTCTGAAAATACTTGCATTTTTCAGGTTCCAAGCCTTTGAGCATACTCTTTGTCTTCTGTTGACCTTCCAATACTCAACCCTCTTTCAAAGCCTACTTTTTTCATGAAGTCTTCCTTCCTTTACTTTGAGCTCCTCTATCACTAATAAATGTCATTGTCTTCTTCATTGACATTGTCACCATCATCATCATATTAATAATGGCCACCATTTATTAAGAGCCTATAATATGCATGACATTGTGATAAATGCTTCATGTGCATTGCCTGCTTTAGTTACCAAACAACCCAGGAAAAACTTTTTAGATAGTTTTGCCCATTTTATAGATGAGAAAACTGAAGTTCAAAGAGGGTAAGTGACCTGGTCAAGATCACACAAGTATCTAGTGGTGGAACCAGGCATTGAAACCATGTCTGTGACTTCGAAGTTTGTGCACTTAACCACTCTGGTAATATATTCCATTTGGCTTAATTGCTTCCTACTCATTTATCCCTTATTTATTCATTAAAGGTACTTATTGAGTTCCTGCAATGTATCAGGGAGTGTGCACTGGAGACTTAGTAGGGTCCTTGTCCTCAGAGTTTTATCTAATAGCACTCTTGAGCCCCTTTCCTAACTACCATCTCCCCCTCAAACCTTCCCCTCACCTACAGTCTCTCCAGGAGAGGACTGTCTCTGAATTTCACCAATGTGCTATGTCGTCTTGCCCAGCCTTTCCTGGTGGTCTTGTTATTAGATTTAAAATGATGTTTTTCAGCCCTTGGCTTTCAGGCCTTGCTCATGCCTTGCTTTCTAGTTATCTAGTGAGAGATGGTCTTGTCTCCCTAAGACCATATTATTCTTTCTGACAGTATTCCCACTGGTGCCTAGATTAGGTGATGCAGAGGCTGGCAAACCTTTGAACAGCTGAATGCTTACTCCAGAGACATTGCCCTCACTTAGGCAGTTTTTGCAGGACCTCAGTGGCCTCTCAGTGGTGACAGATCTGCATCTTTGGAGCATAGATCTGCATTTTGGAAGGAGCCAGAAGCCATTTGGAGCTTGATCAGATGCATAGAATGTTGGGGATGGCAGGGACTTTTGAGATCATTGATTCCAACCATCTCATTTTACAGAGAAAGAGAGTAATCAAACTGTGAAGCATTGTTTTTGGTTGGAAACAAAGAGTGTCTGTAACAACAAGACTAGAAACCCAATCAACCATAACTCATGGGGCTTGCTGAATGCTTAAGTGTGAGCCACTGAAGATGGCTGATAGGACCATGTTGCTGCCAGTCCTGATGATTGTTAACTGGCTGAGATACATTCTGTTTCTGACTGGGACTCTGGCTCCTGTCAGCACCTTCACTTGCCCAGTTGAGCACTCCCTTTACCCAGGGGAGCACCCATCTCTGGAAAAGTGCTGAATTCCAGTGACTCTGAGAGGTCATGGACTTGAGGAATGTTTGTGTATGTTGAGGGGAGTGGGCTGTGAGGGACAGGGTCCTTGAGCCAAGGCCCTTGCAGGCTTTTGCATGGATTGACCATGAAAATTGCTGTCTTCTCTTTCCAGTTATACTTTTTTCCTTGGCTTCTGCAACCTTCTTGTTCCAAAGACTCCAGAACCAGTTATCTGAGATAAAATATGTTTTTCTGTTCAATAGTCAGATCACTCAGATGATAGGAAGTGGCTGTCTTCATCTTGTGAAGTCATTGTTATTTTCCAGAGGAGAAACAGGGAATGGTGGTAAGACAGTTGTAGGAAGGAATGAAAGCCTGTCAAGAAACTAAGCTGATTCTTGCCCTGTGCTTTATGTAGGTTTTCTCACTGAATCCTCCTAATAACACTGCTTGATGGCAACTATTATGCCCATGTTAGATATGGGGAAACTGAGGCCTGGAAAGGTTAGGCAGTGTTTTTGGTGTTGTGTTGCTAGTAGGTAGGAGAGCAGGAATTCTAACCTAATTTTGACTCCAAGCATTCTCCTTTTTATACTTGTATAGCTTTCCAATAGGAAATGACCATGGAGACCCCCTGAGCAGGTGAATCAGTGAAACCCTTGCCATGTGATACTTTGTGAAGCAGATGCTCAATTACCATTGTTTAAATAAATGGCCGGGCATTGAAGTAGAGTGCATAGAACTTGGAATCATATGACCTGGGTTCAAGTTCCAGGATTGTCATTTGGTCAGTCACTTAACGTCTCCGAGTCTGTTTCCTCATTTTTATGACAGAGATAAAATATCTATGTCAGAGGGTCATAGTGAGGATTCAGTGAACTGCTTTAAGAGAAAGTGTTTTGTATAAAGCACTATGCAAATGTTAGTTACTTAATGCCACAGTGATTTAGGGTGACAGTCTTCCGAGAAATTAATTACAGAGTCTAAGTGTCTGCCAGAGTCTTGATCCTTGACCTCAAGAAGCTTATAGTTGTGGTGAGGACAAGAGACTATGGAAATCAGAGGGGACAGGGCAAATTGTGCTGTAGATATATAAAAACAATAGAAAACCAGAGAAAGGAAAGATAACAGAAGAGCACGGTAGATGAGAGGGCTTTACACAGGAGCCTGGAGTTGAACTGTAAAGGTTTGAAGTGAGAGGAGATTCGCGACTGGGCATAGATTTAACAATAATAAAAAAAGGCATGTTGTAAGTTACAGTCCTCTTGGGACCCAGGAGTTGTTTTGCATAGAGCAGCAGTTCTCAAAGTATGACTCAGTGACCCCTGGTAGCCTCCATGACTCTCTTCAGAGGATGGATAGAGTCAAAACTATTCTCTAATAATAATAAAATGTTATCTGCTTTTTAAACTCTTATTTTCTTATGAGTGTACAGTGGAGTTTACTAGAGGCTACCTGGCATATTTGATATTATCACAGATTGAATGTAGAAACAGATACAAGAATCCATATATCTTCTATTAAACCAGATATTAAAGAGCTTTGAAAGAAAAATTTGAAAAGTAAAAGAATGCTAATTTTGTCATGAAATTGTTTTGTTTTGGAAACTATAGTTTTTTAAATAAAATTATGTTATTTATATTAACATGTAACAGGGTTATTGTTATTTTAAAATGAGTCAATATTGTAAATTTTTCTCAGATGTAATTTCTGTTGTAATATGTATTGCTAGATATAACACACTTGAATTAAATATCTTGGGGTCCTTAGTAACTTTTAAAAGTATAAAGGAGTCCTGAGTCATAAAAGTTTGAGAACCAACCACTGTTAAAGACATTCTGGTATGGAGATACAGTAAAGGTCTCAGATTTTTATCACACTTTGGCGTCAATGTGTATGTCCTTTGGTATCTTAGAACATCTATGTACAGGAATTTCAAGATGATAATGCCCAATGTTGCAAGCATGCAGTGAAACTGGTACTTTTATACATTGTTAATAGAAGTGCAGACTGGCCAGAGTATGTCTGTAAGGCACTTTATAGCAAGAGCTTTAATGATAATTTTTATCCTTTGAACTAGTAATTACACTTACATGAATCTATTCTAGGGAAACAAATAATGATACATACAAATATTTATGTCTGACAACACACATTCAAGTTATTTAATACAAGATTTTGGCTAGAAACTGACCAACTGGCCAGAGAAGATAGTTAAAGTAAATTATGATGCATTCATACACTGGAATGTTGTAAGGCTTTAAAATAAAATGATATTTTTGAAAAATATGTAACAATATGTGGAAATGCTTACAATATTATGTTAAATGGAAAATCAGGACCCAAATTCTATAAATAATGACCCCAAATTTTGTAAACACACAAGAGTTAAAGAAAAACACACCAAAATGTTAACTGAGTTTTTCTATATGATGTGGCTATCTTGTGCGTTATTATTTTTTTTTTAATTTAAGGGTATTTCTACCATAAATTTTCAGTATTTTTTTTTTAAAAGACTCTAGGGTGTGACATTCCTTTTATCCAAGGCTGTGGTAACCAGTCTACTGAGCCAGCCCATGTCATGTGGGTTCAGGCGCACACTGCCTCAGATCTTGAAAGGGACACTTCTCTAAGAGTCACTGTGATAGTTTAAGGCATATTCTATGACTTGACAATACATCCGACTTCTAGCTAATTGCTTTTTCCTGCTTAGCCATTCAAAAGAAAGCTTAGAAAATACTGAGATTGTTTTTCATGCCCTACTACTCGGGTCTGTTGTCAAGAACAGTCAGTGTAGAATGTAGGATCCAATAGGCAATTGTTTTAAATGATGTGCATGTAACACAGCACAGAGAGCAGAGCAATCACTCCATAATTTTTACAAAGGAAGAGATAAATGAAGTTTTAGGTTTCTGGACCCAAAACGAGATGAAGTTACTATAGTGTTAGAGGCTCAAAAAGGAGAGCTGTAATTCACTCCTTGGAAACTGGGAATTTCCTCTTCTTCTTGCCTGTGTTGGAAAACACCATGTGTTGGAAGACTTTAGCCCTCTTTCTATTCTGGATGGCCAGTAGGACAACTGGTAAAACTGGTCCAGCACAAAGGAGCATCTGCTTTGCTATTAGTTTCTCACAGCAGAACAGTTTCAGTCAGAAGGGAATCTGTCTGAATGTGACTATTTCAGTCCCTGGGACATATTTTCTCAGTTTGAGGATTTACCCTGCATGGCATTATTCAGCATGATTTAGGGGTTAAAAGAGACGTCCAAGGTAGTCCCTTGACTTCAAAGACCTTATTCTGTCTGGAGAAAGAAGTGTCATGCACACAAAGTTAAATAATGGCATAAAACAACAGCAGAAAAGAGAAAAAGATGTGGTCCCAGAAAGCCGATACGATGCTCTCTGAGAGTGACAAAGATGCTGAGCACTGGGAAAGCAGAGGCAGGTGAGATGAGAGGCTCCGTCGGGGAGGATGGCGGCAGAAGGAGACACTCTCTTCTCTCCCGGGCTGAAGACTCTGGGAGGGGAGGTATTTGCATTAATTGAAAAGTGATTAATGAAAGCATTGAGTGCCTTCCATGTGCAAGGCATTGTGCTTATTACAGAAAAGGAAAATATTTAAAGATGAGTGGGACACAGAATTTAGTTTCTTGAGGGTAGGAAGGTGGTCTGAAGGCTCTCTATTTATTCATGTTCCTTCATTGGGCGGCTGCACATTTTATCCTGGAGGTTTCTGGATGTGCCCAAACAGACATAATTGTGCACATGTCACAGGGCCCCGACTGGCTCTATGTAATTTTAAAGAGAAATGATAAACATATTTATTTTTTAGACAGTGATGCCTTGCTAAAACTGTCCAGCACCTGCTAGTGTAGGCCTCATTATTTTTTTCCCCAGGAAAACTTAGTGGAAAAGTTGGGTTCGTTTTCCCTGGACTTTAATTTGTTAAGTGTTGGCCACCTGCTGGAGGCTATCTTTGATTACATGTAGCAGGCCCCCCATCCTCCCATGTGTCTTTTGGTAGCTTACTGCTGATATGGTGGGAATGAGATGGCGTTAGCCTGTCCACTGGGGGTTATGTAGCTATAACACAGCTGCTGTTTGCCCAGAAATGTGTGAGGCAGTTTCTCCTTCTGTGATAATATTATTGGTCTACCTTGGTGTTGCCCAACAACAGACAGTGAAGTGAACCCTCTGATAGTAGGGCTATATAAGCTTCACAAAAGCCCTAAGAACACAACATTTAGATTCCCATTGAGCAGACATGAAACATGAGTTTATATAATTAGTCTGAGGCTCCACAGACTGGATTTGAATCCAAATCTCCTTGACTCTGAAATGAATCCTCTTGTGATTCTTTTGGTCTGCCTTTTTGAACGCAGAAGCTTATCTGTAACTGGGTTCTCCTACAGATGTGTTAATTTGTTGATTAACATTGTGACTGTTTGGTAACAATCACTTTATTGCTATAATTTTTAACTACATGAGTCATACTTGGATACACTTTTGTTTGAAAACATCTCAACATTACAAGTAAATTCAAGTGCTTCTAGCTACCTAACCCCAGCCCACCCCGGTTCCCTACCCAGTGGTAACTTCTATTAGTAGTTTTATATATTTTCCACTAGATTTTATATGTATTTGTTTACACGCTTATAAACTTAATGGAAATGTATTGCCTTGTTGTGTCTGGATATACTGTGTGTGTGTAATATATTTAGTATTATGTCTTAGAGACTTTTCAGGTCAATAACTCTGGTATCTGTCTTACTCTTGAATGCTGCTGTATAGTACTGTGTGTGTGTGTGTGTGTGTGTGTGTAATACACTCTATTTAGCCTTTCCCTGATAATTGTTATTCAGTTATGTTCATATCAACAGAGATGCAGTGAATTATGGGCTGTCATACCTTCTCATGGGCCTGTTTGTGCACTTTCTTTTCCCTGGAGGGCTTCTTTCCTTCCCTTACGTGCATGATACAAATAGGTCTTTTGCCTGATAGGTTAGAGTTTTTGGCATTTTAAAACCTAAATATAACAACTCACCATCCTATTTTCTGAACTGAAGGTCTTCAGTGAGAACTAATGTGTTCACACCAAATAAAGAAAGGAAAAGAAAGAAACTGAAGATCTGAATATTGGCCCAACCCCATATACTTCAGCCTCTGTCCTACCTGAGACGTGTGCTGGGAAGCTGCTGCTGGTGGGTCTACAACTTATCTGATCCGAACCATGAATTCTGCATGACTGGTCTCCAAAGACAGCAAACCTCCAATTTTCCGCATTTAGAACCGGTGATGGCTCTCATTCAAATAGTGGGGGCAGGAGGAAATAGAGACGAATTAATTATCCTGTATCATTGTGCCTCTCTTTGTGAGACTAAACAATGCAGCCATGAGTTGGGTAAAAAGAGGTCAGGGAGAGCTGTGTAAGCTTCTGCACTGGCATCAACCTTCCTGTGGAGTTTCTGAAGCAGAGGGTGGGGCAATACCCACTTGGAGAATGAAGCTGTTTAAATGACTTACTTTTGGCTTGAGGTCTGAAATTAGTTATCTGGATGGTTATTTGTGGTCAGGCTGGGCTTCTGCCATTGCAAAGATACAGATTAATGTGACTTTGGGCACTGGCCCTAAAATGAGGAGTGGAATAGGCCAGAGGGAAACATTAATGCTTTTCCATCACAACTCTCTGAGAAGTCTTTGGTCTGGAGCTGTGCTGTGGGAACTCCTGACGCTGACCTTGGAATGGGCTGTGGTTCACCACACACCAGAGCACCTAATAGCCTATGGTCTTTGATTGTTGACAATCCTCAGTGTATCTCAGTGGAGTACACCTGAAGGAGCTGCTAGTGGGTGCTCCCCAAGGCCTGGCACTTGGAAGCATAGTTGTATCTTTTGATTCTCCAGGCAACTGGGTCTTATCATACACTTATGGTGACAATTGGAAACAGTGTCCACAGATCCTTTAATGATTTATTGGGTATCCGTGTGCCTCACCCCTATTAAGTGTAAGTAGTGCAAATCAAGAAAAAGAAAACAAGGTGATTTCCCTTGAGGACAATACAATCAGGGGTATTCATAAAAATGACAGCCATAAGCATTTATGGAACAAGGGCTTTTAGCAGATGCTAAGCTAGGTATCTTATTACTCTTCATTGAATCTGAATAACAACAACTCTATTGTCTGAGCTGAGGTTCAGAGACATGAAAAGCTTGCACAGCTAGATCTGGCTCTGAGTCTAGTTGTCTTTGTACTACTCCAGTCTGCTTGTTTTCTTTATGTAGAACTGTGCTCTGCACTTTCAGAAATTAAAAAAAAAATTCATTTGTGACTGTTCTTTTGAGAAGCTTTTAGCAATTGCTGAAAATATCAAAAGCACACATGTATATTCAGAGAATAAATAGGGAGCTCTTAGGTGCAATTGGTGTAAATGCAGAGGAGGGCGTGGGTGGGAATTATAGGAAAGATCTTTGTAGTACAATGAGTACTGGAGCTGGGAGTAAAAAAGGAGACAATCTGAACATTGGAGGCAATGGTAAAGCAAAGCAGGTAAACTACGAAGGCCTTGAATGCCAGACAGAGGCAGATGTTTGACCTGATGTGGCAGCCAGGCAGGGAAGGATGCTCTAGGGTATCAGAGATCCAGGCAGAAATCTTGAGAAGTTGTCTTAGAGACAAAAGCAGGGTGAGAACATGACTCGGGGGTGGGACAGAGGTGGAGGCTGATATTCTCTACCTCTAGCTGATACCAGCTAGAGCAGCACCACCAAATCATACCCCTCCTGCTTTTGCAAAAGCACCCTTTCATTTTGCTATTGTGCTTGGCTTGTTTGGAGCTGCAAAAGGTCAGAGTTGAGTAGTTGTGGCGGAGGTCCACAAAACCCAAAATATTTACTATCTGGTTGTTTTACAGGAAAAAAAAGTTTGCCAACCTGAGCTAGAGCTACTTTAAATGGCCGGAAAGGGGAAGCAAAGCACAGTGTGCCTAGCCCATGTCAGATGCCGTGGTTGATAAATATATGCAAAGGAATGAGCCAAACATGGCAACGCAGAAGTTGCTGAGAGGAAAGGAACAACCACAACTGTGGTTGTTTGCCAATTTTAGATTGTTTGCCAGTTTTAGATTGTATCCCTCAGAAGGCAGGCCACTGAGGAGATGACTTCTGACTGGTGAAAGATGCCAGGGTTAATGATCCTTAATTTTGCAGAGCTCAGGGGCAAGAAGAGGAGAAGAAATGAGGAGAGGACTGAGGACCAGGGTGGTAAACACCAGAAGAAGGTGCTGACTGGATAAGGAAAGCCATGTGCTCACCCAGATTGAGAACATCAGATGGCCCCGTGAGAGCTGGCAGAGTGTCTATCTCTGGCCAGAATGGGGCATTAGGACAGGGAGGTTGAGCTGCAGTTCAGCTCTACTGAGAGGCTGACTTGGCTGCATCGACTGGATGTCTTTTCTGTTTTTTTTTTTTTCTTTTAAAATAGCCCATATTCTTATTGCCACCAGCCTCTCCCCGAGAAGATCACTAGAGGAGTAGTGAACTTGCTGGGTAGGTAAAAAGCATACGATAACTCACACCTCCACTCCTGACTGAAATTGTCAGTGGGAAAGTGGCCCTGTGGGAATGACCAAGTGTATGGCAGGTCAGACTGGGGGTTCCTCCCACAATGTACCAGTCCGCACTAAGTCCTTCGGAATGCCTCTGGATGAGACAAGAACTCAGTGAACAGTTTCAGGACTCAGACTAGGAGTTGATGCCATAGAATAGTCCCAAGCACCTCTACGAAGTTGAAGAGGGAGGATGTCCAGTCTGCCAGTCAGCATCAGGTACCTGGAGAGTAGCGTGAGTGACAGGTAGCTGGCAGGACCTGCCAGATGATGAGCAGGTGCCTGAGCAGGCGGTGAAACCAAGGAGCAGTGTCTCTTTGGAGGTACAGTCTCCTTGGAGAAGATGTTGTAAATAGCCAGTGAAGTAGAAGTTATGCCCTGAGGTGACCCACACAGAGACGTCACCCCAGAAAAACTTTTCTTCACAAATACACAAGAAGCCACGCATAAGAATGTTTGTTGTAACATTGTTTATAATAGCAAATTAAAAAAAATACTTCTCAGTGGTTTGAAAGGATAAGCAGTGGTTTATTCATAAGCTGAAACACTAGATAGCAGTTAAAGTGAATGAATGACCACTAGGTATGTAACACGGATACATCTCACAAGCCGAATGTTGGGTGAAATAAGCAAGCTGCTGAACATATATCCTATGTGAGAACACTTATGTACATGTAGAAACACTCAAAAAGGTTATGTGTTGTTTATGCACACAAACACTTGTTAAATCTAATAGTGGCCAAATGATGGGCATTGCATTGTGTTTTTCTGTGTGCTGGAAATAATAAGAAAAAAAGAACAAGGGATAGAGACACACATGTGTGTGCACACACACGTGACAGTGGAGTGGGGTTGGGGTAACTGGAGCCAGGGTACAGGAGCCAGAGCCCCGTGGCTACACTGACCTCATGCGCCACCTTCCAGGTTAGTTGTGTGCACTGAACAATTCAGAATGGTAACTGGCAGAGTGCCAGGCCCATGCCTGGCTCAGGGCACTGGTGTCATGGCTCCAGTGTTCTGAACATTTCAGTCTTATGAACCTAGTGTCAGGATTTGGGAGGCTAGCTTTAAAATTGATGAGATGAGCCTGTTTTCTCTAAGTGACCCCACTGGCTGATGTCTGGAATCACAAAGTAGAGAGGATGGTTTGCTTTCTTGTAAGAGCAAGTTCTGCCAGCATAAATGTCTCTGGCAATGGGGCTGAGACCTCTCTACCATTTGCCCCTCACCCCAGGCCAAGTGGGCCCACAGAATGCTGTGGTCAGGGCAGTGTGCAGTGGCCATCCTGGAAAGGACAGAGTCGAGGGCACTGTTGGTTCCATAGGCTCCCAGGCTCCCTGAGGTATCTTCATCAAATAGGACTTGTTCCTCTGAGACCAAATGAGCAGAACCTGCCAGAGGCATGGAGGAGACTGAGACATAGAGGGTGTCCTTTGTTGGGCAGTCCCTCTTTTCAGCAGCCACTTTTGGAAAATAGCAAAGTCAGTGTTAATCTGTCATGCAGCTTGTGAAAGTGAGACCATGTGTGATGATCAGCGTACTATCTTTTGTGAGAGTTATTTGGATTCGGGAAGGAAGTTTGTTGTGACTTCCATCAGTCCTGCAGGGATCCCTGAGAATTTAGCTCTTCTAAGACTTTTGCTATAGATAGTATGAGAAAAAGATGATAGTTGGAAAACAACTTAGCATTGTGTTGGTGGTTTAATAAAATTTAAGATCCCATAAGGGACCTTAGGATTATGTAAGTAAACCTCTTGTGTTAATGATGGAATGGAGCTTGACAAAGATGCTTTCCTTAACCAAACTTGAGTTAGGATCCTCTGAGCTCTTTTTTTAACTAGGCTCCCCTGCTTGGGCATGTTCTCAAGAGTCCAATTTTTTAACAAGAATCCTTCTAAGTCATGTTAGCCAGAATCTCCCAGCCTCTGTTGCTAATGAAAGTCCTCATCCTCCACTATAATCTAGATAATATCTGATCACCCTGGCCTGCATTCAGCAAGAAACTTGTTAGATTAGTAACAAAGAATTACCCTCCCCTGTTAGCAATTTTTCATCCACTGACCTCTCCTCTGCCTCTGATAAAAAATTCCCACTTTTCCTTTTTCTATTTGGAGTTGAGCCCTGTCTTTCCCCTACTGCAAAATCCCATTGCAGTAGTCTCTCTACATATTGCAGTAGTCCTGAATAAAGTTTACTTAATCATTTTAACCAGTGTCAGAATAATTTTTTAACAGCCTTCTAAAAGTGGCTTGTGCAGGGTAACACGTTGAGTGCATTTGAAAATCAGCTCTACAGTCTCGACTTCTAGGCTCCAGCTTCAATGTTCTTTCTCCACACCATGCTGCCTTAATGCCTTCAAGAGTGTAGAATTAAGAAGTAATTAACTCTGTAAAATATTTTACTTGGATTAATAAAAATGCAAATGACAGCCTCTAGAGATCATGGTCTATCTCCAGTCTTGCACTGCCTAGGATAGTTGCTCAGGGTGATTTGTCATTTAACCGTAATTCTACTACAAGTGAATTACAGACCCTTCCCTAGGACAGACCTTGCTAGACTGTACCGTCTGCACTGTTGTGCTAGCATCCAAAGCCTCAAGCGTGTTTTCTAGGCATTGTTTGCTGTGTGTTGAATTACCACTAGACATCAGTAGTTGGTTAAAAACTTGTGAGTAGGTTTGGACAATCTCATTCATCCATTCATTCTTACAAATAAAGACAAATTAAAACAATACAAAAACTATTACTTTCAGCAGTTGCTTTGTACCAGGCATGGTGCAAGACACTGGAGCTGTTAAAAACATGGTTCTAGTCTTCAAGGAGTTACAGCCAAGGAAGAGATCCCAGAATAAGGACAGTGTAGCCAAACCAATAGGATAAATGCTTAAATAGAAATGCGTACAAGATAGTACGGGACCACAGAGGAGATTGTGATTAATCCCCCCCGGGAAAGCTGGAAAAGGGTGATGTTGGAATTAGATGTTGAGGGTTGGAGGAAAATTTGCCAAGTAGAGGAAACAGGGATGGATAGTTCGGACAAGGAGATGATGCGTACAGCAGCGGAGGGCAGTGAGAATGTAGGACATGCTCAGGAAAGTTTAGCGAGGCTGGAGAGAAAGGGCCAGAGGAGCAAGTGGCTGGGAATGGGTCCAGAAAGGGACGTTGAAGCCAGATTTTACAAGACTTAAGCTTGGAAGATTCAGCTTGACTGTGTGCATTGGGCAATTACTACCAAGGAGTGAGGTGGACAGATCTGGGGTAGAAAAATAGCCTGGTAACAGCATGGAGGATGAATGGGGGAGGGAGAAGACTGGAAGAAGAGCATCAAATTGGGGGATCGTTGAAACATGATGATGTATGAGCCACAGCATTGGTGTGATGATGGAAAGGATACCAGGGGTCTAAGTTTTTTAGGAAATAGCATTATTAAGACTTGAAGAGTGATCTGCGTTGTAGAAAGGCAAGGAGAAAGATTGGGAGTGATTCCCAGAGCTTCTGTGCCTGCAGTAGACAAGAGTCAGAGAATAAGTCAGCTTTTGGGGGATTGATGATTAAAGTTAGCATAACTCATGACCATGTGGAGCCAGTAGCCTAGGGAGGGGTTTGAAATATTGATATTTGTTTATTCAGTAAACGTGAAACGTGCTGAGTGTGCATAATGTGTAAAACTTTGTGCTGTACATTTTGGAGAAAGGAGAAATGAATGAATGCCTCTTCACTTTTGTTTATTTTTTAACATTTTAGTATACCTGCATTCTGTTAGGAGGTTTCCCATGTCTTATATTTTTGTAACCTCACAAATGCCTCATGAGACTAAATTATCCCCATTCTTTTTTTTTTTTTTTTTTTTTTCCGAGACGGAGTCTCACTGTCACTCAGGCTGGAGTACAGTGGTGCGATCTCAGCTCACTGCAACCTCTGCCTCCTGGGTTCAAGCAATTCTTCTGCCTTAGCCTCCCAGAGCTGGGACTACAGGTGTGTGCCACCATGCCCAGCTAATTTTTATATTTTTAGTAGAGACGGGGTTTCACCATCTTGGCCAGGCTGGTCTCAAACTCCTGACCTCAGGTGATCCACCCACCTCGGCCTCCCAAAGTGCTGGGATTACAGGCGTGCGTCACCACACCCGGAATCTTCATCCCTCAGATAAGGAACCTGAGGCTCCAGTGGTGCAAATAACTTGCACATGGTCATGCAACCAGAGAGCTATGGATGTAGAATGAAACAGAGATTTTGCTACACCCAAAATTCATGTTCTTTCCTCTTATGAAGGGAGTTTTGTGATGTTCTTTAATTCTTTGAGGAGCCTACATTGTGCTTGGGGAAACAGAGCATAGAGAAATCAATCATGACACTATTGAAGAGTTAGAGAAGAGGCATGTACAGTGTGCCTTGGGTGCCTAAGGATGGGGAAATCTGTTCTGGTGCAGAAAAGAGAGGAGCGGTGATTGGGAGGAGGGCTAGAGAAGCTTTTACAGAGGAGGTGCAGGTGGGTGTTTACACTGGGCCCAGGGACCAGGAATCTGCCAGCTTGGATGAGGGTGGGGGTGACTGTTAAGGGTCATCACATTGGGAAGGAGGCTGAGGTGGGAGGATGGCTTAAGCCCAGGAATTTGAGGCACAAGCCATCGGGCTGATGTGATGCTATGATTGTGCCACTACACTCCATCCAGGCTAGGCAACAGAGTGAGCACCTGTCTCTTAAAAAAAAGACAAAGGTTATATAGTTTTAAGTACTAAGCTTCTGAAGCTGAGCTGTTGGCCAGGGAAGCACTGATTAGCATTAGAAGGTGGATAAAGGCTCAAAGCAAAGGCTGGGGGTGGTGGTTACTAGGGCATCAAATGCCAGTTCAAAGCAAGGCTCAGAGCCAGAGTTGGGAACTGAGATTGTGGCGGATTTCAGGCCCCTATAAGGTCAGTTGAGTACAGAGAAAATGCATTGACCTCTGTGCTCTTCTAAAGCTTGAGTTGGAGAAGTTTTGTAAGTCTAGCCAAGGACAGTGATGACGGGAAGAGGAGGTGAGAACTGATGATACAGGTGGTGGAAAAAGGGAGGGAGGTCTCTGTGGGCCAGGGTTTGGGGACAGGTGAACAGTATGGCAGGGAGGTCAACTACTTGAATCCCACTGTTTGGCACCCTCTCTCCCTCCTCCACCATGGAAGGCAGGATGGAAAGAAAGGAGCCTCTACTTCTGGTTTTGGCATAGGTCAGTGTGCTGGAAAGGAGGAGCAGGTAGCCAGCAGGATCATTGGAGTGATGAACCCCTCCTCTGTAAGCAGCCCAGTGCCATAGGCTTTTCACCCTGGACACACCCACATCGTTGTCCCTGTGTAAAGCATCCAACCCTCTGCCTGGTGTGGTCTCATTTAGCCATTGGACCCCATAAGTTTTCTGGGCACTTCCTACCCCTCCAAGGGTCCCTTGCTTCAGGCTCAATGGAGTGGGTTGAAGTTGGTTGTACCCTGGTGATGACCTCAGGAGACAGCTGGCCATGCTCCCATGGCCTCCACACACAACTCCCGTATAGAGGGTCCGCTGGTGGGAACTTGTGTGCTTCCACAACTCCACACAGAGCTGGGGTGGGGGGGTGGGGCGGGGCTGAGCAGCATGAGAGTCAGGCCGTCTCCAGCAGCTCCTTTCACCAAACAACTTCACAAAGGGCGAAAAAGTAGGTCCTGAGAAAGGCTGGAAGCAAAGGGGAGCACGCTTAGGTAGTAAGCAGGTGCATTAGTCTAATTGCTCTTCTAAAATTAATGGGGCTTTTTATCTCTGAAGCACTCATATGATTCGGGAAGAAAGGTGCTGGTCGGTCGAGGGAGAACCTGGCTTCCCTTTAGACATAGCTGCCCATTGGTAAAATGATCTCTCCCTCTCTGTTTTCTCTTTTACCTGCAGGTCGACAGATTATGGCACCACCTATGAAAAGCTGAATGACAAAGTGGGTTTGAAGACTGTCCTCAGTTACCTCTATGTCAATCCAACCAACAAAAGGAAGGTAAGAGACTGGGTCAGTAGGTCCTGAGCACTCCTGCTGGGTAGCTGTGCTGATTAGGGCCAGAGGTTAAGGAAAAAACTCAGTTGTCATTGAATCATTTACAGAGGTCTGGTTTATATGCTGGGAACTTCATAAACGCTGTTTGTAATTCTAACAACAAGCTTGATAGTAATAATAATAATAGTGACAGCAGCAGTGATAGTAATGCCACCAGTAAAACTATGTACCTATGTCTTATCTCAGTTATCGTTACAATGAATCTATGGGATAGAAACTATTATGGTCCCCATTTTGCAAGAGAAGCTCAGAGAGATGAAGTAACTTTCTACCCTGAATCAGATGGTGGTAAGTAACAGATCTAGAATGTAAGCATGGGTTTGCTCAGCTTCAGAGTTGAGTCTTTCCACAGCCTTCCTCTTGCTGGTACATTTTTTGAGAACCCCTTACTCCAAGGGAGATTGTTTCTCCCACGTGAAGGAAAGAAAGGCAGCTCCTGGCTTCTTCAACTTGATCCTGAGCTGCTTCTGAGGCAGAGGGCAGACCAGACTCCTCTGGCACCTCTGCTTCTCTGCTTTCCTCTTGATTTAGCAGCCAGGATGAAATCATATAAGGTCAGACCTTGGCCATGGAAATCTACTGAGAGGAGGAGGCCTGGATTCTGTGGAACAATGGGCAGTTTTAGAAAACAAATACTGCACCATGTATTATCTTTGGGGAGATGTGCTCTTTCTCCAGCTAAGAAAGCACTGCTATTTAGAAACGTAGGCAGACATGATTCAAATACATGCACCAAAATGACCATATTAAAGGTCATTTTAATATTTCTAAAAGGCTAAAAAAAAATGGCACCACCAAGCTCTCCTCTTGCAATCTGATTTGCATTCCCCCGTGGTTTTGCCAGTGCTTTCTTCCTCAAGGTAAGCTCAGGAGCAAGCTTCAAACCATTGTGCGGATGTCTCTGATTTCTAACATGGTAGAGTCCAAACTGTGGCTGATAATTATGACTGTTTATGCTGCTCAGAGCAGAGCAGCTTTTACCTGAGCCACTAGCAGAATAATGTGCATCCATAGACTTTCTCCTCACCTCCACCTCTAGTGCCCCTAAGTACACCCAGCAAAGGGAGGGAGCAGAATTGTTGACTTATGGTTCAGCATTGGTGATAGATAGCCAAAGGATCCAGTTAGCTCTAGGGACTCTCAGGCCCTAGACTGTGCCCACTAGCCAAGTGCCAAAGCTTTGATCATCAGGCTGGCTGTTTAGGCACCTGTTATTGATTTTATTTGAGTAGTTTCTTTTTTCTTTGTCCCAAAGCATTGCCATTTTCACATCTTTCAGTATCATTATTTAAATTATTGGATTTTAGAGCTAGAAGAAAGCACAGATTTCACCTAGACAAGTGGTTATTAATAGTTTCTTTTAATTTGTTTATTT
Organism: Homo sapiens; assembly: GCF_000001405.40. NCBI lineage: Eukaryota > Metazoa > Chordata > Mammalia > Primates > Hominidae > Homo > Homo sapiens. The sequence continues at coordinate 104,917,365 of NC_000010.11, forward strand.
TAAAATTAACATATAACATTGTATGTGTTTATATTGTACAACATACTGTTTTGAAGTACATATGCATTGTGGAATGGTTAAATCTAGCTAATTAACAAATGCAGTAACTCACAGTTACTTTGTGGTGATAATACTTAATATCTACTCTTATCATTTTTCAAGAAAATAATATATTGCCATTAACTATAGTCATCATGCTCTACAATAGATATCTTGAACTTATTCCTCCTATATAACTGTAATTATGTATTTTTTGACCAATGTCTCCCAAACATGCCTCCCCTTTAACCATTCGACCCCTGTTAACCACCATTCTATTATCTAATTCTGAGATTAACTCTTTTAGATTCCACATATGCGTGAGATCAAATGGTATTTGTCTGTCTGTGTCTGGCTTATTTAACTTAGCATAATGTCTTCAGGTTCATCCATGTTGTCACAAAAGACAAGATTTCCTTTTTTATGGATGAATGGTATTTTATTGTGTCTACGTACCACATTTTCTTCATTCATCCATTGATAGACACTTAGGTTGATCTTATATCATGGCTGTTGTGAGTAGTGCTGCAATAAACATGAGAGTGCAGAAATCTCTTGGACATACTGGTTTCATTTTCTTTGGATATATACCCAGTAGTCGAATTGCTTGTTCATATGGTAGCTCTATTTTTAATTTTTGAGGAACTCCATACTGTTTTCTATAATAGCCATACTAATTTACATTCCCACCAACAGTGTGCCTAACAGTTTTTGGACTGCAAGTCTTTTACACATGTGATTAAAGTTCTAGGTGGCCTCTCTAGAAATATGCCTATGCCACAAAAATTTTCATACATTTTGAGGACTTCGTGGACACCTCAGATCCCACTCATGAACCCAAGATATCCATGGAGTCTCGGTTAGAAATCATTTTTCCATGCCAACAACATTTTACAGATGAGAAAATTGAAGCAAAAAAAACTCACATAGCCAGATAGAAAAAGGAGCCAGGATTAGAACCCAGGACTCTTGATTGTCAGGCCAGATGTATTTGCATCAGCTCATCTTTTGCAGCTTTTCTTCTTGTACAGTGATAGCGTAGGGGTTCAAAATTGCTTTATGATCTTGAATTAAAGCTTGGTGCCATGTCCTTGATGGGCACATGATTAAAGTTGACTGAATCAAGCCAGCAGTGATGGTTTTCAGTTCTTCTCCTGCCCTTCTCCCTTCTTGAGAAGGAAGCAGAGGCCCACAGAGGACAACTGCCCCACCCAGCCAACTCAACAGGTTAGGAGCAGCCTTGTCAGTTGGTCTGATGACTCCTAATTTAGTGCTCCTCCCATCCCACACAAGTGCCTTGAGCATACTGGATCTCAGTGGGCATATGCACTTTGGGCGAAGCAAGAACTGGATATTTGGTGCATGAAAAGTGCCCTACAGCGCTGATCTCTGTCTTGTATCTGGGCCACAACAGAATTAATCGTATTTTCATGTAGATGATTGATAGGCCACTTTTGTGAGGATTTTCCTAAGTGGCTCGTGAAGGTTTGTACCTGTTTGTATCTGTTTTGGAATTCATCTGTCATGTATGTTTCCTCTTCGAAAATATCATAATGATGTTTCTTTTTGTCTTTTGCTGTTTTTTTCTACTCCTGACAGTCTGAACTCTCCTTAGTGCAACTAAGAAGTTCTTAGAAGTGATAGAGACAAGGGATGGATTAAGGCAGATTCTGTGGGTTGGAAGGAACGTAGAGTTGAGATTTGGCTCTCACTGGCACGGGGATACCACCTCCATTTATCCTTCCTCATGGTGACATTCAGGCAGTGGGCTCTCAGGAGCCATTTCTCACAGAAACTAGTGCTCAATAAACAGAAGTTAGGCCTATTTTGTTGTCTGGTCTGAGAAACATCACCAAAGTGTAGTTAACTCCCATCTGGGAGGCACTGCCACCCAGAAAGTTAAACATACAGACATTTTCTTCACTCAGATTGGGGAAAAATAAGCAACAGGCCAATGGCATGGATTTTTTTTTTTTAGAAAATAGCAATAGAAATTAACGTTTGTAGCCAGGCACAGTGGCTCATGCCTGTAATCCCAGCACTTTGGGAGACTGAGGTGGGCAGATCACCTGAGGTCGGGAGTTCGAGACCAGCCTGACCAACATGGAGAAACCCTGTCTCTGCTAAAAATACAAAATTAGCCAGGCGTGGTGGTACATGCCGTAATCCCAGCTACTCAGGAGGCTGAGGCAGGAGAATCGCTTGAACCCAGGAGGTGGAGGTTGCGGTGAGCAGAGGTCACACCATTGCACTCCAGCCTGGGCAACAAGAGTGAAACTCCGTCTGAAGAAAAAAAAAAGAAATTAATGTTCATAAGGGTCCTACATGATCTAAAGTGCTTTCCTCATCATCCAAGAAAAAATGAAATTGGATTCATTTTCATTTTACTAAGTGGTATGTATTGTAATCTGAGCCTCTTGATGTTGACAGTGCACACGTAGTCTACATTCTAACTTTCTCGTAACCAGTATATTCAGCTTAGCAGAAATCCCCCTTCTCCAGCCACTTAGGCAAAAAGAAAATTTGATATAAATAAAAATACTCTTATTTGTTCCTTTATTAGTCTAGAGCTCTGGAACCATGTAACACAACTTCGTTTTTAAGTTTCCTTCTTTACGTCTTCAAGTTTAAACTTATGGTAATATGGATACTCATCTCAGCTTGTGTTAGGCAAGATGGTTTAGATTTGGTTAGTACCCAAATTATCTGTAGCAACCCATTTCATCAGTCAGCCAATGGCAGTAGTCTCTCGTGGATTTTTGAGTTCATCTTGTAGAAGCACTTGCTTTTCACCTAATGAGTTATTTATTTAACAGATGGCTGCTGCTTTCCTTGGAGGCTATGAATACATCAAATGAGATCTGTTGCCCCTGGCAAAACAGTAAATTGAGTTTGTATTCATGTAGTTGCTCCCAAAGCTAATTGTTGATTTTTTAAACAATTTTGAACAACATAAAATTATCCAAATACTGATAGTTAATTAACCATTAAGTTGGAAGGAAGCAGAGGTGTTAACCTGTGTATAGTTTCCTTCTACCAGTAATCATCCCAGGTAGCACTAACTGAGCAGCTACTATCCTAAACTCCCTTTTAAGAGTTTTATCCACATGATCTCTAATCCTCCCAGCCACTTTGAAAGTAGGCAGGGTAAGAAAATAGACTTTGATAAATTACCCCAAGACTATATTGCTATAAATGGTAGATCTACAGCAGCTTTCCCAATGGGTTTATTTTGAGGACAAATTAGTCATTCAGCAATTCTGGGCTTCCTGGAGGTAGCTGAGATTTAGACTGGGAGTACTGTCTTTATCACAGGCTGTGAGCAGGGTATAATCATTTCATCTAGCGGGTTTTATAATTCCCTGTCTAAATGAGAGTATTGATATGAAATGCACGAAGCTGCTTCAGTCAAAGTTGTCCTAGACTGCTGTTCTGTGGCATGGTGGCATCAGCATTATTTTAATGACCTTGACCCACTCTGACTATTTGATGTGAATTTTGTATACCCGGTTGTTTGCCTTTCTCCAGCCATTGGCCAATTAACTCATTGCCCAGGTTTGAGCCCAACTTCCTTATGGGAGCCCAGAATTGCTGAATGTGTCTGGTTGGTACTTGAAGATGAGGAATAGTATATTAGCTCTGGAAGCAAGAGAGTGTATGGTTTGCCTCCCAGAGGAGTGGCTCCATTATGGTGGGGCTAGTAAGCTCTAGCTCACAGCTTCTCCTTCCCCTTGCATGAGATAAACATCCCTGGGTTCCCAGAACTCATTACTGTCAGTTGTTTCTTGTCCTCAGGCCCATGCAGAATGGCAAGTGCCAAGGTCAAGTCTGCTGTGCTTTGTAAAAACAGGCTGAAGGCTTTGTGCCTTAACTAGAGAGGAGCCTGACTCCCATGGGCGAGCTTATTTGAGAATGAATCTTTGAGTGGACAGAGAAATGCAGGCATGTTATTGTCTAATTACTCTGGCTCCAAAGTGACTGCCACCTGCAACTTTGGAGACAGTGCATTGGAAATGGCAGAGAGCACACACTGGTCTAACAGCCAGAGAATGTGACCAAATTACTATAGTTAGAGGTACATGTCTCTCTCTCTCTCTCTCTGTGTGTGTGTGTGTGTGTGTGTGTGTGTGTGTGATGAAAACTATAAGGTCTGACATCAGTATAGGCTAATGAGTTCTTTCTATTGAGCTTCTAATAAGTTCTAGGCACTGGGCTAAGTTCCTTACTACACTTTATTCTAAGTTTTACTATTAATCTCCTGAGCGTGGTAGTTTTATCCTCATTTGACAGACGAAGAAACTGAGGCTCAAGCAGATAGACACTTAATTTTGGAAAATAGCTAATAAGAGGGGGTCCAGGATTCCTGTTCACCTCTATCTGCCCACAGGGTTGGTGCCACTACCACAGGTATAAAGACCAGGTGAGTTGTAATCATCACTCTATTAGTGGTAACCCTGTTGCCTGGGGTTTTCTGTTCATTAGTGTTAGAGGATTAGCAGTTTCTTGGAGGAGGAGGGGAATATTACATCCTGCATTCCTAATTGATTTACCAGTGAGAAGGATAATTACTTTCAGGCTACCCTGCAGAAATATAGTGGGAATTACCAGTGAGATTCTTACAGTGAGCAAGCTGCTTTTGTCAAGCTGTTCGAGAGGCACCGCGTGTGTGGTCGGAGGCTGGTTATGCCAATGTCGCTCTCTGGATACAACACATAACCCTGAACTATCTTTAAAATGCTGGAAAACCTTTAACCAAAACATAGCACAGAATTTTAAAATACCAGACTCCTAAGATAGTTGCAGGGTCAGGGAAAGTAAGTGGCAGGGTAACACATTTTCAGTCCACAAATATTAAAGTCTCTTACACTAAAGTAAGGCCAAAAAGGTGGAAAGGTAATTTTAGGCTGTTGAACAATCTTTTAAAAATGTCTACCTCTGAGCAAAGTATGTTTTGAGGGAGGGAGTTTCCTGCTTTCAGAAATGTGCAATTCACCTGGGCAGACAAGATGCACCGAAGAAAATGACTGCTACATAGACCTAGGTCTCAAATTCGGATGCATGCAGGGGCCAGAAGATAATGGCAAGGAAGATGTGGGCCAGGTAGAGACTTGGAAGCCCCTCTGTAAAGGGCCTTTTGCCATTAGGCTCCAAATGACTGTTGTCATGTGAAAATGAGGGCCCAGCATAGCCAGTTATTGTTAACATCCTTGCTATTATGTTCTGAGTTTTAAAGATATTTTTCTATATAGATTTTAATATGAAACATCCGTGTTTTGAAATATTTAGGAGGTGGAGTTCAGGGTTTGGGGGCTAACAGGCTGTACCAAATCTACTGTTATCCCTGTTTCCAGTTGGCAGCATGTGGCATATTCAAGTGGTAACTAAGTCTACAGGTGAAAAGTTGGTATTTGCAAAGTGGTCTTTAGAGTCACAGGAGAACACTTCGTAGACTCTCTTGCTGGGGACCTGCACTGATACCCTTATATGTGTGAGAGATAAACTAAGTCAAGTGTGGCTTACAAAGATTTCCCTTTGACTCAGAGGAAGCACATGGTTGATCCTTCAGTGCAAAGGGACTTTTTGTGTCATTGTAGGGTAAGACCACTAGAGTAGGGGTAGGGGGCAGATGTCTGCTTTCTGCTTCTGGTTTTGCCCCTGAGCAACTCAGTGTCTTTATATAGGCCACTTCCCTCCCAGGGCTTTCATTTCTCTATTTGTATAATGGCAAGTTTATGTTCTATGCTTTTCGAAGCCCCTTCCAGCTCAGGTCGTCTGGATGGCCACCATTTAGACAGTGTTTTTCAGAGGGCTTTGCAGTACCATGTGATGATCCACATTTAATTTCTGTGGCTCATTGGATAGCCAGTTGGGAAGTCCTTAGGAAGTGTAATCCTCATAGCTCTTAGTTATATGACTACATGTTGGCTGGCCAAGCCCTTAGGAAGTGTAATCCTCATAGCTCTTAGTTATATGACTACATGTTGGCTGGCCAAGCCCTGTTACCTGGGCTATCTTTTCTGAAGTTACAGTTCCTTGGTCAAAAGGTGGGTCCCTGAAACACACTGGCTCTGCTGGTAGAAGTCAGAGCAGCAGCACTACTTGCTGGCACAATTAAGGGGTTCTATCAGCATGAGCCAATGCAACTTCATAGGAGCATCACACGCATTACCCAGGGACGCTTAGCCCTCCTCCTGCAGGCAAGGGAGTTAGAGATGCTGCCTGTTCTGGTAACCCAGAATAGAGGACACCAAGTGTTGCAATAGGGAGTGGGAGCTTAGCTCTGCTGTACCACACTCCCTCCTTCATGGCCATTGACTTAATGACACATCAACCAGACATCTCTCCTCTGTGAGCCTTTCTTTTTCTCTTCGTAACATGTGCATAATAACCTGTCTGTTAAGGAGCAAAGAAGTCTCTGTTAGTGCTAGTATCTGTTTCTATTCATAAAGGCAACAAGTGTCTATGATAATAATGACAATGATAGTAAAAATAATAATACAAGAAGGAGCTAGAGTTTTTTGAGAGTTTGCTATGTGCTGAAAATTATCCTAAATGCTTCCAATGAATTAACTCATTTAATACTTCAACAGAAACTCTATGATGTTGGCACGATCATCATGCAATTTGCAGATGATGGATATTTGGTACTGAGATGTTAGCCATTTGCTCAGATTTGTTGCTGATGGTCATGTGCCTTGGTCTAATATGCTCATTTAACTCGTTTCCATTCATATTTAATTCTTAGACTCACTGCATATTGGAGCTTAAAGGGCTCTCGGAGACTGTGCAGACCCTCATTGAACAGAAGAGGCCACTCAGGGACTTGTCTGAGGTCATAGAGTCACTTGCCTCAGAGCTGGGGCGGGAGCAGTTTACAGACTCCTAGTCTAGTATTCTCTGCCAAGCCCATAAGGCTGGTGACAGCTGGAGAATTCTGATCTGATAGAGAACCTTGACTGAGAATAAGGTGAGCACAAATATGAAGTGGTAGGAAAATAGCATTCCACGTCGGTCCTGCTGAATGTCAGTTGTGTCTCTACGGCTTACAGAGATATCCACAGCCTCTCAGTACTCCACTCTCAAAGCCCAAAGGGTATTGCAGCTGGAATCTCATTTCAAATGAACCTGGGTGGGAAACCAAGGACTTGCATTCAAAACTGCCCAGAATGGTTGAGCAGCATGACAAAGGCCAAATGGCTTGATAAAGGAGCAAGAGGCTGGGTCCCTGGGAGGTGGGCTATCTGGGAAAAGAATCAGGATTTCTGTTTTAAGCCTTTCTGTTAACTACCTGTATGGCACTGAGAAGTCATTTAAATTCTCTGATCCTCACCTTCTCAATTTGTAAAATGGGGATAAAAGATCACTTACCTGTCCCCTTCTTTCAGAAGCATAACTAGCATGTTAGATATATTGTATGGGAGGGTTGTTAGCATTTTTTTATGAATTGTTCTTAATACTGTCCACTAGCTCCCATGCCTGGCCAGCAAAATGCTTTAATTTTTTTAAAAAAATTTACTTTAAGTTCTGGGATACATGTGCAGAACGTGCAGGTTTGTTACATAGGTATACATGTGCCATGGTGATTTGCTGTACCTATCAACCCGTCATCTAGGTTTTAAGCCCTGGCTGCATTAGATATTCTTCCTAATGCTCTCCCTCCCCTTTCCCCTGACAGGCCCCAGTGTGTGATGTTCCCCTCCCTGTGTTCATGTGTTCTCATTATTTAACTCCCACTATGAGTGAGAACATGCGATGTTTGATTTTCTGTTCCTGTGTTAGTTTGCTGAGAATGATGGTTTCCAGCTTCATCCATGTCCTTGCAAAGAAAATGAACTCAAAATGCTTTAATTTTTAACTGTAGAACACATGACTCGGTTGTCTTTTTCTCTTTTTTAAGAAAAGTAAATGCCGAATTAGGGGAATTAACATAGGCATGTTGCCTTATGTTAGAATGACCAGGTTAAACCACTTAATTTTTTTGTCCAAGGCAAACATGATATAAGGAATATGCACTACCAGAATAACTCCCCCTGGTGGCAGAAACCATGCTCCAAGCCCATCTGAGGCGCTGACTGCTTTTTGCCCCTTTTCAATGGGCATTGCCCTGATAGTGTGAATCCCATCAATTCAGCAGATGAGTGGGGAAATGAATATTTTCCCCCAAACCTTTAGGAAAAAGCAGGTTTTTGTTTGTTTGAGGCTTTTGGGTTTCTTTTTCCTCTTTTGTTTTTCATTTTTAAATCTTGAATGTTATTATTGAAGGCTGCAGGTATGGCAGACAATGAGCAGGTGAAGAACCAATGGTAAAGTGTCCCAAAACTGACATGTTAGCTAACAGGCTTCTGAATGAATTGCTGTGGTCCACAGAGGAGGCTGGAGAAGGTAGCAAGGAGATGCTGTATCAGTTACTACAGCCTTAAAACAAAGTTGGTGTCTCTTTGGACTTTCAAATTGCTCCTATGCAGCTTATTTTATTTTTGTTTAATCAAATAAGAGAGCCTTTCCATGGCAAAAAATAAAGAACATATCTAGGAAAAATGAGAGTTGTAATTTTGTTTGAAAGAAATGAGCTACAGAAACAGAAAGATTGTTACTACTGGGATGGAGCTGGCATCAAGATTGCAGACTGGAAGCCAGGGTCCGGCTGCCTGGCTGTGCCTTTAGTGCTGACCGCAGTGGCTGCTGGGCCTCCCCTCCTGAGCTGTGAGCTGCCTGCTTTCAGGCTTCCTTGGAGAGGATGCAGCTCCCAGAGGCTTGGATTTTTAAAGAGCCTCATGTCCTGCCTTATCCAGGAGGCATGCTGCCACTTTCTCTTTCCCCATCTTCTTCCTTGTCTCTTAAAACCAGACTTGCTGACTGCCTGAGAAAGACTGATTGTTCTGCTCATGGAGAGAAATGGTCCCACTTTTGTTAATTCACAGCCATCTCATTTTTTCCTGCTTCATAAATTAACATAGTTACCAAGCGGCTAGAGCAGTGTTTTGGAGATGGGTTTAGGGGAAAATGTATGAAAGGAAGAAGTAAAAAAAAAGGAAAAGAACAAAACATGAACCAAACCTCCCTCATTTACTGATTCCACGTCCAAATGTTTTTCTTCTTGGTGTATCCAGAAAAAGAACCAGAAAAGACTCCTTGCACCCCAAAAGGGAAAGTATCAGATCCCATTAGGGCTAAGAAAGCAGAAAGGAGAATCAATGAGGGGGCAGACACCGGTCTAGGAGTTTCCATCTGCCTTCGCAAGTGTGACCCAGCAATGGAATGGCTGCGAATGTGCTTCCATTCAAACTCATCACTTAAAGGAAAAAGAATCTAGAGTAATTCTTGGAAATTCAGTCTTAAGTCACAAATGTCTCTTTCTCAGCAAATATAGGTATATGGTTCTTTGTATAAATTACTGCAGTGTGCTCTGGCCAAGAATTTATTTAAAGGCTCATTAAAATGATTACTAGTTTTTTCTTTTGCATTTTATTTGAAAATGGGAAGAATATAAACCTATCCTGGCTCTTCTCCAAAGTGCCCTTTAGGGTTTGCATCGAGTATATCGTAATTTTTTTAAAAATAAAGATAATAATGATTTGCATTAAGATTATCCAGACATTTTAGAGGAATAATAAAAATTAGTCACTTAGTGTACTTTTTAGGTGCTTATGTTTGCTCAATATCTTTTAAAATTTTTATTTCTATTGTTGAAGTTTTTATGTGTCTGTATGTGTGTATATGTGCATCTAGGTGTGTATAAAACATTTTTCACAAAGTATTATGAAAACTTGAGAGTTAAGAAATATGAAAAAATGTCTGTTTCTCTTCCGTGTGAACTCTGATTTGGGCTGAACCAAGGATTTAGGGAAGCTTGTATTCCTGGATGGCCACATACAATGCTGGTTCCATTTCACTGCCTGGCTCATTTAGCCATCATAGTTGCTCAATAAAGCCTCTGAGAAGGGATTCCATTTGAGGTTAAATGGCAGCCAAGGACACACAGTAATTGTTTAGGCAGAGCCAGTGATAGGAGCAGGAAAATCAAGGGTGCAACCCAGATGAGAGGTCATTGATCTGTATCTTGAGAGAGTCAGGCTGGATAAGAGAAAATAACAACACAGTGAACATTGATGGGGGCTTCTAAGCCAGGCCTGAAGGACCAGTGGAGATCATGGGAGTTTTACACTTTGAAAGCCTTTAAAAAGAAGACAGCAAGCTGAGCACGGTGGCTCACACCTGTAATCCCAGCACTTTGGGAGGCCGAGGCAGGTGGATCACCTGAGGTCAGGAGTTCAAGACTAGCCTGGCCAACATGGTGAAACCAAGTCTCTACTAAAAGTACAAAATTAGCCAGGCGTGGTGGCGGGTGTCTGTAATCCTAGCTACTCGGGAGGCTGAGGCAGGAGAATCGCTTGAACCCGGGAGGTGGAGGTTGTGGTGAGCCGAGATCGTACCATTGCACTCCAGCCTGGGCAACAGAGCAAGACTCCGTCTGAAAAAAAAAAAAGAAGACAGTGTGTATCCAAGTCTAGAAGAGTGAATGCAGCACCAAGCTTGAAGAAGGATGTCATGCTGTGGCATAATCAAAGCTGGTAAAAGGTAGAGGCAAAAATCAGGCAGAATTTGGAAGAAATTTTGGGATTTGGAAAAGGAGGGAAAGGAAAGGGCAATCTGATAAGGTAATGAGAGTATAGAGGTTTTAAGTATGTGGGTTTTAGCAGTTTCAAGTTGGGAGAGAGAATAGGGTACGACTAGATATTATAGACTCCCAAAAGCCCAGGGATGGAGTTAGGACTCAGGGCAGAAGGACCTGGGGAGCCATAGCAGGCTTCTGAGCAGGGGCTTGAAAGCATGAGACCTGTGTCTCAGGAAGGCTGGCGACCAGCCTCTCAGACTGATGAGATGCCTGTGTTAAGCATCCCACTCTGTCCTCTCTTCTCACATGCACTGCCCTCACTAGACCTTCTGGGTGTGTTTTCTGAACATCACAAGCAAGAGCAATTTTAGCAAAGTGCTTGGGAAGGCAGGATGATGTGTTCTTCCTCATGTTCCAATGCACAGCCATATAGCAAATGGATCTCACTGCCCCTGAGGTAGAGATATCTGTAACAAATACAATCACCACCACTGGTGAAAGAAATGACTCGATTTTTTTTTCTTCAACCAAGCAGAGAGATTGCTACTGGCATGCATGCCTCCTCGCCCCCAGTTCGTGCCCCCATTACCAGCCCAAGGTCAGAATGACAGACCTCAGCACTTGGTACACACTCTGCTGGTGAGCGTGTCTGGGCAATGAGGGCCAAGTGTCCTGGGATCCTCGGGTCTGCCAGATGGCTCAGGGGTGGGTTTGAAGCCAGCAAGTCTCTGTCCCCACATGTTGGGGTCTGAGCTGGCAGGGAAGTCTGAGACATTGGCCTCAGTGACAAATGAAGGCCTTGGTCAGTGCTGCAGCCCTATGTCGAGGGCCTCCTGAGAGCAGATGCAGACAGTCAGCCCTGTCATCCCACAGCATGAATCTAACTCTGAGAAATGGCTTGGGCTGTCTTATGATGACCAAACAGAGGAAACAAATGAATCAGAGAGGACAGAAGTGTGAGAAATGCATGTGATTATCTCCTTGGCAGGGCAGCCAGAGGTAGGAAAAGTAGTGGTCAGTTTAGAGCTCCTTAATTATTCCTGGTTTCCCCCAGGGCCCAATGAGGTAGTGTGATGTGCAGGAAAGAGCGTGCAGCTCATGCTTCAGTTGCTGTGTGACCTTGAACATATTACTTGACTTCTCTAAGCCTTAGTTGTTTAATCTGTCAATGGGGCTCACAATAGTATTTTATAAAACAAAACAGCTTTAATAATTAAATAGCATAATGTATATAGAATACCTGGCAGAGAGTAGGTATGACTGGCTTTTCACCAGTTAAATGAGCCTCTCTTCGGCTTTCCCCCCTGCTCAGTGACACCTCCCAATTCCTAGGCACTCCATATCAATGTAGCTGGCTTTTCTATTCTGGGAGAAGGAATCTATACTTCTTTATATCAGCAAATATATAGAAAAAGTTCTTTCAACTTCCAAAATGAAAACAATAACAAACTCCTCCTGCATCCCTCCTGTTTCATCATTTATTTACCCATCTGCCTGTGTGCTCTGTAGCAGGCAGGGCCCAGTGGCCCTGAGCTTCAGGTGCATCCCAACACTGAGTTGGTCCCAAAGGTTCCAAGCCCTAGACAGCCCTCAGCAACAGGCCAGCCCCATTGTCTCTGGGCTTCAAGCTGGCCCCTGGGGACACAGGCTCTAAGCCTATCCCAGCAGACTCAATCAACAGGTCCATCAATGTGGATCCAGGCTGCAGGCCTGCCAGCCTAAGGACTCCAACAGCAAGCCCACCCATGGACCATGCTAACCAGTCTGTCCAGAATCTCTGGATGGCATGACTGCTAAGGGAATTTCCCAGACAAAGCCAGCGTGCAAAAACTGGAATAAGTACCTATTTTTTTCAGTTACACAGACACCAGAATATAGCCACAAGCATCAAGAACAAACAGGGAAACATGAAATCACCTCATTAAAGGGACAAAATAAAGGACAGTGACTGATCCTAAAGAAATGGACATGTATGAATTGCCTGACAAAGAATTAAAAATAGCTGCTTTAAGGAAGTTCCATAAATGTCCAGAAAATGGCAGAGAAATAATTCAATGAAATGAAGAAAACGATAAACGATCAGAATGGGACATTTAACAGAGTGATTGAAATAATAAAAAAATCAACCAGAAAGAACAGTAATTGCTAACATTGTGCATTGTTCTAATAAAAAAAAAGGTATAAGGTAAATACTGTTATTCTTAATTTGAGAGAGGACACATTGCAGCAAAAAGACTAAAGCTTTCCAGTTGGGCAGTGGCCAAGTCAGGTTTTGAAACCAGATTGTCAACTTTTAAACATATGCTTCATAGTAATAATAAAAATAAAAGAAAAATTAATACTGTGTGTTATTGGTCTCTCCTGGCTTAGATGGGTACCATGACCCTCTAGAACATCTCTTTATAAATCCATGAAAAGGAATATAGATGTGGAAAGGGATGTGTTTCCTTCTAGTCCAGCAATGCCATGGCTCCATGCTGAGAAGTTCTGAAAAATATTCCCTGCCGAGAGAAGAAGTCACGGGAGTTGCTGAGTTTTCTGAAACATAGGACAAACAATACACCGGGGTTGATGGGGGCAGTAAATAGCCTTTGGAAAATGCCTTAGTGTTCAATAATTCATAAGAGTAAGCATCAGTGCCAAGCACTGGCATTCCCACTTGGAAGCCCCCATAGGGCAGGGGCTGGCTGGGTTGCTGAGGGCCTCTTTTCACTTGGCCAAGAAGCTACTTTGTTGATATCCTCACTCTACCTCTTAGCAGCTGGGGGCTTAGGCACATCATTAAATACTTATAAGCTTCTCTTTCCTCGTCTGTGTAATCGGGATGATACTAGTACCCATCTCCTTAGCTGATAGAAGGATTAAATGAGAAATCTTTGCAAATACTTAGTGAGTGACCAACCCGTGGTACCCTGTAAGTAAATACTATTTATTATTACTCTTGTCATCATTGTAATCTCAGGACAATGGGCCCTTGAAAACAGGGGATAATTCCATGTTTGATCTACCCATTTATGATGGACACTCAGCCTGGGCAATTATTGCTCTTATTCAGGCATCTGGTGAGCCTTTGGAGAAATGTGGAGCTGGCAAGTGACTGAAAGTTTGTCTGCTTTAAAGCTCTCATTAAATTGATGAAGAAACTGAGTCTCAGGGGGGGAGTCCCTTATTCAAAGTTACACAGCCACTTGATGGCAGAACTATGATTTTGGAGATCAGGTGTCTGGCTTCAAGCCCAGTATCTTCCTGTTAGATTACACAGAAAGACACTGCACAATACAGGCAGAGCTGGGCAGCTAGGTAGCTACAGAAGACCCTGACATTAGGGCGCTTTGAGATTCTCTTATCTTTGTTCAGTAAACCTAGGATTTCCAGGGCACTGGCAGCAGAAACGGCCAGGTCAGGCTTTCAAATCGTGTGACTCTGGTGGAGAAACTGCCCAAGGGTATAAATAAGGTCTTAAATAAGACCTTTAAGGCTAAGTTGTACTCAGAGCAACCAAAGGCAGCAACATCAAAGGAGAGTCTGAGTCAGGGTTGAATAAAGAGAGAAAAAGTCCAAATTGGAGAATGTCTGTTGATATGCAAAGGCTGAGAAAAGACTCCAAACAGAAATCTCAACCTCTAGAAAGGCTCCAGAAAGACTGGAACCAACTTAGGTGATAGACTGTAAGACAGGCCTGAGAATAGTGTTCAGGACTGAGACTAGGAGGCTATTGACAGCCTGTTTTTATAGGGCAACTTTTGCTTATGCAGGGACAGTAGCAGGAGAGGCACTTGACTGATTAAAGCAGTTAGGCCAGGCCAGACAAGAAGGACAGTCACAAAAGAAGAATAGCATGAAGATAGGATGCAATTATCCAAAGTGGTCTTTGGCCTGAACCTCAAGTCTTAAATCATCCCAGGGGAGGCAGTGGCAGCATAGATATGCATGAGAGATTTCCTGACTCCACTCTGGACCTTTGGAGAGGAGTGAGCTGATGTCAGAGCAGAAACTTAGTGTGCACGTTAGCTCTGGAAACTCAGCTTGAAATAATGAACTGCTGGCTTCCTGGTCTCAGCCGCCCTGCCTTGATCCCAAATCACAGAACATCAGCATTCTATAGCTCAAAGGAGATCAGCTTTGCAGACCCAAGCTTGTAAAAAGTTATTTTTCTTGGAAGATTTTCTTGGCATTAATAGTTTCTACAGAACCCGTCTTGCCTCAGCTGGACCCTAAGCAAATTGTAAATGATTTGGAGCATTCCCTACCACTCTCTTCTCTGAAGTAGCTATAAAGATTGTTTCTCTTTAGTCTCACGGCTGCTTGCATTTGAATGTATGCATGCTGAGTGTACCCTGAAGTCAGGGCTGGCACATGGGCCTGAACTATCAACCCCTGGAAGTGAGGGAGAAAGAAGTGGTGAGGAAGTAGGCTGTACCACAGTTATCCCCTCAAAAAGTGACACAGTTAGAACTTTCTATATATCTTCAGGAATCACCACTTTGATCTTGCCAATCCTTACTCAGAAACTTTCAGCAGCTTCCAGGTGTCCACAGGAGAACATCTACCTCATTAGTCTGGTGTTCATGTGGTTCTGTCTACGTTGTGTGATTCTCAGCTTATGTGTTCAGCCTTTTCTTTGTCCTGCTCTATAGTGTTAGTTCTATGCTTTGAACAAGTTTCATTTTAACTTTTAATTTTTATTTTTTAGAAATGAGGTCTGTCTTTGTTGTCAAGCCTAGAGTGCAGTAGAGCGATCATAGCTCACTGCAGCCTTGAATTCCTGGGTTCAAGCAATCCTCCTACCTCAGAGTCAAGAGTAGCTGGGACTACAGGTGCACTTACCACTCCCAGCTATTCTTTTTAATTTTCTTTTTCTTTTGTTCTTTTCTTTCTTTATTTATTTTTAAAATAGAGACAGGGTCTTGCTTTGTTCCCCAGGCTGGTCTTGAACTCCTGGCTTCAAATAATCCTCCTGTGTTGGCCTCAAAAAGTGATAGGATTACAGACATGAGCCACTGTGCTGGCCCCCTTGGACAAGTTTTAATTGTTCCATACCTCAGGCTACTTTCCATAAAATAGGAATCATAATACTTCCCTAGATCAGCAGTGATGCTTTGGCTCTGCAAGATACAGAAAACTCTGCCTGAAATGGAAGCATAGGAAACATATGAGTTCATGTGATAGAGTCTCAGGGTAGGTAGCTCCAGGTTGTTAATTCTTTGGTTCAGTGACATCTTGGAAGACAAAGTCCTTTCTATCTTGCTGCTCTGCCTTCTAGAGCATTGGTCTTTGTCCTCTGGCTATTTTTTTTTTTTTTATAATGGATGACAAGATGGTTACAGAGGTTCTGGCATCACACCCAGACAGACAGTAAAATGTACAGAAGACCAATAGTAGACAACACATTTTCAGATGGAGGGAACTGCTTCCAGAAGCTCAGAGCTCCCAGCAGAGTACCATGTGTGCATCATGTCAGGACAGGGTAAACCAGGGGAGACAGAGTGGGGCCCAGCCTCCTCTAAGCACAGGCCCACACAGAGAGGGATACTGTAACAAAATACAAGTTCTGTTAGGAAGGTAGAAAGAGGTGCATTGATGGAAGTTATATAGGCAACCACCAACGCCTGCTGCACTGCCTTATAAGGTTCATTTGAGAATCAAGTGACACGAGCCGTGTAAATCATGTAAATGTTAACATCTCTGCTATTTATTATCATTCCCATCTTTATGCTGGGTCTCCCACTGATGTGTGTCCACTCCACCTATCAAAATCTTATTCCTCTTTCAGTGTTCAGCTTAAATCTTCCTTCCTTTTTTGTCTTACTCTGTAGCCCAGGCTGGAGTGCAATGGTGCAATCTTGGCTCACTGCAACCTCCACAACCCGGGTTCAAGAGATTCTCTTGCCTCATCCTCTCGAGTAGCTGGGACTACAGGCATGCACCACCATGCCTGGCTAATTTTTGTACTTTTAGTAGAGATGGGGTTTCACCACGTTGGCCAGGCTGGTCTCGAACTGACCTCAGGTGATCTGCCTGCCTCGGCCTCCCAAAGTGCTGGGATTACAAGCATGAGCCACTGTGCCCGGCCTTCCCTCCTTTTTGAAATTTTCCCAGACACCCCACTATTTCACTCCTATTTTTAACCCCAGATGAAACTTCTGTCCCTAATTCCCAAAGCGCTATGGCAGCCAATGGATTGATTGCATCAAATAACATAAAGGAACTTGAATAATATTGAATCCCAGACCTCATCTACCATGGAGAATCTGATTCTACAGGTCTGGGAAAGGTTAAGGCTATGTATGAGACAATAGGTCTAGGCATTAATGATGTATAATCAGGTTTGGAATAATTTTTGAACTTAGTATCTGGGCTTTATGGACTGCAAAGGTAGCAGATAACTTTTCAAGTTTGGTGTTTAAAGAGCAGGGACAGTATCTTGTATGTTTTTGTGTCCCTGAGTGTTGCTTAACACACAGCCTGGGCACATTTGTACAGTGTCAATAATTTTAAAAGTTGTGTATTTACTGAACCTTTTGAGTGAGAGGATTTAAATTTTTTTTTCAGACTCTTTCTGGATGTGCGCATAAGTGCACTCATTTTATCCATACCTCTTGTATTCTAAGACTTACAACCAAGAAATGTTTACTGGTTTACTCCTTTACCACTTCTTGCCAAAGAGGTAGACCAGCCTGCCTCCTTATGCTCAGATTCGGTCTTTCTGTCAAGAGTTTCCATCCTCCTTTTGGAATTATAACCAAGTTAAAAGGTCTGACTGTGATTTCCTTTAAGATTGTAGAGGTGGACGAAGTCAAAATTGACTTAATACTATCTGTGAAAACAGTCAAGGCTGGGAAGGGGCATTTTTTGCACTGCTTTCCTTTAGCAGTGGTGATTTTAGCAGTGAGTTATAGTACATGCAGTTGGAGTTGAAGGACACTGAGAGAGATTCTGAGCAGCAGAACATTCAGTTGGTCCATGAGTGTTTTCTAAATGTCAGTGGGGAATGTTGGCTTGTTTGGGTACTGAGGAGGACTATTAAGCAATAGTAAATAATAGCCCATGACATTCTTACTGTGTGCCAGAGACAGGGCCAATCATCGTATGATTAATTCTCGGAGCAGTCCTTTGACCCTTGTGAGTTAGGTATTATAATTATCCCCATTTTGCACCTGTTCAACTGAGGCTAAGAGGTTAAAAACTTACCTCACTAGGAAGCTGATGACCTAGGTTATGAACTCAGATTTGATTGACTCAGGATTTCAGGCTCTGACCCACTGAACTCTATTGAGTTCTAGAAAGCATGTATCACTGCTTTCAGCAGATTTGGAGTCTGTTTCATTAGATCTCAACTCTGGCTGCTCTTTAGGATTACCTGGAGGAGCTTTAAAACATACCCATGCTCAGGCCTCAGCCAAGGAGATGTTTAAATACATCTAGGGTGGGGTCCAGGGTTGGCAATTTATAAAGCTTTTGAGGTAATTCTATTGTACTTCCAGCATCAAGAACCATGGGTCTAGTTGGAGTGAAAAAAATTCATTCATCCATCAAATTTTATTTAGTGTCTTTTGTGTCCCTGGTCTTTGCTTTTCTGGAGTCATTCCCAGGAGAGTGATAAGCATTGCAAGTCACAAGAGGAAAGAGGCACTGATTCTGCCCGGCAGGTCTAGGAAGCTCAGAAGGAAGCTATATTGAAGCAGAGGCAACACATCAGTAGAGGTTTGCTGAGGACTAATGGTGGGGTGGGTTGGGGAGGGTTTTCTGGGCAGAGGAAATAGCACATGCTGTAGCATAGAGTTGTGAGAAGGTAAGGTGTGTTCAGGAAGCTGCAAAAGGCTTGGTTTGGGTGGAGTGAAAGCACCTGTGATGTGGTGGCAGAGGAGGAGGGAAAGTGGTTAGGGACCATGTGAGCAAAGGTGTTGGGCTCAGTACAGGGCTCAGGAGTTGAGATTTTGTTTCTTGAGAGGAGTCATTGCATCAGGTCTGTGTCCTAGAAAGTCCCTTGGGAAACAGGGCGAAGGCTGGATTTAAGGGAAAGGTAAGACTGATAGAGTCCAGTATGACATTGCTTTGCAAAAGCAAAAAATATTTTTTGCCACCTGAAGGCCTAATCATGACAGTTTTACCAGTAAATTAATCTATTATACATTCATATGATGGAACATGATAGAATGATTAAAGATTATGTGTATTGATATGGAAAGCTATTCATTATATGTATGTTTAAAAAGACAGGTTATAGAACTGTATATCTGAAATGGAGCAAGAAAAAAAAATGGCTAACATTGTGTTGTAGGGAAGAGATGACAAGGACCTGGACTCCTATAGTGTAGAAGGAAGGTATGGAGGGGCCAGCTGTGAAAATGCTAGAAAAGTGGGATCAACCCAAATTAGTGTTTGGATGTTGGGATAAGAAAAGAAAATTTTAAGGTGGGGTTCCGAGGATTTCAACTTGAGTGGCTGGGTAAATGAATGAGAGCTGGGGAACTGGGCATATTAACAAAACATAGATGGACTGCAGAGAGACAGGTTGGTGAATGATAATCAGTTCGATTTGGGCATGCTGAGTTTGATACTATGGGACATCCAGGGGAAAAGGCTGTTAAGCTGTTGGATTTATGTGTCGGGATGTTAGGAAACAGTCTTGAGCTTAAGAGCACAGATAAGTCTCCTTGGCAAACAAAGACGAATTTAACAATAAAAGCTGTTTGGGATTCTTGTTGTTGAACATAGGATCAAATGCAAGTAAACCCAGACTGCTATCAATTCAGCAAACAGTTTTTGAAAACTTTCTCAGTGATCAACATGGTGCCAGGTACAGGGATCACCAAATGAACAGACTTGGTCTCTGTCCAAGGAAACATAATCTATCAAGTGCTTTGGTAACACAAAGGAGGGACTGATTAATCTACCATGAATGTTTAGAGGAAGATGTGGCAGAGGTCACATTTGACTAGGCTTCAAAACAGTGGTCCCCAACCTTTTTGGTACCAGGGACCAGTTTTGTGAAAGACAATTTTTCCACAGATGGGGGCACAGGGGGTGATTTCAGATGAAACTGTTCTATCTCAGATCATCAGGCATTAGTTAGATTCTCATAAGTGTGCAACCTAGATCCCTTGTATGTGCAGTTCACAGGAGGGTTCATGCTCCTATGAGAACCTAATGCCTGATGATCTGACAGGAGGCGGAGCTCAGGCAGTAATGTTGGCCTGCCGTCCACTCACCTCCTGCTGTGCAGCCCAGTTCCTAACAGGCCACTGACCAGTATAGGGGTTGAGGACCCTTGCTTCAAAAGGTAAGTTAGAGTTTGCCACGTGGATCAATGGTTTTTATGCATTCCCATTGCAATTGGACTTCACTTTAGAAATTAAGCAGATTCTAGAAAATGTAGGTGTTAATTTGAATGCCAGGATGCCAAATATATAAATTCATTAGGAGAGTTCACTATAAAATCTAAGTTTTATTTTAAAAGATAACTAACATAGAATAAGTGTTTTCAAGTCAGTTTAAGTTCTCTTTCATCATGGCCGAAAGCTCACATTACTTTCGCTTACCACGAGGCAAAACAACATTAAATATCTGAGTCAAGAAGGATGGTGCATATGATACGTTTTCCTTCAGTCTAGAGCAAAGTAAGTTCGGGTCTTGGAAGGGCAACCCTTCCCCACTCCAGCCAGATGCCTCATTCCCCATGGCTGAGTCAATACAAAAAGAATGAGTGAGTCAATTCTTGCTCACCTCAAGGGAGCTTGTTGAAGGTCACTCAGCAAAGTGGTGGCAGAATGCCATTGCTTTATGGACCTTGCCACACTAATGGGCACTTCCAAATGATGCTTCCCCACATGTTTGGCCTCTCTCCTCTGGCAGTGCATGTGTGTGCTTTTACCTTTAATTACAAGGCACAGCAGTGCACAGTGGTTTGGATGCAGGTGCCAGTGGAGATGGAAGCCAGCCAAGTAGTAGACGCTTGACCTGGTGAAGGATGACAGATTGACAGAGTTTGGACTCTGGTATTACCCTTTGATTTTGCTGAAGTTTAATGTGTTTTCGGCACTTCCAGGACTCCCTATGCATCACGAGCCCATTCAGCCTCAGCTTGCTTCTTTCTTTACTGTCGTTAGTGCCTTAAATTTTTGACTGGGAAAGAAATACATCAGAGAGACCCAAACTTTCTCAAGCTGATGTGGTTCTCAGTAGTTAGCTGGTAAATTTATAACCTGGAATGAGGCTGGGCTTTGACATCTTCCAAGTGAATGGCCTTCATTGGTCAGGGAGGAATGTTTTTCAGGGGGAAGTGTTATGTGACAGAATTTGTTTTTATTCAGTTCCTACTCTGATCAAAATCTGCCAGTGACTTCTCATTGCCTGTAGGATTCAGGCCAAACTCCACAGCATGGGGTTAAAGCTCCTTCGTAATGTACACCCAATATTTTTGCTTGCCTTATCTCACTCATACTCTTTGACCTTTTTTGAATTTAGATTCCCCATGTTTCCTTTACACTCCCCCAGTAGCACCAGTGCTTATGCCCATAGTATCCTCTTAAAATGATCCTCCCTAACTTTTTTCCACTTACTTGAATTCTAACCATCTTCAGGGCCCTGTGCAGAAGTCAGTTCCAAGGGGGCCTTTCCTGATCACCTTGGCCCAGTGTTTCCTCCCACATTTCCACCAACATATTATCTTTTAATGTTTCCATCTATATAAATATGGCTAGTTCTGTTATGGCAGGCACTGAGTTTTCCCCATTCTTGTATGCATCATAGTGCCTGGCATAATGTCTTGCAGGCTGTCACAGTGCAACATTTTTCTTGCTGCCTTGCGGGGGAAGCCGTGATGCAGGTGTTGAAGGCAGTTCCAGGGTAGCTGGATTGCAGCCACTTGTCAATGGTTCTCAATCTTTCCCTGGACGAGGCCTGTGGAGGGCTAACTAATGAAGAGGTCTTTTGCTTCAGGTTTTATCCCAGCTTCCCAGATCTGCTTTCCTGGTCCAGATGGCACCTGAACTTGGCTACTGCATTCTGGACCCACCTTCTGTGTTCAGCATTCTGCTGGCCTCTCCTGTCACTGCTATAGGATTAATGGCTTCCAGCTGTGATAGTTATACTCTTCCTCTAGCACCCTCTGCCAAAATCCAGAGTCTAGTACCTCTGGCTGGAGGAGACGAGGAAGGAGGAGTAAAGGAGACATTTATGGTGGAATTGATTACTCCCTTTTTGATGCTTTCATCGCACTCTTGTTTACCTCCCTAGCATGTATCTTCCTGTAGCTCAGCCATTTATGTCTTTGTGTCTCCTGCTAAGTCGTAAATGCCCCAAGGCCAGAACCATGCATTATCTGTCCCTGCTTACTGGTACCTAACACAGTGCCTGGCACTGGGTTGACATTCATTTCAACTAAGCTGAAATCAGTAAGCAATTACAAAGTCAGAATAACCCACAAAATGTCCGATCAAAGCAGGTGTACTCTCTGCACTCCAGAGTGAATTCCCGTGGCTCCTCTTATGACAGTCCTTTTAAGAGAACGTCCAAATGGGTCTGAAACTCCTGAACACTGGAGCTTGGAGAGACATTTTTAATCCTTTGGGTGGAATTACCACTGGGGAAGAGGGAGGTCAAGGCCAGCCAAACTGTCCCTGAGACCGTGAAGTAACTGCCCTCACCAAAAACCTACTCAGAAAATGAATTTCTTGATGGGTCTCCAAACTGACTCTGGTCCAAATAGCCCAAGGGCAAGACTAGAAGGGATTTGGGCATGGATTTGTCTTGCTCCACAACACTCGGGTGGGTAAAAGATAAGCCATATTAAACAATCTTTCCATTGAAAAATGAAATCAGGAGCTCGAGCCCGTAATCACTAGACTTATTGATTTATTTCATCTCAGTGATTCTTTTTGGCTCTCTCCCCCATGCCTTTGTTACCGGAAAGGGGTCTGGATCCAGACACCAAGGGAGGGTTCTTGGATGTCATGCAAGAAATAATTTTGGGGTGAGTTCACAGAGTAAAGTGAAAGCAAGTTTAAGGAAGTAAAAAAACAAAAGAATGGCTACTCCATAGGCAGAGCAGCAGCAAGGGCTGCTGGTTGGCTATTTTTATGGTTATCTCTTGATCATATGCTAAACAAGGGGTGGATTATTTATGACTTTTCCAGGAAAGGGGCAGGAAATTTCCAGAACCGAGAGTTCCTCTTCCTTTTCTTTTATATATATATATATATATATATATATATATATATTTTTTTTTTTTTTTTTATTATACTTTAAGTTCTAGGGTACATGTGCACAATGTGCAGGTTTCTTACATATGTATACATGTGCCATGTTGGTGTGCCGCACCCATTAACTCGTCATTTACATTAGGTATATCTCCTAATGCTATCTCTCCCCCCTCCCCCCACCCCACAACAGGCCCCGGTGTGTGATGTTCCCCTTCCTGTGTCCAAGTGCTCTCATTGTTCAATTCCCACCTATGAGTGACAACATGCGGCGTTCGCTTTTTTTGTCCTTGTGATAGTTTGCTGAGAATGATGGTTTCCAGCTTCATCCATGTCCCTACAAAGGACATGAATTCATCACTTTTTATGGCTGCATAGTATTCCATGGTATATATGTGCCACATTTTCTTAATCCACTCTATCATTGATGGACATTTGGATTGGTTCCAAGTCTTTGCTGTTGTGAATAGTGCCGCAGTAAACATACGTGTGCATGTGTCTTTTCAATGAAATAAAAGAGGACACAAACAAATGGAAGAACATTCCATGCTCATGGATAAGAAGAATCAATATCATGAAAACGGCCATACTGCCCAAGGTAATTTATAGATTCAATGCCATCTCCATCAAGCTACCAATGACTTTCTTCACAGAATTGGAAAAAACTACTTTAAAGTTCATATGGAACCAAAAAAGAGCCCTCATTGCCCAGTCAGTCCTAAGCCAAAAGAAAAAAGCTGGAGGCATCATGCTACCTGACTTCAAACTATCCTCTTCCTTTTCGATCATATAGGGTAACTTCCAGGTGTTGCCATGGCATTTGTAAACTGCCATGGCACTGGTGAGAATGTCTCTTAGCATGCTAATGCATTATAATTAGCAAATATTGAGCAGTGAGTACACTAGAGGTCACTTTTGGCACATCTTGGTTTTGGCAGGTTTTGACCAGCTTCTTTATTGCATCCTGCTTTATCAGTGGGACTTTGTGACCTGTATCTTTGTGACCTCCTGTCTCATTTTGTGACTAAGAATGCCTAACCTCCTGGGATGCAGCTCAACAGGTCTTGGCCTCATTTTACTCAGCCCCTATTCAAGATATAGCTGCTGTGATTTGCACACCTCTGATACCCTTGGGCCATGTAAAAATTCTTGATTTTATAATATAAGGAAGAATAGAAAATGTCTTTCACTTCATTTGGGAATGGTCTTCACTACACCTGGCCCTTGTTTGTGTGGTCTCTTCAGAGGAGGCTAACTCTGAAGGTGTTTTTACTGTCTCTGTGTTGAGTTAGGCTGTGCACATCTTCTTTAGGGTTCTCAAGGCCACCAGCTTTGTTCCCAGTTTATACAGGCACTCCCATTAGAGTTTCTGCCACTCAGCTATTGCTTATCAGGCTGAGAACTACCACTCTCGTTACTACTATCCAATTAAAACTTTCAGGATTTGGACTCTTCTCTTTTCAACAAGAACACCAAAACTTGGACAACCTGGCTTAATTCCCTGGGTAGGTCTAGATTATAGAGAAGCAAAAATGACTGTGGCATTGGCTTCCAGGAATAAGCCTCTTTCTCTTCTTGCTCTGGCTCCAAAGCAAAGTAAAAAAAAAAGCTGTCAACTCCCCACTAGGGGAAAGAGTCCAGGCCTTGGAAACAAAGGCCTGGCTGGATGTCTGGAAGGGCTTATATGGGGAATTGAGACTTAGCTTTTGTTTTAGCCTGATGAGTCTGGAGTATTGAGAAAAAAAGACACAATTTAATGTCTTAATAGATTATCCTGTGTATTAAATTCTCAATAAATCTCCCTGCTATAAGGACAGGGATTATCTTTATTCTCTCTTTTTAAATGATAAAAATATCTTGTATTCACTGGAGAGGTTGTGCCTAGACAGTATGAGGATCAAAGAGATCTTACTTTAAAAGGCCAGTGCTCTGGAAGGAGAATCATAGATGGAATCTGACCAGTGAAACATTTCACACATTTTCCCAGGACTTCTAGGAGTCAAACGTTACCATTTCCTAGAGCAACTGCTGAAATATTTTGGAATATTGAAAATTTGAAGAGTTCAGTATTAATCAGATGAAAGGAATCGTAATTAAATGTCTTCCCACCAAGAAGTCACCAGGCCCAGATGGCCTCACCAGTGAATTATTTCAAATGTTAAGGAAAACTAGATCTTACAGAAATTCTGTTAGACAATAGGAGAAGAAAGAAGACTTTCCAGCTCATTGTGAGGGCAGCATCACTTTGACACAAAACTTGAGAATGACATTATAAGAAATAAGAATTACAGATTAATCCTTTTTATGAACATAGATGCAAAAGTCCCTAAGACATTAGCTAATTAAATCCAACAAAATATAAAGATAACATATTACAACCAAATTGGGTTTATTTTAGGAATGCAAGGTCACTTTAACATTCAAAAATCAAATGTAATTTGCCACAATTACATAATAAAGGAGAAAATCATGTGATAATCTTAAGCAATGCAGAGCAAGTATTTGATAACACTCAATACCCATTCATGATAATAACTCTTATCCAACTAGAGGAGAACTTCCTTAATGAGATAAAGTGTAGTTTTTAAGAAGCCAAAAACCTACAGCAAACCTCAAACTAAATGATGAAATCTTGAAAGTTTCCCTCCTAAGATTAGCAATCTAAGATTAGATAAGGATGCCCACTAACACCTCTTTTATTCAGCATTATAATGGAGGTTCTAGTCAGTGCAAAATGCAAGAAATAAATAAAATGTATAAGGATTGGAGGGAAAAGAAATAACAACTGTGGAAAATTCAAAAGAATCTGTAAATAAACCCTTAGAATTAATAAGTGAATATGGCAAGGTCACTGGATATAATGTCAATGTATAAAAGTATTATTTTTAGACAATGCAACAGAAAATAAATATAAAATATTTTTTTTTAAGAGACGGAGTTTTGCTCTGTTGCCCAGGCTGGAGTGCAGTGGTGCATTCTTGGCTCACTGCAACATCCGCCTCTTAAGTTCAAGCAATTCTCCTGCCTCAGCCTCCTGAGTAGCTGGGAGTACAGGTGCATGCTGCCATGCCCAGCTAATGTTTTGTATTTTAGTAGAGACGGGGTTCCACCATGTTGCCCAGGTCTCGAACTCCTGAGCTAAGGCAATCCACCTGCCTCGGTCTCCCAAAGTGCTATGATTACAGGCATAAGCCACTGTGCCCGGCCAAATGTAAAAAGAGTTCTATGTATAATAGCATCAAGTAATATGTGATAAATATGTTAATAATATAGTAATACAATGAATCAAGTCATGAATGCTGAGTGGAGACTCAATATAGAAGACTAAAAAAATTCTTGAAAACATTTCAAGGTGGCCTAAGTAAAGAGAAAACCAAGTTTATGGTTTATAGAATTAATTTTATAAACATCCTTATTTCCCCCCACTCTCATCTATTGATTCAAAACAATCTCAATGGAAATTCTAATGGACTTTTTCTGTGGAATTTAACAAGCTGATTCTAAAATTTATAAACAAATTTAAAGGGTGAAGAATAGGTAAGAGAATCTTGGAAAAAAAAGTTGGAGATATTACTAGACATAAGACTTATTTAAAGCTGCAGTAATTAAGAAAGTCTGGTATTAGCGCAAAGATAGAAAAATAGACCAATAGGACAGAATAAAAGTCCAGGAGTAGATCCATATATATACAGTTGCTTGAGTTTTTTGCTTTTCTTTTGAGATGGGGTCTTGCTCTGTTGCCTAGGGTGGAGTGAAGTGGCATGGTCATAGCTCACTGCAATCTCAACCTCACAGGATCAAGCAGTCCTCCCACCTCAGCCTCCCAAGTGCATGCCACCACACCCAGCTATGTTTGGTTGCTTGATTTATAACAAAGGGTAACACTGAAATGCAGTGATGAAAATGTGGTCTTTTAAAAAATATAACTAGGTCTATTAAATATCCTAATATTAAAAAATAATAATCTTGACTCCTCTTACTTCGACAAAAAACATTTCTTCTGGATTGCAGATATGACTATTAAACTTAAAACCATAAAACTTTTCAAGAAAAGCATAAGATATTATCTTCATGACTTCTGTATGGGCAAAGATTTCTTATATAGGCTTCTAAAAAATTTTGACTATAGAAGAAAAGATTGATATGTTGGACTTAAATGAAATAAAGAATTATTTAAGAAAAGCATTATATAAGAGTGAAAGTCATAGCATTTAATAAGAGAAGATGGTTGCAGTGTCTGTATCTGGCAGAGTACTCATATCTAGACTACATAAATAATGCCTATAAATCATTAAGAGAAAGACTGACGACTTAAAAAAATGGGCAGAAGACTTAACAGACATTTCACCACAGAAGGTATCTTAATGAGCAATAAACATTTGAAAACTAGCTCAATTTCCTTTGTCATCAGGAAATACAAAATTATACTACTTGAGATATCTTTTTATAACCAACATATTAGCTAAAATGAAAAGATAATATCAAGTGTTGGCAAGAAGGTGAGGCAACTGGAACTTTCATGCAGTACTGAGAAGATGTAACTTGTTATAACCACTTTAGAAAACCGGCAGTGTCTCCTAAAGCTGAATATATACACACCCTGTGACCCAGCAATTGTACTCTTAGGTATAATATCATACAGAACTACATATGTATGTGAGCCAAAAGACATGTACAAGAAAGGTCATAGCAATAAAAGCCACAATCTGGAACCAACTCACATATTTGTCAACAGCAAAATGGACTAATAATTGTGGAATAATTCATCCAATGTAATACCATACAGTAATGAGATTGAATGAATTACTGCTATAAGCAAGCAACAACATGGATTAATCTCATAGAGTATTGAGCCATAAAACGTCATAGAGTGTTGAGATAAAAAAGAATACATATCGTATGACCCCGTTTATATAACATTTAAAAATAGAACTAATCAATGTTAAATAGAAGAGCATTGTGGTTACTTTTGGGAGAGAGGACATACAAGGAGGGTTTCTGAGGTGTTGCTAATTTTCTGTTTTGTTTTGTTTTGTTTTGTTTTGTTTTTGTTTTGAGATGGAGTCTCGCTCTGTCAGGCTGGAGTGCAGTTGCATGATCTCGGCTCAGGCTCACTGCAACCTCCACCTCCTGGGTTTAAGTGATTCTCCTGCCTCAGCCTCCTGAGTAGCTGGGATTATAGGAGTGCACCACCACCCCTAGCTAATTTTTTGTATTTTTAGTAGAGATGAGTTTTCACCATGTTGGCCAGGCTGGTCTCGAACTCCTGACTTCGAGTGATCCACCTGCCTCAGCCTCCCAAAGTGCTGGAATTACAGATGTGAACCACTGTGCCCAGCCTAATGTTCTTTTTTTTTTTTTTTTTAATCATGGAAGTGAATACATAGGCACACTCACTCATCTTTGAAAGTTTATCAAGCTGTACCATTATGATTTTTGAACCTATGCATGTTGACTTTAATGCAAGGTTTACTTTAAACTATTTTGTTATGTTAAGGAGGAGGCACCTCAATTCACCGGGATACACTTTTTCACAAAATTAAGCATGCACACACATACACAATACCAACTTTTTTTTTTTTTAAACTGTGTTTGCTCCATCACATATTTTGCCTTGAGTCACACTGGAGAAGCTGAGATGGCTTAGTTAACACTTCCAGGTGCTGTGGGCATGGGCTTGGACTCAGGCGGCTGTTATTTTTAAGACATTTGATATGATTTTAAGAGCTGGCACCCTGGCTTCAGGAAGACCTGAGTTCTAGTCCTGGCTCCACCTCTTATTAATGGTGTTATTTTGGTTGAGTTCTGGAAATGTCAGTTTCCATATCTGTAAAATGGGGATAATATTAATTCTGACTCTGGTAGGGTACTGTTGAGTATCAAATGAGATAATCAATGAAAGTGCTTAGTGCAGTGTCTGGCACATCGAGTATGCACAATAAATGACAGGTGGTGGTGATGACAGCTATGACTACTAGATAAGGAGGGGATGTAAGGCTGTTTAAGACACCTGTGGGGGTTGAGAATAAAGAGTTGCAAATACAGGACGGCTGTTCTTGTTTCTGCTTTGGTGCTTAGTCTCCTGTCATTTCCTTTGGGACCCCTCTGCACCCTCCTCCTCTGCTGTTGTCCCAGTTGGGTCAGTGAGTCCCAGCAGATTGCCTTCTGCCTGGCTCATGTCCTTTCTCTCTTTCTCTCTGCATGCTGTGTGTGGGTGTGCTGGAGCTAGCCTATTTCCCTGCTATCAGCAGAAGACAAAATTGTTCGATAAGCACTTTGTCGTAGTCAGACCATCACAGGAGCTTTCATGAGGAGGCAGGGCACACAAAACTCTTTGTAAACAATAAAACCCATCTCCTGCTTTGACATGAAGTTGCCCGTAGGTTGGTAGTCTTGCTGATTCCATGGTTTCAAACAAAACCAGAAGCTGCTTCCACTGGCAGAGCGTATTTCCATGTCTCAGAGTCTCATTTCTGTGCCTCTCCCCACCTCCCTGTGGGTATGAAGTTAACTGAACATTATCTTTCTCCTCTTCTTCTGCCTAAGAACCCATCACATGTGGCCCAAGGGAGCAGAGGCATCAGAGCATGCTTCTTTTTATATGGAATTAATAGGTTTATGTTTCTTTAGTGGAATTTCTAAGTCCTAGAGGAATAGAAGGCCTTGCTCCCTCTGAACTCTGAGGTCATTTGGTGTGGTGATATGGGAGGGCAGATGTAGCAGGAATGGGGACAGCAGGATGGATGAAACTGTGCTGAGGTTCAACTTACCTCTGGGAGGTGGTAGCCTGAGATTGTCTGCGGTCCCTGGCATGGAAGATTGAGAGAGTAGATGGCAGCTCACGTTCTAGGAAAAGCAGGGGATGACTTGTACAAATCCGCACCGATATGTGGCCTAATGTGCTACCCTTATCCTCACTGCTCCATCAATTTTTCTTTGAGTCACTTATAAAGAGCTCTTCCATTTCTCCTTCCAGGAGGGAATGTGATTGGCCAAGGAAGGGCTCTGTTGGTAGACGTTCACATTTTTTAAAAAAAGCTTCTATGGCAGTGAAAGCAGGGTCCATGCATTCTGTAGTTTTTGCGGATTGAGGGGAAATTTCTCCTCTCTCTGGGTATCAGAAAGAAGGGCTGATAACACTAGAAACCTATCCTCCAACTCTGGCAGAGGGAGGCTTAGGAAATGTTGGGATTTAGAAGAGCTTCATTCTCTTTCCTCTTGGGGGAGGCACAATAAATTCAAAAGCACAAAGGCTCTCTGAACACGGAGGCGGGGTCCTTTCACGGGCTGCGAGGCTGACCGGTGCTGCAGTGATACATCATCCGCGCAGGCTCAGAGAATGGCAGTACTTACAAGGGCCTGCTTCATGACCTAGCACTGGATGTTGTATTTTTTGTTTGTTTGTTTTGTTGTTGTTGTTTTGAGATGCAGTCTTTCTGTGTCACCGAGGCTGGAGTGCAGTGGCGCAATCTTGGCTCAGTGCAATCTCTGCCTCCCAGGTTCAAGCTGTTCTCCTGCCTCAGCCTCCCGAGTAGCTGGGACTGCAGGCACGTGGCACCATGCCTGGCTAATTTTTGTATTTTTAGTAGAGTCAGGGTTTCACCATGTTGGCTGGACTGGTCTTGACCTCAAGTGATCCTCCTGCCTCGGCCTCCCAAAGTGCTGGGATTATAGGTGTGAGCCACTGTGCCCAGCCTAGATGTTACAGTTTTTAAAGAACTTGGGCATAGGTACTCAAAAAACAAAACTCCTTTTGTCTGGATGCCAGCACTATTTTTGTCATTGTAAAAATTAATGAGAATGTACTCCTTATAAGTTGACTGGCAACAGGCTAAGAGTCGTTTTGGGATTGAGGAACAAATAACACATAGACAACTATCATGCTTTTTCCAACTGCATATTGTCCACCTCTTCTGCCTGATTCAGGTTCCCTGGACACCAATCCCTGCCTGGTCCTGTCTTAAGTGCCCCTGAGCCCTGCTTATTTCCTAGGGAGCATTACCTATGCTTGACCTCACCTGTATAAGTCTGTCCACGGGGTTATGCTGTGCCAGACAGAAGTTGCAAAGGGTAGTGTGCAAAGCATGGAAATAAGGGCTTTGCCAAATTAGTGGGTCATTACCAGTAAAATCAGATGTTGATGCATCATGGAAAAAAGTCAACATAAAGGGGCTTAGAAGCCAGATTTTAGAAAAATGGGCAAGGACTCTCAGTGTGGAGGTAAGTGGAATAGAATGAGGAATTTATCAAGACAGAGATGGTTCAGCTGGGAACTGAGTTTGCAAATGAATTAATTTGATTCACAGCATTTTATGGATACCAGGCCCTGGAAAGATAGTAGCTAAACCTTGATATAGCTCTGCCCTCATGGCATTAACTTTCCGGTTCGATGTCTGCCCATGTCTTCTTTTACTTTGACCCTAACATGCCTCATGGGTTGAACAGAAGTGCTTTAAAGGGAAGGAACCTCTGCAAGAGGAAGATTACTGCGGATCTGAAGGAGTGAAGATTTGATGTGCCTTTTCTCAGGGGTTATCAAACAGGTCAGATTACTCCACATCCAGGATGCCCTTTTTTATTCCAGCATTGATTATTCACAGTGAGGTCTCCATGGGAAGTATTTTATTATAGGTCACTGTTCTCCCAGTTCCTTTTGCCATTACCCTCATTCCGCCCAGCTACCCACTAAATGTTACTTATTTTGTCAAGGAATACAAATTAATGCTACAGTAGCCCAAGCCAATTCAAGCCAATTTGTTGCAGAAAAGTCCACCATCCAGAATATGTAGAAAACATGCTTTGATTAGTCATCATTTGGGATCACACATCCATCCAGGTCTTCTCCATTGTATGAATGACCAAGCTTTGGCAATAACCACAATTTTTTTTTTCATGCTTAAAAAAATCAATAGGTCCCATCAGCACACATAATCACCACCCCACTCCAGAGGCAGAAAATTGAGAGTTGGTTTTATTTAAAATTGCTATGTTTGCTTTGTCTTTAAATTGCTATGTTTCCCACAGATACTATGTTTGTGTTTGAGCATCAGTGAGGAGACATGAGTGGTGGAAGGAACTTTTGCCTATATGCCATGGGGAAAGAGAAATAGTTTTGAATGTAGCTTGAGTCTGGGCAGTCAGGCTTTCAGTTTAAATTGGCTGTTCAAGAGAATGATAGATGAACTGAATTATTTTTTCCCAGTAAGAGAGTGAAACACTTTAACAGAGAAGGCATTCTCTTAGGGGTTCAAAGTGTGTAGTACTAAGAAAAGAAGTTAAATGTAACTTCCCTCTTCTACTTCTTAAGAAATTTCATGCCCTCTTTGGAACCCCTTGTAGCATTTCATAAATACATTCTATTTTTCTTAAGACAAGATAGGTTATAAGGAGAATCTTACAGCAGCAGTCTGGCTTAGACTAGGTAGGTTTTGCATCTTTGTTCATTGTGGTCATTTGAGTAGAACCAAGTGCATGCTTAAGTTAGTGTTCCTTTTAAGAAAACCCACTACATAAACGTTTTGATATAGAAAATATGTATGCTTTGAGTTTCTGTGTGCATAAAGGAAGGAAAGGTGGGGAAAATGGTGAATTTATTTCCTTAGTGTATTTTACTGTTCAGTTGCAGATTATTAGCCACTTGGCAGATGACTGAGAGAAGGGAAACTTTAGATTGCACATTGAATATCAATTTAAAGTGAAATGGTAATGAGTTAAGAGAGTAATAAGATTTGATTTACAATAAGTTTAATTTGTAATCAGTTTTGGCTTAAGCTGCATAAGTCTACCTGTAAGTTGTCAGGTGAATCATGGGCAGCATTGATCTGAGATGCAGAGGTAGAAGTCAGGACAATAAGAGATAAGATGAGGTTGTGCAAAAAGAAACAGCAGCAAGAAGAGCAAACAGGCCTCTTCTGAGCTTCCCCATCTTTATGCCTCTGCTCTCCTCTTAATCCTTTACTTCACTCAAGATCCTTTTCAAAATGTTACCCTCAGAAATAAAGCCATGTGTGATCACTACCCACAACCAATGAGATACTGCCTATTGCCTGTTTGGACAAAAAATAGCTAATTTTAGGTCAGTAAGTTTGGGGGTTAGAAAGGTTGGATGCTAGTTCCTGCAACATTACTTACTATTATATGATGTGACCGTATAATCTAGGGTATGTTGCTTAATCTCACCGGACTTTTCTCTGAAAATTGTGGTTAATAAAAAGTCCTAATTCATAGGGTCCATGGGAAAGTTAAAGGAAGCATTGCGTGTAAATAAGATTTCTTAGTTTACAGCTTGGCACATAGCAAGTGGAAGGAGTATTAGTATGATTGCGATTATAATTTTAAGGCTGTTTTTATAGATCTGGTTTAGTTACAAAAATATTTTATAAGTTGGTTTTGGAGAAAATCTACTGGAAAATTTCATTTGAATAGAAGGGCTAGCACAAGTGGCTTGGGGAAAAGCCACACTTTCACCTGACTCAGACCCGGGGAAATTCTGTCTTAAAAAGGAAGGGAGGAGTAGGTTTCTAGTCTAATCTCAGAACTTCAGAATCAGCATCTCTGGAGAATGTGGCCAAGATTTTGAATGTTCAACGAAGATTCCGGTTGATTCCTATACACAAGAACATTGAAACACACAAGCTTATATACAAATGGCTGTTTCCTCAGTACTCTCTAACTAAGAGGCTGGCCTCTAAATATAAATTATTTCAGCAAAGTGATTTTATTAGCAGGAGCATATTTAATTGATTGTTGTTTTGAAGTAAGGCTACTTTTTGACCTGCACATCTACAGAGGAATAATTATTCCTATACAGACCCTTTTAGACATCTATAGGAGGCACTGGCAATATTTTTAATTTTCTGGTTATTTTTACTATTTATGGATAATTTCCTTCTTAGTCTTCACTAGTGCTTCTTACCATATTTTCTATCTTATATGTTCCCTATAAGTTTCTAGCACATAACAGGCCCTTTAATGCATGTTCTTTTGGACTGAATTTTTTCTTCTCTATTAGACTGTAAATTTCTTGAGGACAGAAATCATCTTGCTTAATATCCAGTTCCAGTCACACCTTCAACACTGCCTTGCTTGGTATAAGACTTGATTTTTTAAAATTTATTTTTATTTTTTTCTTAGGGTCAGTGTCTTGCTCTGTTGCCCAGGCTGGAGTACAGTGGTGTGATTATAGCTCACTATAACCTCTAGCTCCTGGGCCCAAGTGATCCTTAAGAAAGGATCAGTAGCTGGGACTACAGGCACATGCCACCATGCCCAGTGAATTTTTATTTTTTTTGTTTTTGTTTTTGTTTTTAGAGATGAGGGTCTCGCTATGTTGCCCAGCCTGGTCTCAAACTCCTGACCTCAAGCAGTCCTCTCACCTCAACCTCCCAAACTACCGGGATTACAGGTGTGAGCCACCATGGTTAAATACAAACCAACCTGTTAGGATTACATAACAGTCTGTATGTCAGAGGTAGATCACAGGTGGCAAGACAAAGAGGCCCAATGCAGTTTCATGATTATTTTGAACCCTGGAGAAAACTGGCTTTTGATGTGAAGTCTTTTATAGAGAAGTCACATCCCAGGATATTCTTATAATTCAGCCATTCTCCATCTGGCTAATCTTAACCATAGGAAGGGAGTTCAATAGTGTCCACTTTTGTGGGCTTAGCAAATTGTGCTATGTATGTCATATACATTATCTCATTTAACCCTTACCAAAACCAGTGAACCCACCAATAGATACCATTATCCCCATTTATGTCTAGTGATATGAAGGGGCTTGCCAAAGTCACTAAGCAAGTTAGCACCAGCACGGCAATTTGAATCGTTCCCCCGATTCCAAATCTAGTGTCCGTCTCCTACACCAGTGGTTTTCAAGTGTGGTTCTTGGACCAGTAGCATTGACATCACCTGAGAGCTTATTAGAAATGCACATGCTCAGGCTCCTTCTAGATTTCCTAAATTGGACACTCTTTGTCGGACCCAAATCTGTGGTTAAGCACACTCTCCAGGTGATTCTGGTGCACATGAATGTTTGAAAAAAAAAAAAAAAAAAAAAAAAAAAAAAAATCACAGCATGACACCAGCTGTTCCTAATAGTCCTTCCTTACCCTGAGCCCTTGCTACTCAAAGTCTGGTCCACAGACCAGCAGCATTGGCTTAACTTCTAAGCGTGTTAGAAGTGTAGAATCTCACACTCTTCTACATACCTACTGAATCAGAATTTGTATTTTAGTAAGATATTTGGTGATTCATGAGCATATTAAAGTTTGAAACGCATTACTCGAAATTATGTATTTTCTCTCTGTAGTCTTATATTGGCTTTTCTTAGTCTCAGTGTCCAAGATTCTTGGGGTTTTTGTTCACCCATGTACAGGAACAAATGAAAGTTCTTCCATTTTCTGCCTTGTGACCAAATTGAGAGCTGTGCTTACTCTTTTCTGATAAAAGTCCACTTTTCCTTTCTATATCCCTGCTCCTCCAGCCTAAATGCATGCACACACAGACAACAAATGTTTTTGTTTCCCTTTGATGTCACCTTAAGCTAGGCACAACAGCAAGGGAGTAGCTAGAGTTGTGTTAACATGTTATAAATTAACAGGAATGGGAATTGTTGCCCATTAATTAGGAAAGAGATGGCTAATTTCTTGCTATTTTCTATTTCAGAAACTATATGTAGAACCTGAAAGCAGCAGCTCATTGCTCCACAGTTGATGCTAATTATTTCTCAACCATGTTTTGAGCAAACAGGTAGTGTTTAGAAAGCCTAAAACATAGGCTCTTCAGAGGAAAAGACACGCACCTTCTGGGGCTTATTGTGTAGTGAAGTTACAATAAGAATAATTGGAAACCCCACTCTCTGACAGAGCAGTGGGGAATCAAAGATTATTCAGAGGAGGATAGCTAACCAAATAATGTCCCAATTCCTAAATGATTAGTTCTGCCTCAATGCCACATAGTTTTCTTCTGCAGTGTTTAACTTCTCACTGGGTCTAAGGAACTGACCCATCATGGTGAAGGCTCTGCTGAATTACATATTCCATTTTGTATACTGTGAGTCTTCCACACTCTCTGTGGCCATACCCTTGATGGGGGGCTACCAGGCACTGGCAGTTTCCTCCATTCTGCAAGGAACTGGAAGCAAGAAAAATGATGTCCTTGCTGTAGGTATTCTAAAACGGTGATGCTCAACCTCATGTATATATTAGAATAATTGGAGTGCTTGTTAAAAGGTAGATTCAGGACTTTGCTCTCAGAGTTAGAAATTCCTATTTAAGATGTCTAAGGTAGGATCCAGGAAAATGCAATGTTTCACAAGCACTTCAGACAGTGCTGATGGCATTTTCCAGGTGCCACCATTGGCTAACAATTATACCATTGGTACCTATGAGATTTTAGAAAGGGGACTGCATTTGTTACATGTCCTCCACTGTGTGTTGGGATAGTTGAGAAAGATGATCTTAGACTTCCCTTTCTGCTCTGTAATAGTTTTCCCAGAGTTGGTTAACTATTACTGCATTTAGACGTATCTATTAACATCTACAATGTACCAGACATTGTGCTGGATGCCAGAGATAAAAAAGATAAATCAGGCTAATTACTGTTCTCAGAGACATCATAGTCTGATGCAGTCACAGACATACAGAGCAATAAATGACACAAAAGCATATTAGCTGGTAAAATAGCAACCTAACATAGGACCCAGTGGGGACTCAGCATTGGAAACAGTGACATGGAGTAAATTCCCAGTGTGTGCTAATAGCTGTCTGTATTGGGCAAGGCCAGGAAAATTGGGGGACTCTTGGTCACATGGGAAGTTCAAGGTTGTCCTAAAAAGTTTCAGTTGAATGGAGGAGGCAGATATGTATATATATATTTGACCAACTGACTTTCCTTCAACTGATAGGGGGTTTGGTTACAAATAAGTAAAATTTTTAAGAAAATTTATGCATCCAAGAGGGAATCTCAAAAGGGACACTGGAGATCTGTGTAATTTCTAGGAAGAAAATTGTGGTCCTATTATTAAAAGCTTAGAAAAGATATGGTTCACTCCATTGCCTGGAGTTTTGAAGGCTCTCTGTTCCATTTTTCATTATCCAATAATAAATATCATAGTGAAAGCCACCTTTAGCACTTAAATATTGCTGGGATTTTATGGGATTGAATTGAAGGGTATTAAAAAGCCAGGTGGGTGAGATACTTTTATAACACATGCTTCATAAAGCTGTGTATAGTAAGTGCCTGTATACCAACTTTTTAAATGAGAGCATTCGGGCATAGCATTTGAGCATGAGGGGGCCTCTGCTTGTTAATTAAACTTGTTGATAATACTAATTGTTAAGAAATAGGAAGAAGCAGCTTGTGGCAAGTAGAATAGGATTTGTTTCTGAGAAGAGTAGTCCACTTGGAACTGTCATGTACATCAGCAGGACCCAGCCTGAGCTGGAACTGGGCATCGCGGAAAGGAAGCAGACCTGCAACAAGTTTCACTAGCCAGTAGCTGGCTATGGGGTCAGTGTAGCTGTTCACCTGGTGGTGGTGGCCCGTGCTACCTGTTTAGATTGACTGTTATTATTATTTTCCATTAAGCAGAGGGATTTCATTAGGAGACTTAACAAGCTAGGTGGGAGTTAGTTTTGTACTTACTGCTATTTTTTACTTAACATTATCATCCTAGTTTTTCTGGATAAGTGAGAAAGGCTGAAACCAATGAGTCCCGGACCCAGTTCTTTTATTTATATAGATTTTTTGAAGTGAAATTCACATAAAATTAACTAAAATTCACTATTAACTAAATAACTAAATAATTAACTATTAACTAAAATTAACTATTTTTAAAGTGAACAATTTAGTGGCATTTAGTACATGCACAATGTGGTGTAATCACTACTATCTAGTTCCAGAGCATTTTATCACCCCCAAAAGAAGCCCTGTGACCATTAAGTAGTCGTTTCCCATTCCCCTATATCCCTAGTCTCTGGCAATCACCCGTCGGCATTTTCTTCCTGCAGATTTCCCTATTCTGGATATTTCATATAAATGGAGACATACAATATGTGACCTTTTGTTTCTGCTGCTTCTTACCTGCCATAGTGTTTTCGAAGTTTTTTTCATATTGTAGCATGTATCACTACTTCCTTTCTTTATATGGCTGAAAATATTGAGTGTTTACCAAAATCAGTTTATCCATTCATTCATTAATGAACATTTAGATTGTTTCCACATGTTTTGGCCACATTTTGTGAATAGAGCTGCTATGAACAGGCATGCACATATATTTGTTTATCTGTTTTTCATTCCTTTGGGTATATACTTAGGAGTTAAATTTGTATTATTTGTACAAAATATTCCCTGCTACTGGGTGTCTCCCTTTGGGAGGATTAGATACCTCACCCTCAATGAGAACAGGCTTGGCTCCATAACTTACTTTGGCCCATGAATGCAGTGAGAGTGGAGATGAGTATTGCTGAATGGAATAAGAACAATCTCAAAATTCTGCCTTCACTCCTTTCCTTCGTCCAAGACTCCTGCAGGGATGACCTGGGGGCTTCTTCTGGCTGGGTTCATAAATGCAGGCACCATGGAGCAGAGCAGTCCATCTTTTGAGCCCTCCCTGAAAGACAATAAATTGGGCTCTGAGAAGGATAAAAAGAGGAGAAAAAGTTCTTCTTGCCACAAAAGAGCTTACAGTTTTGCTGTAACTTAAGCAGGTAATTTTAAGGTCTACAAAGTACTACAGAGGGCTGAGGAAGAATCCACAGAGCTTTCTTAGAGGTGGTGGCATTTGGATATGGCCTTGAGGGAGTGATAGGATTTACGGGTATGGAGTGTAAAAAAGAGCCTTCCAGGACAAAGAATAACTGCAGCAATGACATCACAATGGTAACGTGGGATATTTGGGGAACTGTGATTTAGGTGATTCCTTTCAGGAATATAAGCACTCTGGGGACATGGGGCTGGAACATTCTATTGGAACCAGTGAGTGAACTATGTGACCTCCAGACTAAAGAGTTGGCTCTCTATAATCCGACATTACAAATGACAAGTTTGTCTCAGTAATGGATTACTGTCCCACTCTTCCTTTCTCGTTCTTCAGGATGTCACATCCTTCTGCAACAGTGTTTATCAGCCTTTACATTGTTGTTTTTACTTCATACATCTCAGCTGTGCAACCCAAGGGACTCTTGTCCTTACACAAACTGATTCTCTGTGTTTGCGCTCATCTCATTTGAAAGTAACTGTTCGGAAACACCATGGGACATGGAAGGCAAAGAAAGCCCCAACATTTGTTGAACGTATATGTGACAAGAGTTTTCCAAATGTTATTTCTCCTTCTCATCATCTCCTCTCAACCCACCATGGTGGTGGTGGTGGAAGTGATTTTTTTTTTTTAAATTTTACAGTTGAGTAGAACTGAAGCCTTGAAGTCAAGGAGTTAATAGATGATGGAGGTGGGGTTTGACTGTGTCTTTCTCATCTGTGTGTTCCCTGTTTACTGTAGAATCTAGCCCATAGTTAGAGCCTCAATAAATGAATGTGAGGGAATGATTGACCACGTAACTGAATGACCAAATGAAAAAGCAAGGTCTGTTTGATTCTAAACCCAAAGGTGATGAGATTCCATTAAGACCACCGACTTATTCTGTGTAATTTTGTTACCCCCACAGACACCAAAATGAATACCCTGGAGCTATAGTGAGTGTGGCTGGGATCCGATGACACAGCTCTGGTTGAAGAGTGTAGGGTGCCCTGAGGGGTTCCTAGATAATTTGGCTCTGCTAAGAGAATATTCTCAATTATCTCTTGTCCACCTTCTCTGGACAGAATGCTGGGTGCATGGACATTCATTGGGTGATCCTTCTCAGGTACATCATTCAGGACATTTTCTGGCCCTTTGCTTTGGGATTAGAGTATTTCTAAAACCCTAGCTCAAAATGGGCTGAGTGCGGGAAGTGAAGAAAGCAAGGTGAAATGTAATTTCCTCTTTAATATAGACTGTCATTTAATCTAATATTATAGAAAATGATTCGATCTTAAAAACCTATAAATTACACTTGACAACTCTCTGGTGTTCCTCTGCTTTCCCTTTCAGCAATTATAAATGGCAACAGTGGGCTGTGGCAGAAAGGAGCCTTCTGAATGCGGTTTGTTTATTGGCTCTTAATGAGAAGCGATTAATCTAAATCACCATAGGGGTGGATCCTTTGTGGAGCTTTGAAATCAGAAGTGGCAGTTGGACCTTTTGACAAATGTGCTGTTCTGTCCTTAATAACAACAAAAAGTTTGCGAGGGTTTGTGTGGTATTGTTTTCTTTCTTTCTGCAATAAGGAAAGAAAACACACACACACACACACACACACACTCAGACCTGTCACTGGGACAAAATACAAAACCATCACATTTGGGCTCCTCTGTTTCTTACCTCTTCAGTCCTTCCTCTCCTACCTCTTCCCACCCTCTCTGGCTGAGGCAGCTGGGGCTCCTCATTATGTAGTTATCTGGAAGACCCTTTTCTCTGTTTATTACTGTTATTGTGTTTTTCTTTTCCCTGCCTGTCTGGGGACCACCTGGCATGGGATGATGGATCATTACAGAGACTACCTGCCTGGCAAAATTGCTACCTTGGTCCCCTCCTCTTCTGCGTCACGTTGAGAAGGGAAGCAAAACCAAACAACCAAAACACCCTAAAAAACCCAAACGCCTATGATCACAAGCTCTTTTGTTTTGAGATAATGGGGTCAAATTTGCAGCCGAAGGGATGATCCCATAAAAGTAGGATGATGGTGGGTAGAGCAGGATGAGAGAACACCCACGGAGAAGACCTGTTAGGTTAAAAAAAGAAAAAAATCTCATTTTTCCTCCTGCTTTCTATTTGGTTCTTTTCTGCCTTTGTTTGCACTAATTCTTTGTCATTGCCTTGCTGTGCCCTCTGTCTCCTTTGCTATGTCACCAATACAGAGTACAGCAAGAAGAATAAAACACTCAACTTGGGAGGGAGAGTTCTGAATTTGAACCTGTCTTAATACTTAGTAATCAATTGTTACTGAGTAGCCAATTGTCAATAAGTAGCTGCTTGCCACTGAGTAGCAAGTCACTGAGCCCTGGCATTACTTTTCCTGTAGAATGGGTGTGATAGGCAGAATAACCACCTCCCTGCAATGCCCCGCTCCCCAGAATTTGTAAATATGTTCAGTTATATGGCAAGAGGGAATTAAAGTTCTAGATTGAATTAAGAATGCTAATCAGCTGATCTTAAAATAAGGAGAGTACCCTGGATTATCAGGTCGGCCATTGTAATCTAGAGAATGGGAAAGAGGGAGGAAGAAGAACCAGAGTGATGTGGTATGACAAAGGCTGGACTAGCTGCTGCTGGCTTTGAAGATGGAAGGGGCCAGGAGCCAAGGAAAGTGAGCAGCCTTTGGAAGCTGCAAAAGGCAAAGAAAACAGATCCTCCCAATATTAGTCTGTTTTCACATGGCTATAAAAAACTACCAGTAATTTATAAATTACTGAGTAATTTATAAAGCAAAAATGTTTAACTGACTCACAGTTCCACATGGCTGAGGAGGCTTCAGGGAACTTACAATGATGGTGGAAGGTGAAGGGGAAGCAAGGCACATCTTACATGGTGGCAGAAGAGAGAGAGAGGGAGGAAGTGCCACACTTTTAAAACCATCAGATCTTGTGAGAACGAACTCACTGTCACGAGAACAGCATGGGAGAAACTGCCTCCATGATCCAATCACCTCCCACCAGGTTCCTCCATGAACACGTGGGGATTACAATTTGAGATGAGATTTGGATGGGGCATGGAGACAAACCATATCACTCCCCTAGAGCCTCCAGAAAGGAAAACAGCCCTGCAGACACCTGGATTTTAGCCAGTGAGACTCATTTTGGGCTTCTGACTTGCAGATAGGTAAGATAATAAAGTTATATTGTTTAAATCACCAAGTCTGGGATGATTTGTAAGAGCAGCAACAGGAAATTAATAGAGGGGATACTATGGAACTGAATGCTATTCACCCCTACACATACCAAATTCATATAAATCGTAGGATTCATATAAAATTTTAACCACCCCCAGTGTGAGGGTATTTGGATGTCGGGCATTCAGGAGGTGGTTATGTCATGGGAAGAGCCCTCATGAATGGATTAGTATCCTTATAAAAGGGACCTCAGAGAACTCTCTCTCCTCATTACATCACATGAGGACACAGTGAGAAAGCACTAGTTATGAACAAGGAAGCAGGCTCTCATCAGATGCTGAATCTGCCAGTGCCTTGGTATTGGACTTTCCAGCCTCCAGAGCTGTGAGAAAGAAGTGATGGGTATGCATAAGCCACCCAGGGTATGATATTCTTTTATAGGAGCCCCAGTGGACTAAAACAGGGGTAACAATACCTGCGTTGCATTCCTCGCAGGGTAGAGCAAGGATCAAGGAGACAAGAGCTGTGGAAGAACTTGGCAAGCTGTAAAATGCAATGCAATCCGAAGACTTTGGTAGGAATTAACTCTGCCTGTGGGTGAAGGCATGCAGCACAGGTGTCTTGAGCTGGGGGTAAAAGCACAGACCAACCAAGTGCTTTGAACATCTGCCAACTCCTTGCACAGCCTGACTACTTATTGTTTTCATTTTTTTCTGGGAGCTAAATGTCTCTCCTCTGGGTGAACAGGATCAGTCCCTCTTGTCCTTTCCTCAGTACAGTTCCTGCATGGGTGAACGGACTCTAAGGCACCATTGGTTATTACAGCCTGGTCTCTTATGTGGTCCATTGTCTCAAAGGGTTGTTGCAGCAGCAAGTTGCCCTTGTTCTGCGTTGATCACATCTAGCATTTAGATGTTTGAGGGCCCGTCCCATCAGTTGAGTTCTAAGGAATGTTCATGTGATACGATACTTACTGGGCAATGCAATGTTCCCAGATATACTGATGTTGTTACCAATGCTGATGAAGCTCTTGGCTGTTTAGGCTCTTTCAGCTAGACCAGGATATAGGATATTTCTAAGTATATTTACTCCCAAGATTGTTTTCCTCACGATAACTTGAAGGTTATCTTCCTTCTCCTAAATATAATAATCCTCCCCAGATATCTAGGTTTAGGTTCCTGTTTTAGTTCATTATCTGTTGCTTGTAGCAGAATACATGAAACTGGGCTATTTATAAGAAACAGGATTCATTTCTCATAGTTCTGGAAGCTGGGAAGTCCAAGGTCAAG
The DNA here is from genome assembly GCF_000001405.40 of Homo sapiens. Lineage (NCBI taxonomy): Eukaryota > Metazoa > Chordata > Mammalia > Primates > Hominidae > Homo > Homo sapiens. The sequence goes on from NC_000010.11 coordinate 104,960,437, forward strand.
GGGGTACATCTGGTGAGTGTCTTCTTGCTGGTGGGGACCCTAAGCAGAGTCCCAAGGTGGCACAGGGTATCACATGGCAAGGGGGACTGAGCACACCAACATGCTATGCTCAGATCCCTCTTCCTCTTCTGCGCCCATAATAATCCATTAATCCATTAACCATTTAATCCATGAATCCATGAGTGGATTTGATACATTAGTAAGGACAGAAAACCTTTATGATCCAATCACCTCTTAAAGGCTCCACGTCTCAAAACTGCCACGTAGGGTATTAAATTTCAACATGAGTTTTGGAGGGGACAAATATGTAAACCATAGCAATCCCTTAAAATATCCTAAGTTTGAGGCTTCCTATAGGAAGAATTTAAGGTCCAATGGAAAAAACAGGGTTAGCAGGTGAACATATGAAAACCTCCCCCTTTTTTGATGTTCACTGGAAGAAATACTAAAGATAATACAATAAATAATAAGTATTAGTGACAATCTGCAGTTCTTAAATTAGCCATAATGGATGCTGTGCAATTAATTTCCATTTACCATCTCTTGTGCACTTGAATTTTTTCAGGCTTTTCCTCCTACGCAGCTTCAACAAGATGCTTATAAATTAGGTTTGTTTTGTGGTAGATAATAGGCATGTTGGTGGGCATTTTTTGCTTTATCTTTTCATATAGTCATTGCCTTTGTGATTTTAGGCTTTGGAACAGTGATTCTTAATTCTGGGGTCCCACTGTGGTCCCAGATGTGCACAGTAGCAACTTGGATGCTTGAAGCAACAAACGCCTTGGATGATCTTGATTTAACTCGTTAGATATTTCTGAAAACCAAACACACCTGGTTATGTATCTATGCCTGTGACAACATTGTGCCAACTCACATGTCTTCATCCTATTTAACCTGCGCCTTAGTCCATCTGATCGTAGAAATCCATGTCTGGGTTTACATCTTCCTTTAATGATCCTAATGTGGAGAAAAGAAACAAAGAAAAGCCCCAAATCAAAACATCAAAAATAAGCAAAATGACTTCAAGACCAATCCTGTATCCTGCATTTTTTTGAATTATGAAACTTCTTTATACTTCTCTCCTGGTGTTAGATTTGCTTTTTAAAATTACTGGAAATAAATATCTGGTTAAAAAATAATGTGGCCACCAATTTGTTAAATTTGTCTATATCCAACTTCTACAAAAGAATAATATGAAGTAGCAGAGGAATACTGACCTGAATGCCAATTACTGCATATGCAACTGGTAATGCCTTGGCTGGCAGAGGGACAGTGCCTCAGGTAAAGGTTTTGCTGACTGCCCTTATTGAGATGAAGCTAGCTTCTCTGTCTAGTAGGGCACTGATGAACCCCAAATACAATGAACTGAATATTTGGTCAAGCAAACTGAGAAACCTTTGAGTGACCTTCACTCAGTCATGCATCACATGATTTATTGATTTATTGAGCACGTTCTTCAGGCAGTGCAGCAAAGAAGACCAGAGAACATTGTTTAACCAAAGCTCCCTGCCTTTAAGGAACATAATATCAAGGTGGCAAAGTGAGGTAAATACAAGTAAAACGTAAAATAACCAATATTTTAAAATATATTAATATATTTATAAATTTCAAATATATTTAAACATAAAATCGCAGTTCAATGTGATTATGAATTTGCTGATGGAGTTCTTGGAAGACCGAGATCATTCAGCTGGAGCACTCAGGAGGCTTCATGGAAGGGATTGAGTTAAAATGGGACTTGAAGGAAGGCAGGGAGGATGCTGGGCTTTCTAGGTAGGGGAGTGGCATGGGCAAAGATAGGAATGTTGCAGTAAGCACAGTGATTTGAAAAAACTCTGAGGCACAGCTTGGCTTGAGCAAGTGGTTATGTTGAAGAGGTCAAGCCTGAAAACAGCATGGGAGCCCACTAAATGCCTGAGATGCTGGGTATGTTTTTAAAGACATGTAGAGAGTATTGGTGTTTCTTGTGGAGGGGAGATTCCATATCAGAGCTGGGCTGGGGGAAATCCATTCAGTGTATGGTGTGTGGGATAGTTTGGGGCAGCAGATTCTTACTCCATAGGGGAGGTCAGTAACACCACTCCCTGAATTGGGAGATGCTGTTTTTCCTGTCCACACTGAGTCTTCTTCACTACCCCACCCTCATGACACACCTGTCCTGCACCACGAGTTGTGCTCACCATGTGGATAGAAATTTACTAGCTTTTCAAATTTTCCAAGAGCAGGCAATGCGTAGCATGTTTTATCAAGAAGGTATATGTATGTGTATATGTGTGTGTGTAGACAGATAATGTTTTATGATTGTAAAGGAAATGTGTGCTCACTGCCGAAAATTTGGGGAAAATAGAAAAGTATAGAGAAGAAAATAAAAAATACTCATAATCTTGCCACTTAGGAATAACCACTGTTAACGTGAATGTTTGTTTCAAGTTATCTACTATGGATAAGTACAGACAAGAAATATAAGCAATGTTTAACAAAATTGAGATGATGCTTCATGTGTGTCCAGCCTGCATTTCATGCACTGTTTAAATATATGGTTGTTTTTCATATGTCATAAAAGTATTTGAATTCATTTTAATGGCTGCATAATATTCCATTGAATGGCTTTAGCTCACTTTAGTCATTATCCTATCAAATATAGTCATTATTTCTAATTTTGTATTATTATAAAAACATTGCATTGAACCTACAGGTGCATAAACCTTTTATTGGGTTTCTGATGGTTTCCTTAGATAGTTTGCTAGAAGACAATTTACAGGGTTAAAGTTATGAATATTTATAAGAGTCTCGTTCCATATTGCCACATTGGTTTTCAGAGTGGTCATGGCAATTTATGCTTGCATCAACATTGACAGTCTGCCTAGCTCACTCCACTGGCTTTGCCATGGTCACCAATACCCTCCCTGTTGCTACATTCAGTAGCCAATTCTCAGTACTCTTTATACCTGACCATCAGTTGCATTTGACACAGCTGGACACTCTTCCCTAATATACTTTCTTTCCTTGATTTTAAGAGTATCTCACTCTCTGAGTTTTCCTTCTCCCTCTCAGGCTCCTTTCCTGGTCTGTCCCTATCTTTTTGACCCTAAACATACTATAGAGCTCAGTTCTCCAGACTCTCTTTTATCTGTATTTGCTGTCATGGTTATCTCCAGATTCATGTCTTTAAGTGTTATTCAGACTCTGATGTCTCCTAGATTCTTATCTGCAGGCCAGCCCTCTCCCCGGAGTATAAACCTTGTACATTGCTCTTCTACTTAACGTCTCTGTTTGGATGTGTATTAAGCATTTCAAAACCAAATTCTTTATTTTTAAAGCCCTGAACCTGTTTTTCTATCCATAAGTGTTAATTCCACTTTCCCAGTTGTTCAGGCCCCAAATCTATCAGATAATTTGAGTTAGTTCCAATTTGTAATTATTAGAAACATTGAGATGAATGTACAGTTTAAAAATCTTTTAAGGGGTCACCTCACTTTCTCTGACACTCTACATCTAATCTGTAAGCAGACCTTTTTAACTTTTCTTCCAAAAATACACCCAGAAACTGACCACCTCTCAGCACCTCAGTGCTCCAGCTTGGTGCAGGCCATTCATCTGTCCCTTCTGATCATTACAGAACCTCTCCCTGGTCTCTTTGATTTTTTTCCCCACATCCTCCAATGCTCTATTCGACATGGTAGCCAGAGTGAGAGGATTAAAAAACAAGCCCTAGACTATCACAGCCATGCTCATTGTATGTGTATCATATGCTTTCTATGTAACTTGTGATAAAGCCAGAGTCCTTATATCAATGCCTGGGTCTGCGTTTCCTTGCTGACCTCATTTCCAACACTCTACGTTGTTCATTCTGTTCCAGCCTACTGGGCTCCTACATCCTTTTGCAAATGCTACTTTCCCAATGAGGCCTTTCCTGACCACATGATTTAAAACTACACAGCTTCTCTTTCAGCACCTCCCCTTACCTTTTCTGCTTTCTTTCACTCTAAAGGCCTTATCACCATCTGATATGCCACATGTTTTACTTATTTGTCTATCTGTTGTTTATTCTTCCTTCAACAGAATGTAAGCTCTATGAGGGAAAGTATTTTCATTCTGATTTGATTACTGCTCTGATCTAGGTCCTTAGAATAGAGCCTGGCATGGAGTAAGGCCTCAGTCAATAGGTTGGATGAATAAATGGTGTGTATGTGTTTGTTTGATTAAAGTGTTCATTAGCCTGTTACTTTATCTCTAGTCTCGTGTCTTATTTTTATATTTATTTTTTACTTTAAAAAATTGTAGGGATATACAAATAATATGCAATTTGCCGTCTTCCCATTTTTAAGTGTACAGTTTAGTAGTGTTAAGTACACATTGTTTTACGACCAATCTCCAAATTTCTTTTCATCTTGCAAAACTAAAACTCTATACCAACTAAACAACAACTCCTCATTTCTCTCTCCGCCTAGCCTTAGTATCTACCATTCTACATTTTGTCATTATGATTTTGACTACCTTAAGTACCCCATATAAGTGCAATCATATAGTATTTTTTTCTTTATGACTGGCATATTTCACTTTGCATAATGTCTTCAAGGTTCATCCATGTAGCATGTGTCAGAATTTCCTTCCTTCCTAAGGCGGAATAATATTCCATTGTAGTGTATACCACATTTTGTTTATCCATTCATTCATTGATAGACACTTGGGTTGCTTTCACCTTTTGGCTATTGTAAATAATGCTGCTATGAGCACTGGGTGAACGTATCTCTCTTTGAGACCTTGCTTTCAATTGCAAGAGTCTTGTTTCATGTTGCCACATTGCATTTTAGAATAGTCACGCCAATTTATACTTGCATCAACACTGACTGTCTGCCTGCTTCACTCCACTGTCTTGGCCATGGTCACCAATACCCTCCACAATGCTACATTCAATGGTCAGTTCTTGGTACTCATCTTTCTTGACCATCAATTGCAATTGACACAGCTGGACACTTTCACTTTTGGGTATTACCCAGACGTGGAATAGCTGGATCATATGATAATTCTATTTTTAATTATTTGTTGAACCACCATACTGTTTTCTGTAGTGGCTGCACCATTTTTTGTTCCCACCAACAGTTCACAAGGGTTCCAACTTTTCACATCCCTGCCAACACTTGTTATTTTCTGATTTTTTATTTTTTATTTTTAAACAGTAGCCATGGGTGTGAGGTTGTATCTCATTGTGGTTTTGATTTGCATTTCTTTAATGATTAGTGATTTTGAACATCTTTTTATTTGCTCACTGGTCATTTGTATAGCTCTGGAGAAATGTCTATTCAAGTCCTTTGCCCATTTTTTAAATAGGATTGTTTTCTTGTTATTTTTGTACTTTAATTTTTTTTCTTGAATAGCCTAAATGACTGCAGTTTTGTTGGTGTGCTTATGTTAAATCCTGAGGAACAAGTGTAAATAAGCTTAATATAATGGATTAGGGTGGAAAGGTGGGGAGTCTAATTTTGGCAAAGAGAATGGCATGCATTGTGGCCATAGGTGAGACAGGATATGTATAAGCATACATGCATATTGGTGTTCCGTGACATTTATATGTAGTTTACATATTTTACTTGTAATAATCCCAACTGCAGCATCATTGACATTTTGTGCTGGATAATTCTTTGTTGTGAGTCACTGTCCTGTGTTTTGTCACATGTTTTACAGCATCCCTCGCCTCTGCCCACTAGATACCGGAACTCTCTCCCCTGCCCCCAGCTGTGATAATTAACATATCTCCATATGTTTCAAAATGTCCCCTTGGCATGACCCCTTCTTTCTCCTCAGTTGAGAACCACTGTTCGAAGAATGAATGCTGGTATATTGTGAGTAAAAGCCGTATCTACAGTAGGCTCTGTTTGTATGGAAGTCAATATTCAACAACTTATCAATTATATCAGTGGGTTTAGCGGATAGCTATGCTGTCATTGTTTTATACTCTAAGAGCTCATATTGATGTTATTGTTATTTCTTATTGAACACTAACTTTGCTAAAAGTCTACCATTAGGACTCAATTATACAATAAATTATAGCCTTTCTTTTTTTATATTTAGAGAAAAGTCTGTTTGCTCCTATTCTGAGAACGTGCCCAAAACATTGAACTAGAGTGTTTTCCTTGACTTTCTGGATCTCTGGCAGAGTGAGAGAGAGACTGAGAAACGTTTAGCTTTCACTTGATTTTAATAGACTGCACAAAGGAAATAGAATAGGCAACTGAATAAAGTGACATATTCATCAATGATATTGTAAGACTCACTCAGCAGCAAGAAAGGGTGCATTGTGGAAAGATTTCTGGGGAGGATTTTGACATCTCCAATACTAATGTTGACTGGTTTAGACATAGATAAGCTGACAGGCTTTTGAGAGTATAAGCTGACTAAGCATAGCCCCTGCCTGACTCCTGACTTCCCTGAGTGTCCTTTGCAATTTGCAATATACCATTAAAATTAAAACCAATATTATTCAACATTCTCAGGAATTTCCTTCAGAAAGCATTACAAGTTTTTTTTTTTTTTTCAAAAGATACTGCACCATTTGTATGTTGGTAATCTCTAAAGATTACCAACTCTAATCTTGGACACAGACAATTCATTTACAGTGAATGGCTAAATCACAGGAACTTGATTGTATGCAGTTCTCACCCTAAGGCAGTGGCATGTTTAGTTTCCTCATGGGGTATAGTCATCCAATGAAGAGATGAGAGTGTTCATTCAAAGCAGCAATTGTGTTTAGCAAATTGACAATTATCTACCAATTGGTGTTTACTCTGGCCGTATTCATGTTGGTTAATAGGGTGTGTTTTCTTAAAATATTACCAGAAATGCAAAATGCATGTAAAGTGAATGTAATATATAAAACACTAAAATATGATGTTTTTCTCCCTGACACTTTCCTGTGTTTTAAATTATGGCAAACAAACACACGTACAGACAACATGAGATTTACCCTCTTAACCCACTTCCACATGTACAATAGAGTGTTAACTATATGCACATTGTACAGCATATCTCTAGAATTATTTCATCTTGTGTGACTGAAATTTTATAACCATTGAACAGCAACTCCTCAGTCCCCTTTATGCCCACCTCTTGCAATTTTCTCCACAAAGTTCAGGAATAATGGGAGTCAAGAGGGAGGCAAATAATCCCCACATCACCTCTATTTGTCTCCAACCTGCTTGGCATCACTTCTGACTTCAGTTGTGCTCTTATCCTAGATAATTTATTTTTTGGTTGGGGGGATGGGGTCTGGCTCTGTTGCCCAGGCTGGAGTGTAGTGGTGTGATCTCCACTGCCCGGGCTCAAGCCATCCTCCCACCTCAGCCTCCTGAGTAGCTGGGGCCATAAGTGCACGCCACCACACCAGACTAATTTTTTTTTTTTTTGATAGAGTTGAGGTTTCACCAAATTGCCTAGGCTGGTTCTGAACTCCTGAGCTCAAACAATCTGCCCACCTCAGGCTCCCAAAATGCTGGGATTACTAGTGTGAGCCACCATACCTGGCCTTATCCTGGGTAATTTAAAGCTAAAGGTTAACATTTATTTAGTACTTATGTGCCTGGTAGTGTGCTAAGCCCCTTTAATCATTATCTCATTTAATCCTTTCAATAGTACTAAGAGGTAGGTACAATTACTATCTCCTTTTTTCTCTAGATGAGATAACAGACTTGGGATAATTGCGACGGAGTTTCACTCTTGTTGCCCAAGCTGGAGTGTAATGGTGCAATCTCGGCTCACTGCAACCTCTGCCTCCCAGGTTCAAGCAATTCTCCTGTCTCAGCCTCCTGAATAGCTGGGATTACAGGCACATGCCACCACACCCGGCTAATTTTTGTATTTTTAGTAGAGACAGGGTTTCATCATATTGGTCAGGCTGGTCTCGAACTCCTGACCTCAGGTGATCTACCCGCCTGGGCCTCCCAAAGTACTGGGGTTACAGGCATGAGCCACCGCGCCCGGCCTTGAGCAACTTTCTGTTTACACATGAAATATCAGTCTGAGGAGCCTGGCCTAAAGACATCTGCATTGAGAGCCTATAACCTTAACAATCTGCGAAACCATATTTGAAAAACCCCTCTTCCCCTTCCAGCACACGTATACCCACTGCAGTTCTCATGTCAGGACAAACTGCTTTATAAAGAATCAAAGCAGAATGATGAACAAAACAAAATTAAAATCTCTAGTGGGATCTCTGTCCTGTTCGTATTGCCAAAATCACATAAATGCAGAACTCATGATATCTAAACAGCCATTGCCACAAATTATACACTAGATACCTATAATTATACATTGAAAGGTAAGCTTGTGAATGTCTTTGTTTTTGTAGAAACATGCTATCACAGCTTTAGCGAGAGTCACATGTCTCATCCATAAATTCAGTCCACAGATATATTTAATTTGGGCACAATGTTTTTTAAAAACCCAATTTTAAATATTTTGAGGGAATGATGTGTACTTTCCGATTTGACACAGTCCTCACCAGTCCCTGTCTTGGCTTGTCTGCTTCACTTGCTCACTTTACCTGCTTTGCCCTCACAGGCATTGGGATTTGAAATCCATGTGTAACAAGAAAAATTTGGGTGGACATGGGATGATTTTCTTTATAGATTTGGTACGTGAATATACAATACACGTATTTTACCTTGAGGCTTAACTTCTGACAAAATATTTGCTCTCTGATTATATAAATAATATGGCCTCCTCCTTTTTTATTTTTGAGCACCTACAACTAACCTATATCTTCCTCTTAGATTCCTACTCTCTTAATGCTTGATGCTCCTGTGGTCAGAAATTGAGATGAGTGAAGCTGCATTTTGGGCGGGTTTCTCAGAGATGCTTTCAAAAAGGATTGTGTGTGTGTGTGTGTGTGTGTGTGTGTGTGTGTGTGCGCGCGCGCGTACAGAGCATGGAAGGTGTGGGTTTTGAGGCAATTAGAGGAGTAATAGGCAAGTTGCTTTTCTCCTGAGCCTCAGTTTCCTTATCTGTAAAATATAACTCATGATACCTATATCACATGATTTGTATGAGATTTTAATAAAAAATCAGGTAAAATGCCCAGCATAGGTTAGAAATCCAGAATATGTCAGTATCTATCTCCCTTCCTTTCATTCTTCTCAAAAAGTTGAATTGAATAGAGACACTACCAGTGATATCAAAGTATATCAAATAATTTCTGATGAGAATGTCAGAGAAAGGTAGTAATAAAAATGTACTCTCACCAACAAAAGCTCCATAAAACTGCCACTCAATGTCAATATGCTTTATTATATATAAATTTCTTTATGTGTGTGTGCACATAAATGCAGCATCTCTGTATATGTTAGTGTATGTGTGCTCACACGTATGTGTTGTGTGTGGATTAATGTGCATTTGGGTATGCAAGTGGGCTTGTGTGTGTCTCTGTGCATGTGTGCACAGAAAGAAACAGAGCTAGGGGAAGAAAATACATTGCACAAGATATTCAATGGTAACCCTTATTTAGTATATTGTAACTCACGGTATATAAAATAAAGTTCATTTATGGTGTTGGTCTTATCTTCTAATTAAAATCATGGGCATGAAGCTTTTTTATACCTGCATAAAATAAGCAGTTTAATTTTTCTGCACCAGGGGAAAAATGACTTCATTGCCTGTTCTGTAGACCATTGGTACATGATATGGAGCAAGTGAGGCTGGTTATGAAAGCTTTTTTTTCTTTTTTTGTTTTGAGACAGAGTCTCACTCTGCCTGCCACCCAGGCTGGAGTGCAGTGGCGTGATCTTGGCTCACTGCAACCTCCACCTCTAGGGTTCAAGTGATTCTCATGCCTCAGCCTCCTGAGTAGCGGGGATTACAGGTGTGTACCTCCACGCCCAGCTAATTTTTGTATTTTTGGTAGAGATGGGGTTTCACAATGTTGGCCAAGCTGGTCTTGAACTCCTGACCTGAAGTGATTCACCCGCCTCGGCCTCCCAAAGAGCTGGGATTACAGGCATAAGCCAAAAAGCCTCCTTCTTACCCATTATATTCGTCCTTTCAAACTCTGCGAGCACCACAGATGCTTCCTCAGGTTTTCTCAAGGGCAGCTTGAGTGCTTTGACCCGTTTCCCCTACCCCTACCCCTTCATAGTGCCATGGGAAGAGGAAGTTATTTGGTCTATGATTACTCTAAGAGTATTTCCCTGCATTATTCACACATGAGTGAAAAAAAGTCATTATACTGCTCCATTTCTTAAAAATTTGCTGATAACTAGTGATGACTTATTTCAATGAAGCCAAAGCAAATATTTGAGAAAAGAAAGTAAGCTTGTCTTAGAAGCTGTAAAGGAATAAAAGAGGGAAAGGACTGTGAATTTTAGCACTTAAAAGACCTAAATTTGTTTTAAAGCTTATTTTATAATACTAATATATGCTCTGGGTAACATTGAAAAAATCCTGCTAGTTAACACTTTTATTTTATAAGGTATGGAAATTTAGGGGGCTATATTTTATACTCTGGGCCTTATGGTTTAGACTGCATGATAGAAAATTGGTGGCAACATATGCAAAGATAAGAAAAACTCTAAGAGGAAATAAATTCACTTGCTTATTTAGGAACTCAGAGAAGTTGAGTTGAGCTGGATAATAAATTCCAAAAAAGTTGTGCTTCTGACGAAGCCAGAGACATAAACAGGGGTGCAGCTTTTGCTAAGATGTTTTAAGGATTTTGGAATATAGGAACGTTGATTATGCCATGGAATGGTTTTAAGTGAGAGAATGTCAGAATCAGATTTATATTACAGGTTGATTGTTCTGGCCACGGTGTGAAACATGGATTGGAAGGGACAAGGCTAACATGGTAAGACTGGCTAGAGTTGTCTTACAGTAATCCAGGAGAGAGATTTGCATGTTTTGGACTAAGACAATCGCAATAGGTAGGGAGATAATGGATTTTGTGTTAAGAGTTAATTGAAAAGTAAAATACACTGTCCTCACGGACTTATTCTTTCAGAAGGTGAGAAAGCAGAGTCAAGGATGCATCTTGGGCTTTTTGCTAAACATGGATGTTGGTGGAAACGCTCATGGAGCTAGGGTATACCAGAGAAGCAGTAGGGCTGGAATCAGGTACCACTGTGGGGCATCTGGAGCTCAAGGTGCTTGTGGGGCATCTAAATAGAAGCATCTTCCAGGCAGCTCAGCTTCCAAATCTGTGACTGAGACTCAGAGATTTAGGAGTTTTCCCAAGGCGGTGATGATTTTCAAAAGGAAAAGGAAAAGAATCAGGAATGGAAGATGTCACTGAGTAATAGTATATTGAGTGCAAAAGAAGAAAGTCAAAATGGAGGGTTAAGGAGTGGTCACAGTTAAGGGATAATAAGAGAAAATTGAGTATCCAAATGAAATGAAATGAAAAGGAAAAATAGATGAACATGGTGTTATGGAAGCCCCTGGAAGAGAATGTTTCAAAATAGACGGAATTGTTGTGGTATCAAAGGCTGCTATGAGTTTAAATAATGGAAAAGTCTGAGTGTCTAAGCGTTTATTGGTTTAAATACTAAAAAGTTTGTCTATCTTTAGAGAGATCAATGTAATTGTGGCACTAGGGGCAGAAGTCAGATTGCACTGGCTGGAGGGGCAGTTTACTAGTAATAATAGCTATGACTGTTAAGAATGTACATTATGTTGGGAAGTGGAGGCAGGCAGATCACTTGAGGCCAGGAGTTCGAGACCAGCCTGGCCAACGTGGCAAAACCCCATCTCTACTAAAAAACAACAAAAAAAGAACATACATTATGCCCTGTGCTCAAAGCCAGTTTGGATATTATCAGAGTCAGGTTATTATTGAGGAAGCTGAGGTTAGGTAACTTTCTCAAGATGATACAATATTAACAGAGAACTGTTGAGATTTGAACCTGGTCTCTCTGATGCCAAAGACTTTTCATTACAATATTTCTGTCCACTTGACTGGAAGATGATAAACCTTCTGTGGGAGAAATATTTGCTCAAGGACCTTTGGGGCTATATGTTTTGGAAAATATCTCTAACAAAGGAATCATAAAACCACTTAATTAAATGCATAAAACAATTCAGAAAGAACAAAACAAACAATGGGATCATGGCAGCATGGCAGTGGGGGAGGGAGCTTCTCACAACTAAAGAACAATATAGGAAAAATGCTGTGATTAACAGTGGCATGGAGAATGGGATGGGGGAGAGAGAGAGAAAGAGAGAGAGAGAGAGACAGAGAGAGAGAGATGACTGTCCCAAGGACAGGAGACAGAAGACCACAAAAAATGTTCCCGGAACTTCCAACACTATGTTGAATAGGAGTGTTGAGAGAGGGCATCCCTGTCTTGTGCCAGTTTTCAAAGGGAATGCTTCCAGTTTTTGCCCATTCAGTATGATATTGGCTGTGGGTTTGTCATAGATAGCTCTTATTATTTTGAGATATGTCCCATCAATACCTAATTTCTTGAGAGTTTTTAGCATGAAGGGTTGTTGAATTTTGTCAAAGGCCTTTTCTGCATCTATTGAGATAATCATGTGGTTTTTGTCTTTGGTTCTGTTTATATGCTGGATTATATTTATTGATTTGCGTATATTGAACCAGCCTTGCATTCCAGGGATGAAGCCCACTTGATCATGGTGGATAAGCTTTTTGATGTGCTGCTGGATTCGTTTTGCCAGTATTTTATTGAGGATTTTTGCATCAATGTTCATCAAGGATATTGGTCTAAAATTCTCTTTTTTGGTTGTGTCTCTGCCCAGCTTTGGTATGAGGATGATGCTGGCCTCATAAAATGAGTTAGGGAGGATTCCCTCTTTTTCTATTGATTGGAATAGTTTCAGAAGGAATGGTACCAGTTCCTCCTTGTACCTCTGGTAGAATTCGGCTGTGAATCCATCTGGTCCTGGACTCTTTTTGGTTGGTAAGCTATTGATTATTGCCACAATTTCAGCTCCTGTTATTGGTCTATTCAGAGAGTCAACTTCTTCCTGGTTTAGTCTTGGGAGGGTGTATGTGTTGAGGAATTTATCCATTTCTTCTAGATTTTCTAGTTTATTTCTGTAGAGGTGTTTGTAGTATTCTCTGATGGTAGTTTGTATTTCTGTGGGATCGGTGGTGATATCCCCTTTATCATTTTTTATTGCGTCTATTTGATTCTTCTCTCTTTTTTTCTTTATTAGTCTTGCTAGCGGTCTATCAATTTTGTTGATCCTTTCAAAAAAACAGCTCCTGGATTCATTAATTTTTTGAAGGGTTTTTCCTGTCTCTGTTTCCTTCAGTTCTGCTCTGATTTTAGTTATTTCTTGCCTTCTGCTAGCTTTTGAATATGTTTGCTCTTGCTTTTCTAGTTCTTTTAATTGTGATGTTAGGGTGTCAATTTTGGATCTTTCCTGCTTTCTCTTGTGGGCATTTAGTGCTATAAATTTCCCTCTACACACTGCTTTGAATGCGTCCCAGAGATTCTGGTATGTTGTGTCTTTGTTCTCGTTGGTTTCAAGGAACATCTTTATTTCTGCCTTCATTTCATTACGTACCCAGTAGTCATTCAGGAGCAGGTTGTTCAGTTTCCATGTAGTTGAGCGGTTTTGAGTGAGATTCTTAATCCTGAGTTCTAGTTTGATTGCACTGTGGTCTGAGAGACAGTTTGTTATAATTTCTGTTCTTTTACATTTGCCGAGGAGTGTTTTACTTCCCACTATGTGGTCAATTTTGGAATAGGTGTGGTGTGGTGCTGAAAAGAATGTATATTTTTTGATTTGGGGTGGAGAGTTCTGTAGATGTCTATTAGGTCTGCTTGGTGCAGAGCTGAGTTCAATTCCTGGGTATACTTGTTAATTTTCTGTCTCATTGATCTGTCTAATGTTGACAGTGGGGTGTTAAAGTCTCCCATTATTATTGTGTGGGAGTCTAAGTCTCTTTGTAGGTCACTCAGGACTTGCTTTATGAACCTGGGTGCTCCTGTATTGGGTGCATGTATATTTAGGATAGTTAGCTCTTCTTGTTTAATTGATCCCTTTACCATTATGTAATGGCCTTCTTTGTATCTTTTGATCTTTGTTGTTTTGAAGTCTGTTTTATCAGAGACTAGGATTGCAACCCCTGCCTTTTTTTGTTTTCCGTTTGCTTGGTAGATCTTCCTCCATCCTTTTATTTTGAGCCTACGTGTGTCTCTACACGTGAGATGGGTTTCTTGAATACAGCATACTGATGGGTCTTGACTCTTTATCCAATTTGCCAGTCTGTGTCTTTTAATTGGAGCATTTAGTCCATTTACATTTAAAGTTAATATTGTGATGTGTGAATTTGATCCTGTCATTATGATGTTAGCTGGCTATTTTGCTTGTTAGTTGATGCAGTTTCTTCCTAGCCTTGATGATCTTTACAATTTGGCCTGATTTTGCAGTGGCTGGTACCGGTTGTTCCTTTCCATGTTTAGTGCTTCCTTCAGGAGCTCTTTTAGGGCAGTCCTGGTGGTGACAAAATCTCTCAGCATTTGCTTGTCTGTAAAGTATTTTATTTCTCCTTCACTTATGAAGCTTAGTTTGGCTGGATATGAAAATCTGGGTTGAAAATTCTTTTCTTTAAGAATGTCAAATATTGGCCCCCACTCTCTTCTGACTTGTAGAGTTTCTGCCGAGAGATCCCCTGTTAGGAGAAGGAAATAAAGGGTATTCAATTAGGAAAAGAGGAAGTCAAATTGTCCTTGTTTGCAGATGACATGATTGTATATCTAGAAAACCCCATTGTCTCAGCCCAAAATCTCCTTAAGCTGATAAGCAACTTCAGCAAAGTCTCAGGATACAAAATCAATGTACAGAAATCACAAGCATTCTTATACACCAATAACAGACAAGCAGAGAGCCAAATCATGAGTGAACTCCCATTCACAATTGCTTCAAAGAGAATAAAATACCTAGGAATCCAACTTACAAGGGATGTGAAGGACCTCTTCAAGGAGAACTACAAACCACTGCTCAATGAAATAAAAGAGGATACAAAGAAATGGAAGAACATTCCATGCTCATGGGTAGGAAGAATCAGTATCATGAAAATGGCCATACTGCCCAAGGTAATTTATAGAGTCAATGCCATCCCCATCAAGCTGCCAATGACTTTCTTCACAGAATTGGAAAAAACTATTTTAAAGTTCATATGGAGCCAAAAAAGAGCCCGCATCGCCAAGTCAATCCTAAGCCAAAAGAACAAAGCTGGAGGCATCACGTTACCTGACTTCAAACTATACTACAAGGCTACAGTAACCAAAACAACATGGTACTGGTACCAAAACAGAGATATAGATCAATGGAACAGAACAGAGCCCTCAGAAATAAAGCCACATATCTACAACTATCTGATTTTTGACAAACCTGAGAAAAACCAGCAATGGGGAAAGGATTCCCTATTTAATAAATGGTGCCGGGAAAACCGGCTAGCCATATGTAGAAAGCTGAAACTGGATACCTTCCTTACACCTTATACAAAAATTAATTCAAGATGGATTAAAGACTTAAACATTAGACCTAAAACCATAAAAACCCTAGAAGAAAACCTAGGCATTACCATTTAGGACATAGGCATGGGCAAGGACTTCATGTCTAAAACACCAAAAGCAATGGAACAAAAGCCAAAATTGACAAATGGGATCTAATTAAACTAAAGAGCTTCTGCACAGTGAAAGAAACTACCATCAGAGTGAACAGGCAACCCACACAATGGGAGAAAATTTTCGCATCCTACTCATCTGACAAAGGGCTAATATCCAGAATCTACAATGAACTCAAACAAATTTACAAGAAAAAAGCAAACAACCCCATCAAAAAGTGGGCAAAGGACATGAATAGACACTTCTCAAAAGGAGACATTTATGCAGCCAAAAAACACATGAAAAAATGCTCACCATCACTGGCCATCAGAGAAATGCAAATCAAAACCACAATGAGATACCATCTCACACCAGTTAGAATGGCAATCATTAAAAAGTCAGGAAGCAACAGGTGCTGGAGAGGATGTGGAGAAATAGGAACACTTTTACACTGTTGGGGGGACTGTAAACTAGTTCAACCATTGTGGAAGTCAGTGTGGCGATTCCTCAGGGATCTAGAACTAGAAATACCATTTGACCCAGCCATCCCATTACTGGGTATATACCCAAAGGACTATAAATCATGCTGCTATAAAGACACATGCACACATATGTTTATTGCAGCACTATTCACAATAGCAAAGACTTGGAACCAACCCAAATGTCCAACAATGATAGACTGGATTAAGAAATGTGGCACATATACACCATGGAATACTATGCAGCCAGAAAAATGATGAGTTCATGTCCTTTGTAGGGACATGGATGAAATTGGAAATCATCATTCTCAGTGAACTATTGCAAGAACAAAAAACCAAACACCGCATATTCTCACTCATAGGTGGGAATTGAACAATGAGATCGCATGGACACAGGAAGGGGAACATCACACTCTGGGGACTGTTGTGGGGTGGGGGAAGGTGGGAGGGATAGCATTAGGAGATATATCTAATGCTAAATGACGAGTTAATGGGTGCAGCACACCAGCATGGCACATGTATATATATGTAACTAACCTGCACATTGTGCACATATACCCTAAAACTTGAAGTATAATAATAAAAAAAAAAAAGTTCCCGGTGCTTAAAAGATGGACATCAAAAATGAAACCTTCTTCTATATGCTTCTAGCCTTGCCCCCTATTTTTACCTCAATTCGACAATGAGAGACTAAATCAGGAGAAAAGTTAATACAAGTATTTTTTACAGAGGCCCAGATGCTCCTTTATGTGCTATGGTGTACAAATACAGATGACTTATTTATGATTAAAGTTATTATATTTATTATTTCCTACTAACTCTGTCTGTATATGTCCCTCTATCCTTTCTTTAGATTATGCTTCTCAGTGATCCTGAGATGGAGAGCAGCATATTGATCAGCTCAGACGAAGGGGCGACCTATCAGAAGTATCGGCTCACCTTCTATATCCAGAGCCTGCTCTTTCATCCCAAGCAAGAGGACTGGGTGCTGGCCTACAGTTTGGATCAAAAGGTGAATAAATACTATTTTCATTTACTTCTTGTCATCCAGGTACCACCATGTGAAAATCACTTGCTTGCTTAATCCACATTTTGGAGGGAATTCAGTGACATTTCATCATTCCAACCCAAATCATTTCATCATTGATTTTGTCTGCAGCAACTAACTTTCCTTTCTGCTCTTAAGTATCAAAATATGTAGACAGGTATATTTCACTTATTGACAATGCTATTATTTCCTTTTCTTTTCTTTTTTTTTTTTTTTTTTTTGACACAGAGTCTCGCTCTTTCACCAGGCTGGAGTGCAGTGGCGCGATCTTGGCTCACTGTAACCTCTGCCTCCTGGGTTCAAGCGATTCTCCTGCCTCAGCCTCCTGAGTGGCTCGGATTACAGGTGCCCACCGCCATGCCCAGCTAATTTTTGTATTTTTAGTAGAGACGGGGTTTCACCAAGTTGGCCAGGATGGTCTCGATCTCTTAACCTCGTGATCCGCCCGCCTCGGCCTCCCAAAGTGCTGGGATTACAGGCGTGAGTCACCGTATTTCACATTTTTAAAATGACTTTCTTTATAATTTTACTCATTTGACCTTATTCAAAACAACCCTGTGAAAGAAGTAGGACATACATAATATTTTATAGTGACATAGTAAACGAAAGTACAGAAAAGCTATGGCTTATTCAAACCCTCCAAGCTAGAAGCTAGGAGCCAGGGCTTAAGTACATGTTATCAGATTCCACCTCGAGGCATATTCCATCACACTATGCCACCTTGATTTGGTGACATTGGAATATACCATTGCTCTTAGTTGAGTTATAGAAGGGAAGCTTCAAACAAAGTCCATTTTGTTATTTTCTAAAAATACATTAAAGATCTAGTGACCCCAATAAGACCTCCTTCTTGAGCTCCAAATACGTATATTCAGCTGCATACATAGCATTGTCTGTCTCTTGTATGCCTCAAAACCTCTCAACTCAATGTATTCTAGAAATGAACTGGAGATCTCGCCCCAGCATAGCTGGCTCTCTTCCAGTATTCCCTATCTCTAGCCATTTAATTGCAAAATTAGAAACCTAGGGAGTATCTTTAATATTTCCTTGTTCTAAACCCACCATCTGTGATCAATCATGGGATCTAATACCTTTTTATTCCATCCACTTCTTTCTGTTACCACTTCTAAATATCTTTTGATTCCATCCTCTTCTTTCTGTTACCACCACTACTCAAATATAAGTTTTGTTTGTCATCTGAACGATTGCTAGAGTCTCTTCCAGTATGTTAATACTACAACCTGAAAAAATATTTCCCAAATATAATGATTGTGTGCCTTTGCTTAAACCCTTCTCACATTTCCTCTTTGTTCACAAACTAAAGACCACAGTCCCCAGTAGATATTACCAGCCCCTGCCTGATCTGGTCCCTCCTTCTCTCTCCTGGTTCACTGTTATCACTTCCCCTTGAATCTTTCAGTTGCTTGCCCTACCTCTGCCCCTTGCTCCCTTCCCTGTGCCTGGAATTCTCTTCTTTAATGTAAGTCTCATCATCGTCAGATCTCAGATCCAGCATCACTTCCTCAGGACACCTTCCGTAAACTCCCTGATGAAATCAAATCCCTTTTGATGTTCTTTTTCGTAGCACTATGTATCCCTCATTCAGAACACTTGTCACAAATGAGATTTTGTGTTGATTTTTGGGGTCATCTGCATTCCTCACTAGATTACAAGCTCTATCTTGTAATCAGTCCTCAGTGTCTATCCGTTAGATGAATGAATTAGTGGATGAATGCTTAAATTCTGTAGTTCTCTATATTTGATCAACTTATACTTAAGAAAAGACATTTTAGATGATTTCCTCTTTGTATTTCCTGACATCTCCAGAATCGTACTACAGTGCTTGATGCCAAACTATTATGTAATAATGTTGTGGAATCAATCAGTGAAAGGAAACAGATAATTCTGAGCACTGTCTTACATAGAGATATCCACAGAACAACCTTGGTTGAAATAGCTTCTTCACTCTGCTCTCTTAAATACTGAAACAGTTGCTCCTCAGTGTATATTTGAATATGTGATTGTGAATTTGTGTTTGTGTGTGTGTGTGTGTGCATGCGATCATGTGATGTCAGCACCTTTAAACAATAATTTCAACATAACCTTTCTATGTCTCGTTAACCAAGCCTCATGGTGGGTGCCAGGTGCTTAATGCCATCCCCTAAGGACACCCACATGACATTTGCAGAGGAAAAGCCACTGCAAATATATTTCTTTCATGGCATCAAGTGGATATTGTATGAAAGACTTAGCCAAATGTCAGATAGTCTGTGACTTTAGAGGCTTAGTATAGCCAGAAATTTTGAAACAGTATTGAAAAAAGTAAATTATTCAGATGTCATTAAATGGTTGGATGGTAATTTATTTATAAGAAGCTCAGACCTCTTAAAGCTTATTTTTATTTCTATAGAGGCAAGCTGGGTTAGAGGCAACAGACTACTCATACCAAGAGGTTGATAAACCAAATGCAATATGTCTCCTGTGTATCTAAGAGTATCCTTTGCCTCCATCTCCACAGCACTGAGAACATCTGGGGCATTGCTCATGAAGTACCCTTATGGATATAATGCATTCAAAATACTTTCAGACTTGGTGGCTGCTCTTTCACTTGCTAAAAATATTTGAAAATGTGGCAGTGGGTGTTGATGGATTTTTCTAATCACACTGCACATTTCTAGATATATTATTCCTTAGGTACTCTTTCTTGTTGACATCTTTTGCGTAAAGTGGCTGAATGTTCTTCAGGCCCATAAAGTTTCTAACCAGTGCTTGGCCGTTCTTCTTTTAAATAAATGATGTGTGAAAGCAGATGATGCCCCTGGCAACACTTGCAGAGATGGCATAAAACACCTAGCCCCAGTCATCCAGGTTGCAGAAGAGTTTTTCTTTATTTTGGGGGTAATTTAGTAGTTTAGAGTCAAGGAGAGTGATGCTGTGCAGCAGCAAATGAAAATGCAAGTGTAGTTGAGATTGATATACAAATGTGTTATTTCAGACTAGAGCCTTCTCTGATGTGCATGCATGAAGGCAGCTGTTTCCTTCTAGAGAAAATGAAAAGTGCTAGTATTAAGGTAACTGCAGCATCAAAGGGAGATGTTTGTGGTGAGGAGTGAATCGATGTTTCCATTATTGTGCCTTTGATGAAATGCACTAGAAATTTCTTTAGAGTTGGTAAGGCTATCTCGTTATGTTGTATGTATTACAAAAGACCTAATTGAATGATATTTTAAAAGGACAGTATCCAATTGCTTTACTTTCCCAAATGCTACCCCAAAGCTACAGAAGACTTGCCAGTAGATCTCACTCAGTAAAGGCACTGCTGGAGAATTAAAGAAATACCTTGTGGATAAAACAAAATTGCATCTAGAAATCGAGAGATGCACATCACACTCTGCTAGTGATATGTGGCTGTTGGGTTGTGAGTTAACTGGGAAACATGTCTACCTGATACCGGCCAAGGCCTGGGTGTGGGGAAGATCTTCTGAGTCCTCCAAAGCTGCAAAGGGGTGGGGGGCAGATGTACCTTCCATTTGACCTTGCTGGAGGGTCATACCTCTGCAATCCTGATGCACCCCAGTCTACTAAAGTCCTTTCTGATTTCTGGTCAGCTTAATTTGGGCATTTGATCAATTCCTTCTCTTCTGACCATCTTATGAGCTTCCCCACTCCTTCTACCTCCCATGCCAGCTCCTTCTCTGGCCTATAGATTCTCCTGCCATCTTGCATTTTAATTTAAAAGGACTCAGTAAAGACAAGAGATTCATTCTTGGGTATCTTTGTAGATATTTTATAAGAATTCCTGAAGTTTAAAAAAGCAGTGGAAGTAATAGGTTATGGTTGACCAAATTGGAAATGACAAAAGAAAAGCTACTCTCCTCCCTCCATCTTAGAACAAAAGCTCTATAACTTCTTTTGAGGGCTGTGTCTTTGTCAGTTATTTAAGTGGTAGGATTCTCTTTTGTTTCCATCAGGCTATTTCCTCACTGATGACTGAAACAGCTTACACTGTGATGTGTTTAGATTAGCTGGAGGGCTCAATAATCTTATTAAAACTGAGACTTTTGGAAAGATTTTGAGATAGGTTTTGAAGACAGTGCAATCCTAGAAATATAGCTGCTGTTCTCATTGCTGTACAGAGCTGAATGTTTAAACATTCCTCATTTTGACAAGAGACTGCAGTTTTTAAAAAAATGGGCACATGCTCATGTATTCACAGATGCATACATCCTGGCACAGGGGGCCTTCCGTAGGAGATGGAGAGCTGAAAATAGCTATTTTTTTTCTGCGTGAGAGGTAGGATTGCAAAGCTCTCTAATACCGTTTATATTCTTGGCAAAATGAAACTTTAACAGATACAGCTGGGTTTGGAGATCAGAGATGAGCTCAATGGGATTGCAGACTCCATTGTTTTCAGACACTTCTGGGCCACAGTGGTCTAGAATTGCCCATAATTTTGATGTAAAAAGCACTTTCTGAAATGCTAGCACACATAATGAAGGGTTGCTGTTATAGTATTAATAGTTGGGGAGTGGGCATGCAGCTAAGGATTTTTGTTGATCACCTCCTATCCGACAAGATCAATAGTAGCTGACGGATTGACAGACTGGTTAAGCAGCTGATGCAGTGTTAGGCGTGGTAGCTGGCAACACAGGACCCAGTACAGAGGAGGTGCTTGTCCCACGCAGGCTTTGCCAATTGGACTGTAACTGGGGCAGGTGCTGGAGTGTATCTGGATTTCAGAGGGCCTAAAAATTCAAAAGGAAATGTAAACTTGACTTCTGGAATGCTGGATCCAAAGAAACTGTGACTTTCATTTATATTCTCATTTAAAACCCTCAGATTAAAAATGTAATTTTGTTGAGATCCTCCAGGATTAGTAGGCGATGATAAGTTTCTCAGTAGCTATTGGCAGAAACAGGCTTCCTGTCTCCTCACCTGGTGGAGATAAAGCTTCTGGGGATTAACTAGGGATGACCATGGCTTTGAAGCTTTTCCTCTGAGGAATATGAGTGGGACTGAAGGGCACTTTTCACTTAAAGAAAAACATTGCATTTTTATTAGGTCCTTTTCCATTCTTATAAAAATGATTTATATATAATTTAAGAGAAATATCTCTAGCTCTGCTCACCTACAGCAAGTGGCCACTGCTCTTACAGGTGTCTCATTAGTACAATGGAGGTGTGCTATCTTCATCACCATAGAAACACCAGGAGGTAGAGCAACCACCTAATGGGTGTGGCCCATAATCAGAGATACCCTGTGATATTTGAATGTTACCACTGATCTATTTGAGCAGAGTTCTGAATGACAGAACTGGTTTAATGTTAGCTATGAACTTGTATTCAGTGAGAGAAGGGCAGTAAGGATCTCCATTCATGTCAGTGTTGTTTTCAAGAACATTCATTCGAATGAACAACCTTTAGCAAAATGTGGCTCTGGTGGCCTGTGTCACCCCAAGCATGCTTTTTCTTTTCTTTTTTAATTTTTTGAAATGGAGTCTTGCTCTGTTACCCATGCTGGAGTAAAGTGATGCAATATTGGTTCACTGCAACCTCCATCTCCTCGATTCAAGCGATTCTTGGGTTCAAGCCTCCTGAGTAGCTGGGATTACAGGCACCTGCCACCAGACCCGGCTAATTTTTATATTTTTATGTAGAGATGAGGTTTTGCCATGTTAGTCAGGCTGGTCTCAAGCTCTTGACCTCAGGTGATCTGCCCTCCTCGGCCTCCCAAAATATTTGAATTTACAGGTGTGAACCATGCACCGCACCCAGCCCCAAGCATGCTTTTTCTATATGATGTCCTAGACTTTCTGGTCTCTTCTTCACCTTCTTGGTGTCCATTTTAGTAACCTGATACATTTATTAGAGGGAAAATCACATTTGCTGAAATGGAAGATACGGCATGTATATGCTTTAAGAAGGGTACTCAGGCAGGCAACAGTACCTTTCCCAAAGCAATTATGTTCCCATGATAGAAATTCAGCCATGGCAGTGTTTTAGTTAAGATAGGTGGCTCCAGCCACAGGTGCTCCAGGAGGTAGAGCAATGCAGCCTCAGGTTTCCCTGTGTACTTTCATCTGCTGCCTCTATGAGCTGACCTTGTCTTTATGTACGTGCTGTTTTTTTCTGTTAATAACACTGCCCTAGTGCTGACTACTTTGCTTGAATCCAGATCCTAGATTTCTCGTTTTCCAGTTGGACTCAGGAATTCTTCTGCTTGTCCCTTCCTTTGCAAGTCCCTATGACCTTAAGCTCTTGTCTGCCCGACCAGGCCAGGCCACTTATGCTCCCTCCATTCTCTGCCTATATCTTGACCACTCACTGTGGTATGAAGGCACCTGGCCTTTTAAACTCAGGGTCATTCTTTCAATTTTAAAAATGGGATTTTAACATACATACCGAAAAGCATACATCTCATGAGTCTGATGAATTTTCATTAACTGAATACACTCATGAAACCAGCAACCTGATCAAGAAACACCACTGGCATCTGAGAATTACTTGCGTGCTTTTTCAGCCACTACCTTCCACCCTCAGTGGAGCCACTCTCCGTCAAGGTCATTTTTTATTTCATGCAGACAAACTAGGAAAGCAACAGATAGAAAATAAGTTTTCTCAAAAGAAATGTTAGAAGGTAGCAAGGGAGGTAAACAATAGAGAAGAAGAAATACTTTAAATGTTAATATTAGAGAACTAGACTAAACCAAATACAAGAATTTATTGACATTCAGTAATCCCAGTTAATCAAGAAAATTCATAAGGACAATTTGAAAAAATTTTCATTTAAAATTAACAGGTTTCAGTTTTTAAAATGTATCACTTTCTGTACGATAATTATAATACCCAGTGTCGGGTATTATATTTTGAAATAGTATTGATGGGTGTGCAAATGAATTTTCCTTCCTGGAAAATATCTTGGCAATATATATCAGAAAACATACACATATTCATAACTTTAACCCAATGGTTCAGTTCAGAAGCTCTAGGCATAACAATGCTTATCAAAGTCATTTATAATGGGAAAAACTAGGAAGAAACTTACTGCCTAACATTAAGGGACTTTAAATTATGGTATATACATTTACTGGGGTATTATGCAACCATTAAAATAGTGACCATAATATCCATGTAGCGACATAGGTATATATTAATACCTATTAAATACATACAGGCGTATCTTGGAGATATTGTGGGTTCAGTTCCAGGCCACTAAAATGAAGCAAATATCACAATATAGCAAGTCATGTGAACTTTTTGGTTTCCCCATGCGTATAAAAGTTATTTTTATGCTATACTGTAGTCTATTAAGTGTATAATTGCATTACGTCTAAAAAATGTACATATCTCAACTTAAAAATACCTTATTGCTAAAAAATGCTAATGATCATCTGAGCCTTAAGCAAATTATAATCTTTTTGCTGCTGGAGGATCTTACCTTGTTATAGATGACTCCTAAGGGTGGTGGTTGCTGAAGACTGGGGTGGCTGTGGTGATTTCTTAAAATGAGGTAACAGTGAAGTTTGCTGCACTGACAACTCTTCGTTTCAGGAAAGATTTTTCTGTAACATGCAATGCTGTTTGACAGTTTTTTACCCACAGTATAACTTCTTTCAAAATTGGAGTCAATCCTCTCCAGCCCTGCAACCCTGATAAATCTTGCTTTATCAACTACGTTTATGGAATATTTAAAATTCTTTCTTGTCATTTCAACAATGTTTACAGCATCTTTACTAAGAGTAGATTCCATCTCAAGAAACCACTTTCTTGGCTCATCTGTAAGTAGCAACTCCTTATCTGTTCAAGTTTTATCATGATATTGCAGCAATTTAGTCACTTCTTCAGGCTCCACTTATAATTCTACTATTCTTGCTATTTCTACTGTGTCTGCAGTTACTTCCCCCACTGAAGTCTTGAACCTCTCAAAGTCATCCATGAGAGTTGGAATCAACTTCTTTCAAGCTCCTGTTCATGTTGATATTTTGATCTCCTCCCATGAATGTTCTTAAAGGCATCTAGAATGATGAATGCTTTCCAGGAGGTTTTCAATTTACTTTGCCCAGATCCATCAGAGAAATCACTGTCTATGGCAGCTATAGTCTTATGAAATGTATTTCTTAAAATAATAAGACTTGAAAGTTGAAATTTCTATTTGATCCACGGTCTGCACAGTGGATATTGTGTTAACAGTCATGAAAATAACAATCTATTTGTAAATCTCCATCAGAGCTCTTGAGTGACCAGGTGCATTGTTAATAAGCAGTAATAGTTTGGGAGGAATCTTTTTTTCTTAGTAGTAGGTCTCAACAGTGGGCTTAAAATATTCAGTAAACTATACTTAAACAGATGTGCTGTCATGCAGGCTTTGCTGGTCCATTTATAGAGCACAGGCAGAGGAGATTTAGCATAATTTTTAAGGGCCCTAGGATTTTTCAAATCATAAGTGAGCATTGACTTCAACTTAAAGTCGTCAGCAGCGTTAGCCTGGGTGAGTCTTCCGTCCTTTGAAGCTTTGAAGCCAGGCATTGACTTCTCCTCTCTAGCTGTGAAAGTCCTAGATGACACTGTCTTCCAATAGAAGGCTGCTCATTGAAAATCTTGTTTTGTGTATCCGCCATCATCCATGATCTTAGCTAGATCTTCTGGATAACTTGCTGCAACTTCTCCATCAGCACTTGCTGCTTTACCTTTCACTTGTATGTTATGGAGATGGCTTATTTCCTTCAACCTCATGAACCAGCTTCTGCTACTTCAAACTTTTCTTCTGTAGCTTCTTCACCTCTCTCAGCCTTCATAGAATTGAAGAGAGGGCTTTGTTCCAGATTAGGCTTTAGCTTAATGGAATGTTGTGGGTGATTTGATCTTGTATCTAGACCACTAAAACTTTCTTTATATCAGCAATAAGGCTGTTTAATTTTCTTATCATTTGTGTGTTCACTGGAGTAGGACTTGTAATTTCCTTCAAAAACTTTTCCTTTGCATTCACAATGTGGCTGTTTGGCGCAAGAGACTTCACTCTCAGCCTCCTGGCTTTCAACGTGCCTTCCTTACTGAGCTTAATCATCCCTAGCTTTTGATTTAAAGTGAGAAACATGCAACTCTTTCACATGAACACTTAGAAGCCATTGTAGGGCTATAAATTGGCCTGATTTGAATGTTGTTATGTCTTAGGGAATAGGGGTGCCTGAAGACAGGGAGAGAGATAGGAGAATTGTCAGTAGATGGAGCATTAGGACACACATATTTATGGATTAAGTGAACCATTTTCTACAGGTGTAATTTGTGGTGCACCTATACAAAACAATTACAATGATAACATCAAAGAACACTGATCACAGATCATCATAACAGATATAATAATAATGAAAAAGTTTGCAATGTTGTGAGAATTCCAAAAATATGGTGTAGAAACACAAAGTAGGCACATACTCTTGGAAAAATGGTGCTGATAGACTTGCTTGATGTAGTTGCCACAAACTTTAAATTTGTAAAAACCCCAATATCTGTGAAGCACAATGAAATGATGTATGCCTGTACGCATTACATATTACATATATAAATATATACAACTGCGTACATAATATATATTAAGACATACTTTTAAATACAAGTATGCAAAAAATAAGGTAAGGTAAAGAAAGGAAGGAATGAAGGACGGAACGAAAGAAGGAAGGAATGAATGTAGGAAGGGAGAAAAAAGGAATGAGGGAGAAAAATTATTTTAAAGAATGGAAGGAAATATTCCCAAATACTAGCTAGGTCCGTTAAGATGATGGAACTATGTTTGTGGGGCTTTTTTTTGCATACCATTTCTTTTCCAAATTTTTTATTATTTCATTACATTGCTTTCATAATTAAAAATTCTTTAAGTAATATACCATGACTAGTTTATGTTTATCCTAGTTATAAGGCAGTGCTCTTAAAAAATGCTTTAGATGTGAATGGGGCTGATTTAGTAAAACCCTTTCAAATCATTATTTAATCCCTTTTCAAGAAGGAGTATGTTGTAGAAGAAAATTTCCCTGAACTAAAATATGCAGCCTGAGATTTCTCTTTTCTTCAGCGTTTTTTTCACTGTCGTCCTTTTAGAACTCTGAAATTCTAGGAATATTTTTTTTTCTCCTAACAAAAAGTGTACTCTTGTTGGATGTAACCTCAATCTATATTATTTACAACTCAGCAACAAATGTAGGGTTTATTATTCAGAACGCACCCACCATAGGTAGATGTTAAGGAAGTGATTTATTCTGGTAGTTTTTCAGATGAATTTTCCGGCTCCATCCCAAAATTGAATTAGTATTTGCTTATTTGCTTTGACAGCTGTAATGGAAATAAATGATTCTGGAGCCAAGGGGTGTAGACAATTCTAATGCATTGAGCTTTGAGCCTAGGAACTCTTACATGCCCCATGTTACTTTACTCAGAGTTGGACGTATAGCTGCTCCTTGGAAATAGAGATACATGTCCTGAAGTACCACCTTCCCATGTGTGGCACTGACAAATTCTCTCATATATGTGATTATGTTGAATTTTCATAAGCAGCTGCCAGGTAGATATTATTTCCAAGATACAGAGGAGCATATGACTCTTGAAGGGCATTCTAACTTGTTCAAGGTCACACAGCCAGTGAGGGGACTGCCTGCTCTCTATCCTAGGCCTGGCTGAGGTACAGCCACCACACCCCACTCTTCCTGGTTGATAGGTGGGCTTTCCCTTGCCTTAAGACAGAACCGCATATGGGCCACTTTTACGCTGAACCCCAGCTCCAGAGAGCACAATAGAGTAAGACAACAAAATCAGCCATGTGGAAACCAAACCTTCAAATGAATCCAGTGGTTCTTATGGCATATTTCTCAGCTGGTGGCAGTTTCTGGAGTGGGACTTTGAGGGTAGAAGCCATCAGACTGCTTGCTGATGATAAGACATAGGACTAATTAATTCTGCCTCAAGCAAAAAATAAACAACAACAAGGCAGTTGTGTTTTAAGGGGATTTTGTCCAGTTTTGTTCGCTTTTCCCATTAATTTATTCAAATCTTTGAGTTAATATATAGATTAAACCAAGGTGTTTGTCATTTAAATAGGTAATACTATGATCTCAAATTTTTAAAGGAAGCTTTTGGAGACAACATCTTTAATATGGTAATGAAGAGAGAAGTTGAAATCATGTAACTTCATTTACAAATCATGAATATGTATTATGCTTTAAATGAAAAGAAGGACTAAAACAGATATAGTGTTTGTTCAATTTGCTAAAGAGAAGACAATTTGTCAAGATTCTTTCCCCAAAACTCAAGCAATATGCAAATGTAGGAAAATCAGACCCCCGTGTTAATTCCATGGCATGATGAATATTTTTATAATCCTAATTAGTACCAGTCATTTAGTCTAGCAATTTCCCCCAATCTAGCCAATTTGAAATTAAAATAGATGCCTTGATTACAAAACTCATTAGCAAAGAAGCACCCTTCTCACTAACCAGTTCATTTAAAATGCACAAACTGAATGAAGTGTGGAACACTTGTGTTGTCAATTGGCATAAGTGAAGTGAGTCTTAATTGGAAGCATTGTGAAGTATTTGTATTGCTGCGTGTTTCATTGCCGTATAATATATCATTCATTAAATGTAACAAAAGCAACTTTTAAATGGTTTAATTAAACGGAGTTTGTGCACTTGGTAATTTTTATAAAATCAAATGTCACAATTGTTTGCATTTGAAGTACTGACAGGTATTAATGTCAGGAAGATGAAGTCTGACTCTGCATGTATCACTCAGATTATGCGAAGAATGGCAGGTTTAATGTGAGAGGAGAAAATTAATTATAGAACATTGACTTCTTACTTAAAAGTACCAACGTGCATATTGTCCTTGTGAATTTGGGCATAGGAATTTCAGAACTACCTGATTTATGGCTGGAAATGGAGTGGAAGGGCCTGGCAGAGGACTAGGAGTGGAATATAAGGAGAAAATAACAGTCTGGAATTTTTCTTTTGTAATTTCATTTTTAATCAAGGGAGGAAGTAGTAGGTGGAGAGAAATGCTATCCTGTGTATTTTCATCTACTCCAAAGAGCAATAGAGATGTGTAGCAATGCAGACTGATGTTCTGTCTAAGCAGAATGTGATGCAAGTGGGATGGGGGAGGAAATTGGCTTCAGACCAGGGAAATGCTGCAGATGGGGACTCCACAGAAGTCCCGAACTGAGGCCAGAGAGCAAGGAGTTCAAGGATGATTTTCCAGTGGAAGAGGAGGCACAATGGGCTGTAATAGTGGCTGTTCTGTAGGCATAAAGTATAAGGCAAATATAGAAGCTGAGGTTCCCCTGATGTTTCTTCTCTGTGTAATGCAGGTGTCAGCTGTTGCCTCATATTTATGTTATTTCAACCCACTTCAACAAGGAGGCAAAACTCAGCCATGTCACTGATTTCTGTGAGAAATCCCATGTTAGCAGACACTGTTGATGTCCTGCCTATACCCACTAGATATTTCTATTCTAGTGTGCTCCTGCTGATTTCTGACTGCCAATATTTGCATTTCTTTGCCTGAGGGCTTTCTCTGAGGCCTCTGGAGGCTACTCTACCCCTCTGTGCAGAAAGCTATAGAAGTACCTGGGAATTAGGGGCAGCCTTAGCCAAAGATAGCAGAATTTGGTGTATAGATACCTCAGCTCTTTCACTGTCATGTGTGGTAACTCTGAGACATATGTCTTATACTTTTTATCTAGAATTTCCCAATGGAATGAAACTCTAGTTGCCCACAAAGTTGGCCAGCTTCGTAGCACCACATATTGACTGCGTTCTCTTACTTGGGTAATTTTCTACTTTAATACCAATGGGTTTTATTTTTTCATCTCCCAAATAAACTACTTACACTCTAGTCCTTGGCTTGGGGCCTGCTCCTGGGGAGACTCTAACCAGTTGTGCCAAATATTATGTGATCTTGGTGGTGGTAGCGGAAGATTTGTGAGGTCAAGGATGGGGATCACAAAACCTAGGTTTCCACCCAGGAATTACCCTTTGACATTTCTATGTTCCTAATCTCTCCTGAACCCCTCCAACTCCCCAGGCTGTCCACCTGGGACACCTGTGAATATGTTACTCTAGGGAAAAAGGGACTTTATAGAGGTGATTAAGTTTTATCCCAGATTATCTTGAGGGACCCAATATAGTCATAAGGGTCCTTTTAAGAGGGAGGCAGGAGAATTAGAGTCACAGAAAGATGTTACACAGAAGCAGAGGTTGCTCTGAGCTCTTTGAAGATGAGGACTGGCTGGAAAAGGCAAGGAAATGGTTTTTCCCCTGGAGCCTCCAGAAGGAATGCAGTCTGGCTACCTTGATTTTAACCTCATAAGCCTCATTTCAGACTTCTCACTTCCAGAGCTGTTCTAGAATAAATCTGTGTTGTCTTAACCACTAAGTTAGTGGAAATTTGTTACAGTAGCAATAGGAAATTAATACACTTACCAGCCCTTCCCTTGGCTTCACTGGACCTCCTGTCCCAGAGCAAGCAAAATCAACTGCTTGTCTCCACCAGCTTCTTGAAAGCCCAGGCATCGACTGACCCAGAGACGGTGCATCCAGGACATACTTTTGACTCCAGTTTCCATTGATCCCTGTGGTCCTGAAATAAGAAAAGTTTCTCCTTGCGGGTGGAAAAAAAAATGTTCTCTATATTGTTTACTTATTGTAGCAGTTTGTTTGGGGTGCTATAGCAAAGTACCACAGACTGAGTGGCTTAAACAATAGAAATAGACTGAGTGGCTTAAACAATAGAAATGTATGGCCTCATGGTTCTGGAGGCCATACATTTCTGAGATCAAGGTGTTGGCAGGGTTGATTTCTTCTGAAGCCTCTGTCTTTGGCTTGAGCATGGCCAGCTTCTCTCTGCATCTTCATAAGATCTTTCCTCTATGTTTGTCTTTCCTCTACGTGATCTTTCCTCTATGTCTTTCTATGTCCTGATTTCCTCTTCTTCCTTTTTTTTTTTTTTTTGAGACAGAGTCTTGCTCTGTTGCCCAGGCTGGAGTGCAGTGGTGCGATCTTGGCTCACTGCAACCTCTGCCTCCTGGGTTCAAGCAATTATTCTGCCTCAGCCTCCCGAGTGGCTGGGACTGCAGGTGCGTGCCACCATACCCAGCTAATTTTGTATTTTTAGTAGAGACAAGGTTTCGCTATATTGGCCAGGCTGGTCTCGAACTCCTGACCTTGTGATCCGCCCACCTTGGCCTCCCAAAGTGCTGGGATTATAGGCGTGAGCCACTGCACCTGGCCGATTTCCTCTTCTTACGTGAACATTGCTTATATTGGATTAGGGCCTGCTCTAATAACCTCATTTGAACTTATTTACCTTTTTAAAGACCCAGTCTCCATATATAGTAACATTCTGAGGTACTGGGGGTTAGGACTTCAACATGTGGATTTGTGGGGATGCATTTCAGCCCATAAGACATATGCATGTCAAGGTTGCTGAATAATGAAAGTCTTATTGCCCTTTGTGTCCCTGCTGCCCTGTGTGAGGGGGACAGTAGAAGTCTCTTCCTGCTGTGTAGCATGAGATATTCCCGAGACATATGGAATGGAGCCAACCACCAGGAAAATTGGCAGTAGGGTGTAGGGGAGGGAGCAGGGGGTAGGGCTTATTTCTGAGATGGAAACCAGATCCATGTGAGAGGCCCTGAGCCTGGTCAGGAAGATTCCAAGCTGGTCTTTGGCCTTGACCCTGGACAAGATTAGGAAATCATGGAAGACACAAGAAAAAAGATGGTGCCCAGACCATGAGGACCCCTTGGAAGAACATCGAGGGATCAGAGTCTAAAAGAAGTCTCAGATGGAAACTCGTATTTTAGAACCATGGCTATTTGTTGTATAAGCTAGACGTGTTTTGTTTCAGTTTTGGCATTTTGTTTTTGTTCTCCCTTTGTATTTGAAAATGTCAGCAGATCTCAGATGTGCCAGAAGTTACAGAAAGTTTGGTTGACCTGAATGTGTTGCAAATCTTCCTGAAGTTTATCATTGGCTTCCCCTTAGCTTGGAGGATAAAGTGAAAGCCTTTAGCTCAGCACATGAAGCCTTTTAACGTGGATCCTAACTTTCTACCTCCTCTTTTTAAGCACTCCATTCACTCATGCAACAGGAAATGTGTCTTCCTATTTCACACCAAAGTGCCCTGGCACACATGCTTTCTTCTAGGAGTCCTTTACTTCCCCACTTCATCTAGCTAGTTCTGAGTCCTGCTCATCTTTCAAAACTCAAAGAAAACAAAACTTTCTGGAGAAAGCTTTGCCTAGACAGACTTTACCTATGAAACCCTAACTAATCTAGGTTTTTAAGAAACGTCTAGAAAGAAACCTTTTTTGTTTAATGGTTTTACATTTATTAGGTATGTTTTTTTTTTCTCTGTGTTTAGGACATTTAAAGACCTGAATGAGAGTTAAAGAGGACCTGTATAAAGGTTATAATTATGGGGCTGGAAAGAAAGGGAAAAATTATCGAGTGATTTGAAAACAGAATCAAAATTTTTGA
The DNA here is from genome assembly GCF_000001405.40 of Homo sapiens. Classification (NCBI taxonomy): domain Eukaryota; kingdom Metazoa; phylum Chordata; class Mammalia; order Primates; family Hominidae; genus Homo; species Homo sapiens. Next base: position 104,993,050 of record NC_000010.11, read on the forward strand.
CTGCCTAGAAGTCACAGGGGAGAGGGTGCCTGATAACACTGACCATGACAAGAATCAAAGGACATCATAGATCTGATGGTCTGATTGCCTACAAAAATATCTAAGGCCGAGGGCTATGCCTGCTCATGGCACACTTCTTTCCTGACAAAGGAGATGCTTGTTTCCCAAATGCACTAAGTGGAAGAGGGGAGCGTCTGGTTGGCGCTGTTGCCGAGGTGCACTGTAGAGGGGATAATCACCTTCCTTTGTGGTTGTTCTTCCCTGTAGTTGCTTTTCTGACATTTTGCCTCGTGCCTCCCTTGGCTGCTCTCAGAGCCGGAGGCAGGATCTACCAGTAGCTGTCTGAGTAAGTTATTGAAACAGGCTTTTTAAAATGGAGACTTTAATTTGAAGTGTTTGGTAGAGATACCAGGGTTGTAATCTAGAAGCTTTCTAATAGGCAGCTAGGGAATGAATGAGGGGAAAAAAGATACGTTAGCTTTTATTTCTTCAAATATGATCATGTCAATATTGGGCATGAATGTTTTCATAATTGAAATGCTGAAAGGTGGCTGGGAAATTCACTCTCCCTTGAGTCTATCTCAGGCATAGATGGTCTCTTGAACTTTCTAGCCCAGAGGCTTCAGTCCCTGAAGGGAGCTTTAAGATTTCATTAGTAGATCATTACTCTTGATATAATCTGCCTACCCTTAGGTTTGCACAATGTTTTTCCCTTTTTTTGATGCTGAAAATGCCAGTTTAATAATCAGGGAAAAAGCTCATTTAATCTCCATTATAGGTATCATGACTTAATCATTAAAGATACTGAAAAGTATGCCCCAACATTTGTCTTTTTTCCTCCAAAGTAGCTTACTACTCAATAGCAGAGTCTGACAAATGCTAACAAATATCCATTTTTAAATCTCAAAGAAATTTTCTCATAGTGAATACTGGTAAAAAGGAAAATGAAGAAAAGAAGCAGAGACAGCAAAATCCATCTGTTCCCTTCCAGCACATGTCTTTGAGAGTATCAGTACCCTACTGTCTATTACCCAGATACCAAATGAAGTACATGATACTCAACAAATACTTATTGAGCACTTACCATGTACCAAGACCTAGAGATGCAATAATGGATTTTGTTACCATCTTTGCTATCATACAGAGAGAACTGCTGATCAAATAAGTAACTGATGGCAATTGCAATAAGTGCTGTAAAATAGAAGCATGGATGGTTAGAGTATATATTAGGGAGGAGGTCTGACCTATCTACAAAAATGTTTGATATGATTTCTGTATTGAAGAGTTAAGGTGTTCACTGAGAGTGAAATCTTTTTAGATGCTCATAAGCATTATTTAACATAAAACTAGGGTCACTCTGTGAGTTGCCTTCAGATTTTTTAAACAACTTTATTGAGGTATAATTGACACTCAGTAACCGCACAAATTAAAATATATAAACTTGATAAAATTTTGATATGAATACACCCATGCAGTCATCACTACAGTCAAGAATCTGAGCAAATCCGTCACCTTCAAAAGTTTCCTTGTGCTCCTTTGTAATTCTTTTCTTCCATCCTTTTTCATCCCCTCACCATATTCACAATTGGTGGTACTCTTTATATCACTAGAGATGAGTTTGCATTCTCTAGAATTTCATATAAAGGGAATCATAAAGTATGAACCCTTTTTTGCACAGCCTGTTTCTCTCATAATTCTTTTGTGATTGATTTATGTTGTATGTTTCAACAGTTTCCTCTTTTATTGTTTCGCTGATAATATTATGTGGACATAGCACAATTAGTTTATCCATCCACATGTTAACGGGCATTTGGATTGAACCTAGGAAAATAAAGTTGCAATGAGAATTCATGTATAAGTGTGTTTATGAACATTTCTCTTGATTTCTCTTGGGCAAATAGTAGTGGAATGGCTGGATCATATGATAGAGGTAGTTTCAAATTTTTAAGAAAATGTCAAACCATTTCCTAAAGTGTTTGTGCTATTTTTTCATTTCCACTAATAATTCATGAGATTTACAGTTTCTTTATATTCTTAGTAACACTTGGAATAGCCAGTCTTTTTAATTTTGGCTTTTCTTTTTTCTTTTTCTTTTCTTTTCTTTCTTTCTTTCTCTTTTTTTTTTTTTGGGATGGAGTCTTGCTCTGTCGTCCAGGCTGGAGTACAGTGGCATGATCTCAGCTTACTGAAAACTTTGCCTCCCGGGTTCAAGCAATTCTCCTGCCTCAGCCTCCTGAGTAGCTGGGATCACAGGTGCACGCCACCATGACCGGCTAACTTTTGTATTTTTAATAGAGACAGAGTTTCACCATGTTGGTCAGGCTGGTCTCAAACTCCTGACTTCGTGATCTGCACGCCTCTGCCTCCCAAAGTACTAGGATTACAGGCTTGAGCCACCACACCCAGCTAATTTTAGCTTTTCTAGTAGATGTGTATTGGTAGCTCATTGTGGTTGTAATTTCCATTCTTTTAGTGACTAAGGATGTTGAACATCTTTTCATGCACTTATTTTCTATCTATATGTTTTCTATGGTTTTTGCCTATTTTAAAATGGGCAACTTGTGTTCTTACTATTGAATATTGAGAGTGTTTCTATATTCTGGATAAAAGTCCTTTTTCAAATGCGTGATTTACGGTGCTTTCTCCCATGTCATAGCTTATCTTTTAATTCTCTTGACGGTGTCTCTCAATGAAGAGAAGTTCATAGTTTTGATGAAGTACAATTTATCAATTTTTTGGATCATATTATTTGAGTCATATCCAAGAAATATTTGCCTAAGTCAGTGTTACAATTATCTTTTTATTTTGCCTTTTACTAGCTGCTATTATAGTTTTAAGTTTTATGTTTAGGCCAATAATCAACTTTGAGTTAAATTTTTTATATAGTGCAAGATATAGATCAAAGTTTATGATTATTGCATATGGATACCAAATTATTCTAACACAGTTTATGGAAAAGACTATTCTTTCTCCATTGAATAACCTGTACAGTTTTGTCAAAAATTAATTGGCCATATATGTGTGGGCTCTATTCTATGTCTGGACTCTATTCTGTTCCATTGATCTATTTGCTTATCTTGACACCAGTACTACATTATCTGGATTTCTTGGTCACTGTGGTACTTCACATTTTCATATGAATTTGAGAATCAATTTGTTTATTTCTACCCCCTACCTCCAAAAAAATGGCTTTTGGAATTTTGGTTGGGATTGCATAAAGTCCAGTAGACTAATTTGAGGAGAATTGGCCTTTTAAACATATTGAGTCTTCTGATTTGTGAACACAGCCATCTCTTTATTTGTTTTAGTTTCCTTTTAATTTGATTCAGTGATGTTTTATACTTTTTAGCTTATAGATCTTGCACCTCTCTTTTAATCAGGTTTATTCCTAAACATTGCGTAAACTTGACTTTTTAAATGGCATTTAAAAAAATTTCTGCTGTTTTTGTTGCCAGTACATAGAACAAATGGAAAAATCAGTAAGAACATAAAAGAATTGAACAATTCAACCAACTAAGTTAACTTTATTGACATCTCTAGAGCACTTCATCTAACACAAGTAGAGCACACACTCAAGTGCCCATGGAACATTTATCAAGATAGGCCATATTCTGGTCATTTGTGACTGAGTACAAATATTGTAACTTTAATCTGGAAAATGGTACTATTTTACTAGTTTCTGAGAAATATGAAAATTACTTAATGTGTGAGAAAGCATTTTGAAATAATTAGAGGGATTTTCAGAGCTAAGACTTAATAATAGAAAAAAAAATTTTTACTACCAAAATGTGTCTTCAAATGTCAAGCAAGTACAAACTTCTGCCCTCACCTGTCACTGAAGAAGGAAAGTTAGCATCTCAAGAGTTCAGTGGAGGGAGATCCAGCGGGGATGTGTGGATGTTGAGAAGAGTGGCATTTATTTTTTCGATGATCCCTGGAAGAGGTGTGAGATTTGCACATGGAGAGGATATTCTAGATAGTGCAAACAGCCCAAATAAACTTGTGAAGGTGGAGAAAGGGGGCTATAGCTAAGATTAGCAAGGGGAATAATAGGGGAATGTGATGGAGAATAATAGGAAATGTGATCAGAAAGTTACTCTGAGGTCAGAGAGTGAGGTATTTGGGTGCTAATCTGGGAAACTTATGCTTTATTATGTAGACAGGAAACTATTTCTTTTAACACAGTTCACATGGAAGTTGGGAACTGTCTATATTAAAGTAACAAAGGCTATTTCAGTAGGTAATTTCTTTCGTATGAACTAACCATTGAAAACCTAAAGGAAATCTTCAGTTTTGCCTTTCATCAATTTCATATGAACCCCTAATTTGTGTCATAACTTTAGACATGAACACTTCTGATTGTGTTTCTTTTGTTTTGAGACTTAACATTTCCATCAATAATCTGATCCCATCTAGGAAATCAAGTCTAGATCAGGCAATACCCTGACTCTAAACCTCTGCTGTTATAATCATTGGAAAAAGCCCACTGTAGATGCTTCCAGTCTTGGGAGAAGAAGAAGGTACATCAGGGATTGAGGGTGAGGAAGATGCATATATGTGCTTTTTGTTTTCTTGGGGTCTGTCCCTTGAGGATTATCTCTACAGCCTTTAGAATCTGGGATTCACAGTCGAGCACTTACAGATCTCCTCTTCTTCAATGTCTGTGTCATGTGTGTATCTTAGCTCTGTAACATGGCTAATTTTCTCATGCCAGAGCCTCCTTTTTCATTCAGCAAATCTTTACTGAGGACTTGATGGATTTAAATAATTGTACACAATGCTTGTGTGGATATAATGATGAATCAATGAAGTGTCTCCATCTGGTAGAATGGAAAAAGTAATGAACTGTTAATCACATATGGTGCTATTGGAACCTTAGGGACCCAGTAAAGTTCTGAGATGATCAGCAGGAAATGGCCTTTGTAGACTGTACAGAATGGGAAAGGCAGAATGCTGAATGTTGGAGAATGAGGGGGATTTTACCAGTGAAAGGAACCTACCGGGTGTTTATTAGGTGCTCAATACATACCTGATGACAGGTCAGTTATGGAAAAAGAGGTTCAGTTGGGAAGAACATATAATTTGGTGGAAATCTCATAGTTTATTCCCAGTTGAAAGTAGACTTCCTTGAAAGAGACAGTGCAAGGCTCTGGAAAGAGAATTGGACTTGGATTCTAAAGGCCTGGATTTAATTCCCTGATTCTCTTTTTCCCAGATGTGTTATGTCGGGTGGATGGCTTAACCTCTCTCAACCTGCCTCATTTTCTGTACATTGAAAATAATGATGGAAAGATGACAGGTGTGCTGTGAGAATCAAGCAGGAGAAATTATACAGATGTGCTAAGCACTGTTTTGTTGAGAGATCTCTGCTTGTCATAAACCAGCTCTGCAGAATTCTCCTCCAGGCCTCACAGCTGAGCAGAGGATGTCAATTTTCATATGATTTGAAATTTTCATATGGTTAACCCAACTCAGAATTCCTGCTCCTTCAGGGCAGTTATTTTTTTGTATCTCTTCTTCTTTGCTACTTTGAATTTTAACCTTTCTAAGACTTCAGGGGTTGCTTTCTCTGGACTGAAGTCATCTGCTAAGATTCTTTGAACCTTCAGTCTCCTTAATGCTTAGTTTTTCAGATTCAGAACTAGAAAGGCCAGAGGTCTCAGGCAGAGGAGGCCAGCTGGGTAATAGTTGGCTAATGGGACCGTACATCACTGAGGACAGTTTCCCAGTGGAGAATCATCGGCCCTTGAGTAATATGAAGTGTGGACATCTGTGACTGGCTTATCTTTACTCGTTAAGTCACAAGCTGGGGTTCGGACTCCATTTGCAATTCATCAAGGCTCATGTTCTCTAATTACAGAATTAAAGACAGGAATACTCAGATGATCCAGGTCTTTGTCTTTATCGTGGAAGTATACACAAAGGGGGAAGTTATGATGATGTGTGAATGATGACATTTTCAGCATTTCAGCAGTGCCAGTGTCACTTGATGGCAAACCTTCGTATTACTGGTGTAGATGCATGCCCTCATGCTCCGTTGTAAAAGTGGAAAAGGAGAGAAAAAAATACATCATTTATTTTAAAACCGTCCCTTTTTTGTTTTTACTAATACTTCTAGGTATATAATTTATTTTATATGCTCTCATTGGTAAATTCTTTTTAGTCATTTTTGCTGCTGTTTTATCCTCTACTTTTTCTTAACTGGTTCATACAGAATCTTTGAGCTAGATAGGTCCAACCCTGAAAACGTTTGTATATTGGCTCTGACCAGCTGCCAAGTAGTTTTGATTTACATACTTCCAGTTTGAGGGAGCTCAATCCCTCAGAAAGCAGACAATTCCAGTTTTAGAAAACTCTAGTTATTAGCCAAGGGTTTATGGCATTAAAATAAAATCTGCTTCATCTAAATTTCTGCCTGTTGGAAATAGTTTTCCCTTATTCACTACCTTGTTCAAATATTGTCCTGTGCTCTGAAATCCATAAGCAAGTCCTCCCCACTCCCTGCACAACTTCAAATAGATGTCCTTAATACCTGTTCCTTTACCCTTGTCTTATGGAGGTTGAGCATCTCTTGCTCCACAGGATCTCTTCTGAAAACCCTGATCTACACCCCATCATATAAGGGGGAGGCAGAAGGGTTTATTCCCCAGGAGGCCACCCTTGGCCATTCAGACACATACAAAGAGTTTGGAAGAATGCTTTATGATCCTTTACTCTGGGATCATCGTGGTCCAGCCCATTAGTCCACAAGTGGGACTCAGATTCCAAAGTGGTTTCTCTGCTCCATCCCACTAGCTCCTTCTCCTGTGATTATTTTATCCCAGGGGTTTTCATATGGCCACCTTCTTGTGATGGGCAGATGAGTTTCCTTTCTCTGTGACTACCTGCCTTTTACTTGGCCCCTGGTCCTCCAAAAACTTTTTTTTTCAATAATGAACAATTCAGTATGGTGGTAGCATAAAGTACAGTCTTCCTAAAGCTCAGCTCTGGTCATGCATTCACCTGCTGAATGAATGAATGAATGAATGAATGAATGAATGAACAAAATACAACAAAATTAAAAATAAATGTCCCAAGCCAACAAAAAGACAAGGACAGAATCCTAGAACCAATATTTAGGGTACAGAAGAAAACAGAGTGGGAATAGAAACTATTAAGTACCTAATCTATATCAAGCACTGTGCTAAGTGTATTACTCTGCTATCTAATTGTAATATTCTAGCCTCTATTTGTTCATTAATCCCAAGCCTCATGGTACTTATTTTTGTGTGGGTATACGTGTGTTCATGTGTGTGTGTGTGTGTGTGTAGCTATGTGTGTTTTAAATATTAGCCCATTTTCACATGGACTTGTCTATGCTGCTTTATTATAAGGTGCCCCGGATTGTAGAATATTCCCCACCGGTGGTGGTGGTAGTGGTGTTTGTTTTCTTTGTTGTTGTTTTGTTTTGTTTTTTGCTTCTGTGTGAGCCATAGAAGTATCAATGGACATAGACAGTTTTATGTATATTTATCTACTAGGAATTCCGGCATCTATTGTGCAGATTTTGTGAGTCCAAATCATATTCATAGCTACAGCTAGCTTGGGGTTTTATTTTCTTTTGTGTGTCAATTCCTATGCTACCACCAACCCCTGCACCCTAATCCAAGGCACTGATCAGAAGACAGTTTGCTGCTGCATGCTCAGATAGTGGCCAACATATTGGAGGGCACCATATCATGTATCAGATAACACTTCAAACTTTGTATATTGGGCTCATTTCCCATTGTTTACCACATAAGGCATAAAGATAAGTGTCTTTTCCTTATGTAGGTATTATCACTCACCCATCAGTTCCCAGAACTTAGGTGTCTTTCCCAAAACACCATGGGTCATTATCGAGTCAGATACTGCTTTATTTTTGAGGTCTTAGTTTGATTTTGACACTCAGCAATTTAATTCGAGGCTCAGAAATTATTTAAGATTTTTGAATTATACTTTATCTATTAGATCAAAATGTTTGTTGGGAGATGGGGTTCTATCCAGTTGGAAATGTGGCTTTTGTATTTCTCCTAGATAATTTTCAGACTAACCATGTAAGGTAGGTATCATTAACTCAGCTTTACAGATAATGTTGTGAAGGTTCAGGATAGTTAAGTAAGTTTTTGGAGGTCACATAGCCAGTAAGTGACAGAGGAGAGACATTTAGGAGCCAGCAAAGGAGAGAGAAGAAGAATGTTTCTGGAAGCAGGAAGAAAACCAGGAGTGAGCAGTGCCTTTGAATTCACGGAAGGAGAATCGTGTAAAGTTTGGAGAAGAATCAAATACTGTAGAGGGGCAAGGGCTGAGAAAATTATTGGATTTGGCAATTTTCTAGAGAGAACAGATTGTGTCTAAGTGGTTCTTTGAAGTGTGCCTGGAGGGCAGGGATTGTGTTGTCCTGTATGCTTCCTTCAGCACCACTTGAAAATGTGCACTTAAATGTTTTTTGATGGTGATGTTGATTATCCAAAACATTTCCTTGAAATAGCACTTTCCATTGCAAAACTTATGCAAGGATGTGGGGTCAGGTTCAGCTTCATGCTTACCCTTTGAATATACTTGTTCTCTGGGAGGATGCCTATAGAACCCCTTTAAGGGAAAAAGATGGAAAGGAAGGATCAGTTAGTGACAGGTCAATTAAAAGAAGCAGTTTCGCTAACTCTAGCCTTGAAAGCAGAGGTGGAACATTCTTTCATGAACACAGACAAGTTATTTTGTAGTATGCTAAGCTCTTCAGGCACAATATGTCTTTCAATCCTTTGGAAAAGGACACAACTGTTCCCATTTCAGAGAAGAGGAAACTAGGGTTTTAGAGCATCCAAGTGACTCAAATTATCAGAGCTAGAAATGACAGAATTGAGATTCACAGACATGTCTGACTTCATAGCAGAGCATCTTAATTCTTCAGGTCCCACAGTGGGATCTGTTTTAAGTGGTTCTTGAAATTTCCCTGGACACGTGGGGAATGTGACTGCCAAAATCAAAATGAGAGAGATCAATAGGTTTCAAATTATCTTTCAGACACTAAGATGTGTGCCCAGGTAGGCCCCAGGTGATGGATGATTAAGGACCTTCATAGCCTCTGATTTTGGCCCACTGGTCTCTCCTGAAGAGCAGATAAAAGAGTGTCGCAGGCTGGAGAATGGGTGCCTGCATCGTGACAAAGGAGGGGAGACCAAGAGATTCACCCTGCTTCATATGAAGCCGTTTCTCAACCTAGCTGGAGGTGACAGGTTCATGCATTTAATTATTCATTCTTCCCACAAACATTTATGGGTTCATTTTCACAGAATAACCTTTTATTGAAGACTGACTTGTGATGGCAGTAACCTCAGATAGGTAGGAATAAGGATTTATATCCTAGAGAGTAACATGAAATGCCTACCCTGCATCAGGCACTGAGCCGGGGTATAAGGGCCACAGAATGAATAAGGTAGTGAAGAGGTGAGCTGTTCAATACAGAAACCTCTAGACACACGTGGCTGTAAATTAAATTGAATTAATTATGAATAAATAAAACAATTCCATTTCTCAATGGCACTAACCACATTTCAAGTATTCGGTAGCCCCATGTGACTGGTTACCTACCCTCTTGGGTAATGCAGATGTAGAACTTTTGCATCATTGCAGAAAGTTCTACTGGACAGTGTCAGTGAGAGCGAGTGTTGGCTCTGGAGTCAGAAGGCCTGGATTGGAACCTGGCTCTGTTCCTTAGCATCTGTGTATTTGTATGTACTTGAGTACGTTCCTTAGTATTTCTGCTTTTCTTCCTTTACCTACAAAATAGGGAGCACAATTGGAACAGCAAAATAAGGAATATCATATAGAGTACTCGCTGTGTTCCAGGCACCATTGTATTGGCTTTATTTGTATTAAGTAATGTAATACTGACAACTACCCTACTAGGTAAGTGCTGTTACTATCCCCGTTTCATAGATATAAATGCAGGCACAGAAAAGTTCATGCAGCTCATGCATGGTGGCACTGGGAAGTAAACCCTGACAGCTGGGATCTGGAATCAGGGCTTTCCATCTTTGTTATAATTCCTAACAATGGCATCGCTCTCATAGTGATGGTGGGAGAATTAAATCATTTACTCCACTAAGATTGTAATATCTGCCTGGCATGGAGTGAAAGCTGAGGAAATGTTAGTTATTATAATATTATTCTGGCCTTCAAGGAATTTAGAGAAACTCTACTTTTTATTCTGTTCAGGAGTCTAGGAGCAGTGGACAGCCTGTTCCTCTTGTTAGTAGAAAATAGCAAAACATGGCAGATAAAGGAGCTTAGTGGGAGACACAGCCCTTAGCCTTGCTCTTGCCTACCCTAGATGTGTCACTGCCCTTCTCTGCCTCAGTTTCCTCATCTGTAATATGGGGATTGAACTAGAATGTCCCCGAACTCTGCTTGCTTTTTCCAAACTCTCTGATTCCATGATTAAATGGAGCCTAATTTGTGTTGTGCAATTCGAAGTTATGTATAAATATTAGCTTATGCAACTGGTTAATCACTTAGTGTCAGATAAATATGCAGAGCAAGGTGTTTAATATGTTTACATAAACTGTACAAACCACTTTTCATTAATTGTGCTTTTCCAGCGTCCTAGCAGGAGCGTGTTGAAGCAGGGAACTTGACATGGGTGCCTGTCCCCCTAACTTTTCATCTGGACCTCGCTTTGATTTATTCCATGGGCTCCTTCCTGTGCACTTGGGAACTGGGGCTTTGAAAATGTTTATGCCAACAGTTCAGCCCTTAGAACTGGCAGCACACAAGGTGTTATCTCTGTCTTCAGACAGGCTATGCTTCTTGTGGGCACTTCATTTTTCATCCAGTCAGGGAAAAGATGGGAATTACCACTAGTTTACACCTGGATGCCAAACCTCCTTGTTTCCTCTTATCCCTTTCCCCTCCTTTTTTTCTCTTCTCTCTCTTTTTTTTTTTTTTACCAGAGAAGATCCAGGATGATTTCAGGGCAGTTATGGGAAGTTTCTCAGGTGTGATAAAAGTTCTCTGAGTTTTTGTTCCATTGATTTTTATGGGACTGTGGGTGGCTATAAAATCAGAGTGGGTACAGTGCAGCTGTCTGCCTGACAGCATGGACTATGTAGGAAGCCTGGCGGGGTTGGGGCCAGAGCAGGATGGACAGAGAAGGGATGGGCTTTGATGCTGTACCAGCCAGGCTCTGCCTGGGAGCAGAAGGTTGACCTTGGCTGGAATTTCAGTAAGAACTGAGTGAAGGGACTCTCTACGGAGGGATGTGCAGGGTTTAAGGAAGCAACATGGCATGGCAAGGCACCCAGGAACTAGCAGCAGTAGGAGGCTTTTGAACCTGGGCCTGAAGGGGCAAGGACAGGAAACCATGTTACTGAATTTCTAGACAGAGCTGGAATTAAGGGGTAGGGGGTACCGAACAGCTGAAGTCAAAGGGATTGGAGCTTCTGCCAGAAACTTGGGGACTAGGCAGGATAGGAAGTGGAGCAGATAAACTCTAACCTCTCCTCTCCTCTTCTTAACTACCAGATCCCTGCTGTTTGTTTTTGTTTTTGGTTGAATGCAACAGGATGGCAAAACGCAAGGAAGCCAGGTGGGCTAATGCAGCCATATGGGTGAGCCCTGTGGGGGTATAGAATAGAGTAGAAGAGGTCAGAAAATGACTTTGGGGTGAGGGCAAATGGAGAATAATCAGCACAGACAGATGTGGAGAGCTGTGTGTGAATGTGAGGTAATAGAGTGAGGTGGGGGGAAGTGGGGGGCGGGGGGAGTGCATCGAGAATGCAACGTTCAGTCTTATCAAGTCTCCCCTTCCCTTCCACCATTCATAATCAGCTCCTCTCTAAACAGGCCAGCATGAAATACTTACTGAACTATAACCATGGAGAGGCAACCATGAATATGGAAAGGGCATTTGATGTGAATTAGGTAGATCTGAGTTTTCTTTGTAATCGTGATATAGTTCCTTATTAGCTAAGTAGCCTTTGACCAGTTACTCAAACTTTCTCATTCTCAGTTTTCATATCTGTAAATTATATGAATACCACAAGATTGCTAATTATATGAATACCACAGGAATGCTATTAAGTTGAAATTGGTTAATGAATATAATACACCTAGCCCAGGACCTGGTGTTTAGTCTCACATTCATTCAACAAATGCACCCTTGGGTGAGTAGAATTAGCCAGGGCTTTTGCATTCAGGTAGCCAACAGGTTGGTTAAAAGTGGATATTCACTGTATATACATAGAAACAAACATGGAACTACACAAATTTTTGTGTAAAATTATGTTCATTACAGACATATATGCATAGATTCATACCCAAAGTGTTAAGAAGGCAAAGACCAGGGTGATATAAGATAAAGGGAGGAAAGCTTATATTGGGGATTAGGGAAATCCTCTCTGAGGAAGAAATACAAAGGCTGAGACTTGGAGGATGAGTAGTTGCTAGCCAGTGAAGTGTTCAGTAGTGGGGGGAGGAGGAATAATAGCAGGGGTAGAATTATATACAAGATGGAACACCGTTCTCCTTTAGATCTTCTCCTTCATTGGCTATTCCTTCCAGAAGACTTTCATGGTTCTGTCTCATCTTTGTAACCTCTCTAAATAAAGAAGAGCCCTTGAGCACAGTTCTCAGACCTCTTTTATCTCTGCCCTCACTCACTCCCTTCATGATCTCATCCAGCTCTCAGTTATACCACTTATTTGTCCTAATTATCAGCCCGGATCTCTCCCCTAAATGCCAGACTTGTTCATTTAACTAGCTACTTGATATCTCAACATGGATATCTTATAAATATGCCAAATAATCCACTCTAAAATTTAGCACCGGGTTTCTATTCATTTCCTTTCACTAAATTTCCTCCTCTCGCAGTTTAATTCTTCAATTTCTTTTCTTTAAGATGGAGTCTTGCTCTGTCGCCCAGGCTTGAGTGCAGTGGCGCCATCTCGGCTCACAACTTCCGTCCCTTGGGTTCAAGCGATTCTCCTGCCTCAGCCTCCCAAATAGCTGGGATTACAGGCACATGCCATCACACCCAGCTAATTTTTGTATTTTTAGTAGAGACAGGGTTTCACCATGTTGGCAAGGCTGGTCTTGAACTCCTGACCTCAGGTGATCCACCCGCCTCTGCCTTTCAAATTGCTGGGATTACAGGCATGAGCCACCACGCCTGGCCAATTCTTCTAATTTCTCAGGGCAAATACTTTGGAGTCTTGGCTCTTTTCTTCATTTCATACCCTGCAATCAGTCCCTAAGCAAATTGTCTTGACCTACTTTTAAAATACAAACAGAATCACAACACTCTTTACTTCCTCCTCCTCTACTCACTTCTGGTTCATGTCACCTTCATCCCTCTCTCACATGGATTATTGTAACAACCTCTTCCTCCCTAATCCACATACCATCTACTCTCCATAAAGCAGCCAGACTGATCCACTAAAATATAAGTGGTATTATGTCATCCTTGCCCAAAAATCTCCAGTGGCTCTCATCTCACTCAGTATACTTTAGGTCTTCCATGGCTCATAAGATTATACATAATTTCCACTTCTCTCTGCCATTGCCACTTCTCTGGCCTTATCTCTCTGTGCCCCAACCACTTAATTTTCTTTGCTCTTCTTCCAGTTGACAAACACAGTCCTGTCTTGCACTGTTTGGGATATGATTATCCACTTGGTTCAAGTTCTCACTCCAGGTTTCTGCTGAAATCACATCTTTTTGGAAATGCCTTCCCCAACCATCCTATGTAAAATCTAACTTCTTCTCAACTTACAACAGGCACCCCTTATCCTGCTTTATTTTTCTTCATAATAGTTTGGCATCATTCAGCATGTTAATTCTTATCTGTGGCATGTCTGTTACTCCCAGTAGAATTAGAGCTCTAGGAAGGAAAAGACTTGGTCTCCTTTGACCCAGGCTGCATAGGATGGGTGATCTAGACTTACCTGTTGACCAACAGGGTAAGTGAGTGTGAGAAAGTCCCAGCACAAGATCTTCACTCTAGTGACAGCTCACATTCTAGTGAAAGCTCCTTCCCCAAAGAAGAAAAGGAAGTTATTCTAATCTAGTGTTAGTGACTTCCTTTCATCCTGAAGTTCTACCTAGTGGTTGGGCATTTTAACCAGTTGGTTAATTAATATTTATGAGGAATCTACTTATTGTGCAGCCCTGTGTTCAGTGTTATGAGAGATACAGAAAAATATGTGATATAATTTCTGCTCTCAAGGATCTTTACAGTTTAGTTGAGGTGAAAATACACAAAACAACAACAACAATTAATACCAGGCAGTGGTATTAATATGAATAGCTATATTCCAGGCAGTGCACCAAACCTTTACATTCAGAATCTCATTTAATTCTTATAACAAGATACCATTGTTATACCCATCACTCATCCTCCTCCCAGAGAAACAAACAAACATAAGAAAACAGAATCCTAGAAAGCAGAAGTAACTTTTCCAAGATGAATGTGTGAGTGTGAGTTTGTGAGAGGGAAGAAAGTGAGTGAAACAACAGAAGCTGGGTTCAGATCCACCTGCCTGACATTCAGAGCCATAATTGCAGACCGTTTTTTCTGAACCCCCTCCCCCAACCCCCCAAAAAATCTGGCCACAAGGTCAGTTCATGACATGAACATTTATTGTCATGTCTTGAAATAGGTAGTCATTGGTTAGTTAGTTATAGGAGTGCTTACTAGGTACCAAGCAGGGTTGTTTGTGCTGGGCATAAAATGATGAGTAACCCATGGCCTGGTCCTGCCTTCAAAGAGCTCAGAAGGCAGGAAAGAAATTTGAAATCAGGACATAAGCTAGAACTCCAGAAATATGGGGACCTCTTTCCTGGGAAGAAGTCCCCTCTGGGCTGTATAACTGGACTTATCACAATAAAGAAGGGACTTAAGGTTGACCTAAAAGATGGGGTGGGGGGATGTGTAGCTGCAGAGGAATGGAGAAGCAAGAACAAAGAAATTGCTGGCCTGGCATGATTCTGATTGCATGGCGTGATTTCTGTTTAGCATTTCTGATTCAGCTTGAGTAATTCTGGGAAGCTTTTTTGATCTCTACCAAGCTGCCTTAGGTCCTTTACAGTTGCTGCAGACATATCTCCATCTTAGCATTAACCACTTCATATTATAACCACCCCATTTTGCACAAGACTGTGAACAATAGTGAACAAGACACCTTGTCTTTTCTTCTGGGAATCCCTAGTAGTCATCCTATAGTAAATACTTAATGATCTGTTCTTGGATGAAGGTGTGCATTTCACTGATGTCTCATGAAAACTCTCTATGAAGAGATCTCCTTCTTCACTTTAACAGCCTCTGACCAAGGAAATATATTCAAACCTGGCTGAAATTGAAGGCTGTGACACCATTCTGGATGCATCTATCATTCTGATGTGGCTTTAAGCTGTCGTTTGGTACCTGCTATGGTTTTTGTTGCATTGACTCATGAGAATTCCACAGTGAGGTGCTTCATAGGCACAATGTTGTTAGAGGATGCTGTCCACTCTACTGAATATTACTGAAACTATAATGAAAGGTAGTTTTGAGAAGGTAGGATCAAGCTGAGGTTTTTTGTTTTTGTTTTTTCTTTTTCTGAGACAGAGTCTCATTCTGTTGCCCCGGCTAGAGTGCAGTGGCGCCATCTCAAGTCACTGCAACCTCCCCCTCGGGGGTTCAAGCAATTCTCCTGCCTCAGCCTCCTGAGTAGCTGGGATTACAGGCATATGCCATCACTGCTGGCTAATTTTTGTATTTTTAGTAGAGACAGGGTTTCACCATGTTTCCCAGGCTGGTCTTAAACTCATGAGCTCAAGCCATCTGCCTGCCGTGGCCTCTCAAAGTGCTGCGATTACAGGCATGAGCCACTGTGACCAGCTTGAGCTGAGTTTTGGCTGCATGTTTTCTTTTTCTCTTTCCCCCTTTAGCCTAAGGAGAACTATGAATACAGACAAATACTGTTTTAGATTCTCAGATCTAACGCGTAGTTATTGAGCAGTTACTATATGTCAGTCATGTGCTAAGTGCTTCCATGTGAATTATCCTTTTTTATATCATAATAACCTGACAAATTTGGTTCTTATTATTTCCAAGTTGAAGAATTTAAAACAGGGCATAGAGAAGTCAGTGATTTAAGACTAATAGGAGGAGCTAGTGCATGTCAGAGCCAAAGGAGAAACTAATTTTTTAGGAGAATCTGGAAAAGTGCAGAGCTTAAATTGTGGTAGAAAGAATTCAAGAAACAGAGGAAACATACTTCCAATGTAATTGTATCCTAGATGTAAATGCTAAATGCTGAGGCACATCCAAAGGGGTATTATGTAGGTTTCTGCCCTCAAGAAGCTTATAATTTAGTTGGGGAGAAAAGGTATTCAGGAGATACAATTTTTGCTGCAGAGAATAAAAGAATAGATCAATAGATCTTCTTCCCTGTAAAAAACAAACAAACAAACAAACAAACAAAAAAAAAAAAAAAAAAAAAAAACCCCAAAAACTGTAGTGAGAGGATATGATTTTGTGTTGGCAAGGCCAGTCAGAAACTGTAGGGAAAGGAAAACAGTTAATCTGTTAGAGTTATTGATTAATGTTTGATTGTATTTTGAGTGTTTTTTATGACTTTTTCAATAATTTTCATATAATTCAAATTTTTCAATAATTTTTTTCACTTTTTCACTTTTTTTTTCATTTTTTTCAATAATTTTCAAAAACTGAAGGAAAACCTAGCTTTTCTTTGTAGTACAACAGGGCCCTGGCTGGGAAGAAAACTTGCCATTCTTTTAGAAGATCATGGGACAAAACTCCCTTTCTCCCTGACTTCCCATTTCTCAGTTTGTGGAAACATAGAAAGACTTAGAATTTAATAATTGAAAGGCTATTGAAATATTCCCTCTTTATACAGATGAGGAGATAAAAACCCAAACATAATCTAAGATTTGTCCCAAAGTCAATCAAACCCTGAGGCACAATCAGAACAGAAATCTGACTCCCAGCTCTGGGGTGGCAGAAAGAGCACAGGACCCAGGTTCAGGGGTGTGGCTCAAGTGCACCTCTGCTCTTTCCCATGCACCTTGACTATCTCACTATGCTGTGAGTCTCAGTTGAGGTAATGATATGTACTCCACAAGATCCTTAAGAGGAGCTCATGAAGAAACATGAAAGTACTTTGTAAACTGTAAGGTAACATATGAATGGCAGGGATTGTTGATAATTCTACTCCCCTATACTACTTTTGCAAACCCTCTAGTAACTGGATGTTCTTCTGGTTCTATGTTTCTGCTAGAGATGAAGGATGGAATCTCAGTTAGACAAAAAGACAAAGTCAAACATGGTCTTTGAGAAATAATTGTTTTTCTCAGACAAGACCTACTCAAATTGACAGAAGGCATCTTATCACACTGGCCATTAACCAAGATCATTCTGAAGATTATATACCTTTTAGAAGCTTAGAAGATCAGGGAACTATAGCTTTAAGTTGTGCTCTAGCTAATAAGTGATTTTCCACTGCATTACCCCAGCTACTCTTGCATTCAATAAACATGAGAGATTGCACTGTAATAGCAACCAGTGCACACAGACACACACTTTAATTAAAGGAATACATCACACAGTGAAGTGCATTTAAATGAAAAATCTTTCCATTGGAAGCATAGTTTCTTTTTTTTTTTTCTCTCTTTCAGTGGCACTTTTCTGATGTTTAAATACTTCTAAGAGTATGGAGGGGCAGGCTAGGGTCAAGGTGAGATTCTCCAGGGAGACGCTCAGGGTTACAGCTGCCTTGGCTCTGACAGAGTGTTAGCTAAACCTCATATAGTGGTATAGTGACAGGTGATATAAACAGTATCTGGTGTGATTATACAGTGAGGCTGGTGAAGGGAGCTGGTGCATATATGAGTTACTGTTAGAGGATTTCTTAGTCTCAGGAGGAGGAGTGATGGCTGGAGGAAGGGGAAGGGCAGAGAAAATCATCATACTTCCTGGCTGATGTAACACTTTGTGGATGTCCAGCCTGATGACTTTGTATGAAAAGCCGGACTGCTGTTGTTCTTTAGATAGGAAACCAGGCTAAAAAGCCCATGTGCTCCTCTCTGTGCCTGTTACAATATTTTATCCCTTACAACTTTATTGAAAAATAATTTATGTCTAATAAACTACATTAACTTAAAGTATCTAGTTCAATGAGTTTTGAGAGTCATAAGCATTAGTGAAACCACCATCATGATATGGAACATGTCTATCACCTTCACCAAAGATTCCTCATGCCTTTGTAGTCCTTCTCTCCTTCCTCCTCTGACCCCAGAAAAACAGTGATATGCTTTTTGTCTATTTGCATTGTATGCAAATACAGCATACAATATGCATTTCTTTCGTGTATCTGACTTCTTTCACTGAGCAGTGATTCTCAGATTCCTCCATGTTGGTGTGTGTATCAACAGTTCATTCCTTTTTATTGCTGAGTAGGTTATGATGTTTTAAGGTAAACGCAGTTATTTATCTTAATTGCGTGGCTCCTATTGCTGATTCCAGTACCAAAGAAACTCCCTATGTGTATCTGAGGTGAGGTAGTGTGTCTCCACATTTTGAGAGCCTAGGGCCTACTCTAGTGGCCAACAGTGGTGAGAAGTATTTCCCAGTCTAGATTGCATAGTGAGAGATGGCCTCCCCTCTTTCCAACCGTCCTTTCACGTTTCCATTCCTCTTTCCACCAGTGTTTATTGAACACTGACTATGTCCCAAGCACTGCTCTTGGCACTTGGGTACATCATGAAACAGAACCAGAAACCCTTCCCATTGTGAAGCTTCTTACGTCTGTAATATTTTTAAAAGTTATAGCATTTATTGTTATAGTTGGCCTAACAACATATATTGTTAGTTGGTCATAAATACTATAAGGAAAATAAAGCAAGAAAGGAGCATAGAGGAAGTTAGGATAAAAGAGCTGCAACTTACATAGGGTGTTCAGGGAAGGTCTCATCAAGGCAGTGACATTTGAGAGAGCATAAGTTTCAGAGCATTCTTCAGCCAGTTCTCTGGGTCTCCAGCACAGCATTGACATCTAGAGCATGATCTACTGAATGTGGGCAGATTTTTAAGCGCATAGAAGGGATGAAGCATCATGGCACCCATACTTGTGTTTCCAAAAGCTTCTGTCTCCCTAGTGCTAGGTATTCTCCCTGGTTCATCTGAGTTCTTTATGATGTTTGATTCTGGCTACTATTCTTAGAAAACAATGTGAGGAAACTGGAGCAGGTCAAGAAAAAAATGCATGTTCAAAGTGAAGGAAAATCATGGTAAGGAGGAAATATGATTGGATTCTTTTGACATTGGATGGTTTGTCAAGGTCTTGCCATTTTTTTTTCCTGGTGAATGTTCTCTTGTCCTGAAGTTCAGTATGGTTGATAATGTTGAAGGTTCTGACAAGAAAGTCTGGATGGAAAAGAGTTAAGGAGGCCTTCTTAACTATTAAGATAGTAACTTGAGACTCCTCTAGTCATTCCCCCAATAACATGCCTAAAGTCTTGATTCACACTCCACCCTCTGGTTTTTAAACATTTTAATGCCAGGAGTTCCACCTTTCGTTTTCTCCCTCCACACACATATCTATGAGGTTGACTTCAAAGGTCCACCAGTCAAGCGTAAGTAAATTATCATCTCAAGAACAAAAGAACTGGATTAGATAGATGCCTAGTGGACACTATGAAAATATTGTACGTTGAAGCATTCTCGTGAGTTGTTAACTTCAAAGCATCCAGAGAAGCATGAAAGACGATTAAAATCTTGGGCTTTAAAGTCAGACAGACCTGAGGCCAAGTTTTACCTTTATTCATGGTCATATCATTACTAAATAACAAGCTGTAAAAAAAGATTGTAAAGCACCTACCTCATAATGTGAAGGTTGAATGAGATAACAAACTGAACCCAGCAGTGTATACAAAAGGGAATGCGTTATGATTGAGGGTGGTTTATTTCTAGAATGTAAGATGTTAATGTTAGAAAAATCTAAAAGTGGAATTTAGTATACTAAAGGTTTAAGGAGAAAAACTACATCAGTCTCTCAATTGACTCATGAAAATTATTGAATAAAATGGAACACTCATTAATGATTTACAAAAGAAAAACAAGAAAGCAAAACAAAGGAGTAAACAAAAAATTATTAGCAAACTAGGAGATGAGTACTTCTTTAACCTAATAAAGATTATCCACCAAAAACATATAACATATTATTTTTAATAGTAAAACATTACAAACTCTTTTAAAATCAGGACTAAGACATGGATACTCAGAACCACAGCTTTAAATCAACAATGTACTGGGAGGCTTATTCATCACAATAAAATAAGAAAAAGGAAAAAGGTCATCTTCTATACATAATATGATTCTCTACATTTAAGACTCAAAAGAAACTGTAGGCAAATTATTAAACTTAATAATTTTAAGTTATTTCAAGCAAAATCAAATGGATTTTTATTCCCCAGCAATAATGAGTTAGAAAACACAATTAAAATATAATATACACAGTATATCTTGTTTCAATATCCAACAAGAATAGGTAAAACAAAAGTTGGGCAAGGTTTTTATTGAAAAAATCTTAAAACTCTTAAAAGATACTAAGGAAAAACAATTTGAATGAATTAAATACACCATATACATTTACTGGAATCCTCAATAGCATGAAAACATAAAATCTCTGCAAGTTTCTCTGTTTCAATACAAATCAATCAAAATTGCAACAGGTGCTTATAGGAACTTATCAAACTGATTTTCTAATGCACAGAAAATAGCAAAGGTCCAAGAGCAAACCAGACTCACCTGAAGAGGAATAAAGGGTGTGTGGTTGGAGTGGGTTGCTAACTTAAGAGATATCAGAAGTTATTGTTCTGTACTTCTATTTAGTTTGTGTAGACACACAGACACACAGACACACACACACACACACACACACACAGGCATGGGAAAATTGACAAATGGTACAGAATAGAGACCCCAGCACAGATCTAAATATACATATATATATATATACACACATATATATACATATATATATACACATATATATACATATATATATATAACAACGTAATATAAAAAAATTCGCATAGCAAAAAAATGGTTATTGAGTAGGCTATTTAATTATTATTCTGGGACAATTGGGTATTCATAGGAAAGAAATTTGGATTGGAACCTGTTAACAGATGTAAAAAGCAAAATTTCAGATGGACTTAAGACTTAACTGTGTAAGACAAATGCCAACATTTAAGAAGAAAATTTTGGAAACTATCTTTTATACCTTATGACAGGTAGAGGTTTCTGAATTAAGATGCAAAAATGCTAGCCATAAGATGAATGTATATAATGCTATTAATTAAAGTTTATTATAATGAAGAATAGTAGCTCATTAAAAGATTCCAAAAATGGTATGTGAAAAGATAAGCCATAAGCTTGGAAAAGATTCTTGCTGCACATAATCCTATCAAAGGATAAGTATCTATTTTGTATAAAGAAATATTATAAGTTTATAAGCAAAAGATAGACAAGCCAACAAAATGATTGCCAAAGGAGTGAATAGCCATACCATTTATAGGAAACACTAACAAAAAATGCTGTGGTCTGAATGTTTGCTTTCCCCCAAAATTTATATGTGAAACTTAATCTCCAAGGTGATGATATTTAGGAGGTGGGACCTTTGGAAAGTGATTAGGTCATGAATGTGATTAACACACCTATAAGGGGCTGAAGAGATCAAAGTTCTCCTCTTTTACCATCTGAGAACAGAGCTAGAAGGTGCCATCTATGAACCATCAAATGGGCCCTCACTAGACACTGTATCTGCTGGTATCTTGATCTGGGACTACCCAGCCTCCATAACTGTGAGAAGTAAATCTCTGTTGTTTATAAGCTACCCAGTTTATGGTATTTTGCTACAGCAGTCTAAATGGACTACGACAGAAAATTAACATGAAAAAAGGCATAACCACATTAGTAATCAATGCAATGCAAATTAAGACTATAGTAAGGGACTATTTATTACCCACAAGACTTGCAAAATTAAGAACATTGTAATTTCAGTATGGGTGAGGTTGAGGTTCAGTGGGAACCCTAGTATGTCCTGGGTAGCAGTGTAGATTTGAACAACTACTTTGGAGAACAAGCTGGCAGTACATTTGAAGCCAAATAAGTGTAAATTCTGCAATTGAACAACCTACTCCTGGATATAAACCCTGGAGAAACACTTGCCAGGAGACACATGCATGAATGTTTACACATAATTTCTTGTTATAGCAAAAAGGCTGGAAGTAACTCAAATGCCCATAGATCGAAGAATGGATAAATTATATTGACACAGTGGAATATTATTTGGCCATGAAAATTGATGAACTAAGTCTACATTTAACCACATGGATGGATCTTAGAAAAACAATCCTGAATGGAAAAAAAATCACATCAAAGTAGGCTTTATACAGGATGATGCCATTTTCATAAATTTCAGAAACAAGCAATGCCTGACAATATCATGTTTCAAGATACATACCTATGGGGTAGAATTATTTTTAAAAGCAAAGAGACGATGGGGACAATAAAGCCCAGATTCTGGCAAATACTCACCTTTTGGGTTCAGGAAGAATCATGGAGATAGCTTCAATGGAAGAAGTAAGGTTCTACTTCTTTTTTTCTTTTTTCTTTTTGAGACACAGTCTTACTCTGTCACCCAGGCTGGCGTGCAGTGGCGTGATCTCAGCTCACTACAACCTCCACCTCCCGGGTTTAAGCGATTCTCCTGCTTCAGCCTCCTGAGTAGCTGGGATTACAGGCGCACACCACCATGCCTGGCTAATTTTTATGTTTTTAGTAGAGATGGGGTTTCGCCATGTTGGTCAGGCTGGCCTCAAACTCCTGACTTCGTGATCTGCCCCCCTCAGCCTCCCAAAGTGCTGGGATTACAGGAGTGAGCCACTGCACCCAGCTGTAAGGTTCTACTTCTTAACTTTTGGTGGTAGGATCACAAGTGTTAGTATTGTTTGTTTCATAACTTAAATTTATGTTATGTATTACATATTAGAAATATTATATAAATATATATATATATATATATATTTTTTTTTTTTTTTGAGATGGAGTCTCGCTCTGTCGCCAGGCTGGAATGCAGTGGCGCGATCTCGGCTCACTGCAACCTCCGCCTTCCAGGTTAAAGCAATTCTCCTGCTTCACCCTCCTGAGTAGCTGGACTACAGGCACACACCACCACGCCCAGCTAATCTTTGTATTTTTAGTAAAGATAAGGTTTCACCATGTTGGCCAGGATGGTCTCAATCTCTTGTCCTCATGATCCACCCACCTCAGCTTCCCAAAGTGCTGGGATTACAGGTGTGAGCCACTGTGCCTGGCCTTATAAATATATATTTTATAAACCTAAAATATTACATGATTTTTAGCGAGCAGACACATAACACTGAAGAAATTGTAGAGCTGAAAGGGCTCAGCACCATGTCTGTAGTCTAAAAGCAGTAACAACAACAACAACAAAAAATAGCTGTCAATTTTATAACGGTATCTATTTCTTTCAAATGGTGATGACTTTTTTTTGTGTTCCCTCTTATATGAATTATTATAGAAGATGAAGATTGCTGAAGGCTCTATCATGCTGGCTGGAAGGTGGACCCTACCGCCAATGTAGACAGTATTATTTCTGTCCGCCACTTCAATCTCTTGTCCTGGCAGAGGTTGCATTATCTCTCTACTCATTGTGTCTATGGGGAATGGAGGGCTGGCCTACTCAAAACTCACAAAATAAATGTTACTCTGAGCTGAAGTTTAAAAAACAGTTTCCTAAAACAACATATGCAATATTATTAATCTTGAAAACTGCCTGGGGGAAAGATGTATTTAAACTGATTTGACTCTTGGAATCAAGAGAGCAGTGTACTCATTTGGAGGACAGCATTTTTAACAATGACTTTGATGCAATACAAGAAACTCCATTACATCTCACTTAAAGATTCAGTTTTACTTATTCTCCCATGCTAGTAATATTTCCTTCTGCCACTTTGGGTAATTATCAAAGTTATTCGTTATAATGAAGGGGATTTTTTTTTTTTGAGGGAACCGTCTGCTTCTGCTGGTCTCTGCATGAAATGATTATACAATTGGGGTTTGTAGCTGGGGTGGAGATGGAGGTCCCCACACAGGAAGTGGTGGTGGTACCAGTAGAAAGGCCCTGCCTTAGGGGGGCAGTTGTGTTTAAGTGACTCACAGGACTCCAAGATGCAGTGAAAGAATAGGAAGGTGGTTTCCCACTTCCAACTGGTGCTGACAAATAAAGAGTCTTCTCTGCTGATTCAGAGATGAGAAAGAGTATCAATTAACCACAAAGTCTGGTTGGATTAGCCAGTCTGCAAGGGTTTGCTAGCAGCATAGGATATGGTTAAAACATGGACTTTTAAAGATGGCACAGTCCAGTCTAAAAAAATGGGGAGGCACTCATGGGCTTTATGGCTTCTATTATTATTAGTAGTATTATTATTGGAAATAGAATATGGAGATAGAGATGTGAGAAGTCCTAGCACATAAAATGTTGCTCAATAAATGCTGCATTCTAAAGTGCCATGGTCTTCCTTAAGTTTCATTTGTTTCACAAGGGTGGATCCTTGTCTGTTATGATCCACTCCTTATCCCTTAAACTTTGCTCACATTTATGTTGGGTCTAAACATGCAGTTGTTTACCACTTGAAATCATGAGGTCCTTGATTAGAAGGAACTCACTGAGATCATTTTTTATATTCCCTGTAGTGGAATAAGAATTGTATCAGCCAAAGCACAATGGACCAGCCTCTAAGACTTGGCCTCTTTCATGGGGTGTTTTCTGGCTGATGTAATCTATGGAATGCATTTCTTTCTCTGGACCTAGTTTCTAAGTTTTACATGTGGTTGTATGCTGTGTAGAGTAAGGAATGGTAGTTGAAAATGACAGGATACCTCAACTGAATTAGCCAAAGGTGAATTTATGGGCTAAGTTAGCTGTGATGTTCAAGAGAAGACCTGGCTTCAAGTTTAGCCAGGTCTAAGAGCAAATATTGTGCCAGTGTTGCTGTCTTGTTTTGCTCTTTCAATGCTTTGCTTCTCTTTTCTGGTGGTGTTTTTGTTCTCAGGCGACGTTCCCCTCAGAGGGGCAGGATGGCTGCTATCAACTCCATGCTTCTGTCCTAGTCTCTCAGTAACTCTGGTGGAAAGAGAGCTCCTTCCTCTAGCACAAAGTCTTGGGATTGGCTCTGACTGCCTCTCACTGTGTGGCATGCCCACCCTAAACTAATGGCCAAGGCCACTGCAGTTGGATTGGACCTGGATGATGTGCTAATCCAGATCTCAAGGTTGGGGAGAGTTTTATGCAAATCACATGAACTAATTGGAGGAGGAGTGGTCCCAGGGCAATTAGGGGTTGCTGGTAGATGCAGAAGTTGGCATAGGGCAGGAAAACAACAAATATAAAACACAGATATGTTGCTCCTTGTAGAAATGTGGATTTGACATTTTTCTGAATTAAATTGTAAGGTTATTACATATGAGCTTATGTTTTTCTTCTTCCCTAACTTTTGAAAACAAAATATAGCAATAATTCTACAGGCTCAACAAAATTGAATTGAATTGTCTCCCTCAGGAGAGGCTAGAAGAGGCCATAGATATAGTTGCTCCTTCAAATTCTCCCTTGACTAATTATAGTTATATACTCTAAGTGAATCTCTCTCTCACTTTCTATTACCTCTCTCTCTCTCAAACTTATATTATTGGTTACACTTATGAAATATTTTAAAAATCATCCACATCATCTGCCAAACTCCAATCTGATTTTTTTTCCTTATCTCCCCTAGTTGTATCAATGCTCCATCCATTCTTCCTGTCACTATCTTGGGACTTCCCCCTCTTCCTTGTCCTCCATGTTGAAATTATTATATCTGGCTGTCCTATCACTGTCTTCACTTCCTTTTTATTTTCATTGTTATCACCTCATTTTTTATCTTTGTTTGACAACACCTGTAGTGGCTTGCTAATTCTTCAGATGTCCCTCTTTGCCTCTTCCATTTAAGCTTCTTTATGTACTGACACCAGATTAAAATTTCTACAAAACTACATATCTGACCCTTCTTCAGAAGCCATTTCTACTCTTTGTTCATTTTACAGATGAAAAAACTGAAGGGAGAATATGACCATTACTTAATGTCATTAAATCAGTTTGTGCTACTCTATATCGTATAGTATGTCATTCCACATAGGAGAATGGCCAGTTGTCTCCATTGCCCACACTTCAGGTTGGCATTTGAGTCTTTCAGTCTAGATCCCACCTAGCATTTCTACTTCTCTTCATATACTTCATGTTTTAGACATGTTTGAGTTGCATTATTTTCTGTAAACATTTGCTAGCCTTCCTCTTTCCATCTCTTCTCTTACCTCTGCAACTCACTTGCTAATATATTTCCATGATCAAGTGCCACTTTTCCATGAGGCTTCCTTCAGTCACCAGTGAAATTGATCACACCCCTCTGAAGCTGAACATTCCTCTCTTCCTTTCATCTAATCAATGTTAAGCGTGGCTATTTATCAAGTGTCTCCTATGTGCCACAAATATTTTGATAGGCAATTATTCTACCCTGTTCCATGATGCACATTTTGTATTTTCACATAAGAATCATGTTGGAGAGAATTTGTCTTATCATCATTGTGACTCTTCCATCACAATACCTTGCACACAGAAGACCATCAATAGGCATTTGTTAAATGAGTGAATAAGTGAATAAATAAAGAAAATGTAATTATTGCTGAATTAAAGATTAGCTTGTTGCAGGGGCTCATTTTTCTGGACTGAGGTTGCAGATGATTCTCTTCTGTATTAAAAGGGCATTGATTACCATAGAAATACATTCACTTCTCTTGCCTTCCATTCCATGAATTTTGCAGCAGTAGCAGCTACTTACAATTGAATTTTAAGGCCTTAGAGCTCCAATGCTTTATGGCTTTACTTAAACCAAGTGACGAAACCAGAGCCTAAGTTTTCACTCTCTAGGAAATCCACTGTCTCATTTCCAAGACCTAGTGGCCGTGGTCTTGTTTCAGCATCAGGAAGCTTTTTGGCTCTGTTATTGGTATCCATAGGGCTGTTCATATACCTGTCACTGGACATCCAAGACATGGGACTCGTTCTTTATGGAAAGAAAGTCTTTTAAATTAAGGGCCTCGTAAATACTGACCACATAGAATACTTTCTTCCAAATGAAGTTACCAAGTCTTCATTGGCTCTCCTTTGCTGTCAGGATGAACTACAAGCTTATAAACTTACAATTTCATCTATTCACAGTTTGCATCATACAAGTGTCACTCATCTATATGACATAGGTGTGTCATCGTATTCTCTGTGCAAACCCTCTACCCCAGGTTTATGTCAGATGAATATTGGGGATAGTAAGACCATATAGATAGGAATAGTTTCACACTATGGTAAATTAGAGAGCACATATTCTGCCTAAAGATATTCAAACTCATTAAAATACTACTTCAGCAACATAAAAATAAATAAACCAAAACAACTCTCCTTTCTCCAAAAAACTTATCACGGACAAATAATAAAAACTATGTTTGGCCCATGGATCACAGTATTGAGAATTCTGTACCAATTAATCAATAAACAAATAAGGTACCTGATTCTCACCGTCACCTCCATTTACCTTATGCTGTGCTGTTACTGTGCCATTGTTTATGAAGGACTTTCTGCCATTCGTGGAGGGATACCACATCACATGTCACTCAGCCAGAAAGATTTCCCTTCCTTGTCTGAGTTCGTATGATACTCATCATCTATATCCTTGGCCACAGTACATAATGTCTAACTTTGTAGTAATTATTGCAAGCATCACCCTCTTCTTGGAGATCATATACTGCAATGTTCAGAGTGTGTGTCTTAGGCATCCCCATGCCCAAATGCATTGCACAAAGCCTAGCCATTGCTAGATTCTCAGATGGCACCCATTGACTGGCACTTGAGCCATCAGCATGTATGTACACTTTCTTAGTTTGTTTTGTGCTACTATGACAGAATACCTGAGGCTGGGTATTTTATTATAAACAAATTTATTGTCTCATGGTTCTAGCTGCTGGAAAGTCCAAGACTGAGGGGCCAGCATTGGGAGAGGGTCTTCTTGTGGTGTCATCCCATGGTGGAAGGGCAAAGAGAGGGCAAGAGAGAGCAAGAAATCAAACTCTCAGCCTTAAGCCCTTGTATGATCTATATTAATCCATTCATGAGAGTGGAACCCTTATGAACCCAAAACTTCCCATTAGGCCCCACCTCCCAATAATGTTGCACTGGGGATTAAGTTTCCAACACATGTTTTCTGAGGGACACATTCAAACCATAGCATAAACTAAAATGTTATTAACCAGTCAATAGAATGTATATCTTTTCTTTGCTCTTTTAGAATTCAAGCGCTCTTTTCCTCTACCTGAACTCTGACACATTCCAATTTTAATAATGAATAATTCGAAGAACTAGTAATTGTAATAATGTTCCCTGAGATGGGATAATTTTGGGTGACTCACATGACCCATTTATAAATACATACCGCATAATATAACATCCATCTCTGTGGTTTTGCCCTTACAAGTACCAGGAAGCCACCAGCTTTCATCTGTTTTCTCATGGTGTCTCCATTCTGCTTTAGAGCTTGCAGTTAAGAGAGGAGAAAGTTGAGAGAGAAATTTCATAATTTTAAAAGCTGCTACTTCCAGCCCTGTGCTTACAAGCTTCCTATTCTAGCAACCAACCAAACAAAAAGCAGTTCTTCCATGGAAAGACCCAAAGGAAACTTAAAATGCGTATTGCTAAGTGAAAGAAGTCAATCTGAAACTGCTACATAATGTATGATTCCAACTATGACATTTTGGAAAAGGCAAACCTGTGGATACAGTAAGAAGATCAGTAGCTGCCAGGGGTTGTGGGGAAAGAGGGATAAATAGGCAGAGCACAGAAGATTTTTGGGGCAGTGAAACAATTCCACATTATAGTACAGTGGCGACTACATGTCATCCCTTTATCAAAACCTGTATGAATGCACAAGGCAAAAAGTGAACCCTAATGCAAACTATAGACTTTTAGTTAGTAATGTATCAATGTTGTCTCATCAATTTTACAAATCTGTGGGGTGACAGGGCATATGGGAACTATCTGTTTACTTTCCATTCATTTTTCTTTTCTTTTTTTTTTTTTTTTCGAGACGGAGTTTCGTTCTTGTTGCCCAAGCTGGAGTGCAATGGGGCAATCTCGGCTCATTGCAACCTCTGCCCCCTAGGTTCAAGCGATTCTACTGCCTCAGCTCCCTGAGTAGCTGTGATTACAGGTGCCCACCACCACGCCCAGCTAATTTTTTGTATTTTTTTTTGGTAGAGACAGGTTTTTACTATGATGGCCAGGCTGGTCTCGAACTCCTGACCTCAGGTACTTTCCACTCATTTTTCTATGAGCCTAAAATGTCTCCAAAAATATTAATTTTTTAGAAGCAATTCTCAATTTAAGTCATTAAGACAATAAAGATGTATCCCAATTGTCAAGAAATGACTTCTTAGAAATTTTATCCAGAATGTCATTGTGGGACACACTGGGAGTGTGGGGAAAGGACATTGTTATTGTGACCGTGGGCACCTTGATTTGGAAGTATACCCAGTAAGCCCAAAATGAGTTACATCCTCTAAGCACCTCTTCCAAACATGGAGTTTTAAAACAGGACTTGAGTTAAAACAGGACTTGAGTTTTAAAACAGGACTTGAGTTTTAAAACAGCACTAAGGTGCCTTGATGATCACTGAGGCTGTGATATAATAAAAAGGACTTGAGAAGAAATAGGATTTAAAAAAAAATAAGAGTGGGAGGTCTGCAGAGGGTACTTCAAGGGTGGCCTGGTTTTAATATGCTCCCCCCTCTACCAGTTAATGACCCACATTAAGGTACCTTTTCCACTACCTGCCTCTTCTCAGGCTCACCTTCTGATAGGAGAATGTGGCTATATGCCACTAGTGTAAGCTGTTCCCACAAACTCTTCTATTTGGTGAGATGGCACAATTTTGGAGTTCTCGCCATTCTCAAATCAACAGAATTAAGTGAAGCCAAAGCCCACACATATATGGGTCTATTTATTTTCATTCAGTTACTGGCTTCATTTTTTTATTACTATGTGTAAACAAGGTCTGGAAATAGAAGCACATATGCAGATTTATTTTTTAATCCCCCAATTCCTGTCTGCTGGCTGCTGCTCCTGAAATTGCTTGGCCCATGACAATGACTGCCTCTAAGCTCCCAGCCAGAAGAAAGAGATCAGAGAGTTTCCAATGGTTGGAGGGTGGAGAACTGTGGGGGGAGCCTCCTTTCTGAGTTAGGAAAACATCTCCTGGTCTTCCCATCTTTGGCACTGATGGATTGAGTGATTGTTCTTGGCAGAGCAGTGGTTTTTTTTGTTTTTTGCTTGGGGCTATCAGCAGTAAGCTGTTTGAGTCGCAGGCTGTGCACCATGCCATCTTGGCAATTCTGTATTTTCAGCATTTTAGTCAAT
The DNA here is from genome assembly GCF_000001405.40 of Homo sapiens. Taxonomy (NCBI): domain Eukaryota; kingdom Metazoa; phylum Chordata; class Mammalia; order Primates; family Hominidae; genus Homo; species Homo sapiens. The sequence goes on from NC_000010.11 coordinate 105,023,646, forward strand.
GCAAAGAGTAAGAGAAATTGTAATTGAGGCTGCCTTTCTATAAATCATGCCACAGAGAGTGAGCACATCCAAATGATGGGTCCAATAGAAACTTGTGTTCCTCGCCTGGGGACAATGGTGGGGGGTGTTGCAAAATCAGTCCAAGGCGTCTCTGTGGTTGCTGAGCAATGCAGTGAGGAAGAAATGGAAAATAAATGCTAAGTTTCCTGGCAAATTATGAACTCTGGATAGGGATAGGATGGTGGGGAGACAAATAGTATGAAATTATCAAACCGTAAAATCCAGTTGGAAACAGGAGGGCAAGATCACATGCAGAGTAGTTCCAATTCACTTACTCACGCAGGCAAGGAGATGGGAAGGCACTGGCCCAAGGAGAAGCCAGCTTCTCCTGTCCCAGCCGAATTATGTTTATCTTTGTAATTTGATTTTGTCATGGAAACACTGTCAGTGTTCAGTGTTCTTTGTGCAATAATGTTCATGTCAAATAAGAAAGCAAAGTGATGGGAGGAGGCATCTGTAGCTATGTGTTCTTCACACTGTATTGTTTGTGATATTCAATAACACAAAAGTAAACTGTGAGTGAGAGTAAATTCCATGGACCCTACTGTGCTTTTGTGAGTGTCCTTACTGGTTTTCCTCAAAAGGTGGCACACTCTTTTTTTTGTTGTTGTTTGTTTTGTTCTCATGTCCATTAAAATAGCTGCCTTTGACTTTTGTCTCTCACTGTTCTTTGAGGTGTCATGTTACCAACATTGGAGAGGTGTGGGGTCACTGTGCAGTCAGACAAGGATGTAGGCCCATCTGTCAGGGTTATTAGTTTTAGAAAAGGACTCCAGCATTGATTTCATGGGAACCCACAGCCCTGAAATAAGAAGAGAATGGGGCAGGAGAAATGGAGAAGAGGAGATCAGATCTTTGCCTAACCTGTGTCTTTACTGTTACATGTTTGAAGGCATATGAGTTTTGCATTTTTGTTTGCCAAGGGAGGCTCCAACAGCCCCAATCCCCATTCCCCACTCATTACCCTGCAAATAGTCACTGGATTGGAGTTTCCACTTCAGGCATCATCCAAAATGGAGACAGCAAAGCAAGCCTCATTATTTTTTATATATAAATGTATGCATGTGCACCAACTACCTGCCTAAGAATTAAACAAAGGTGTTTTCTGGGTTTGAAGCTTTCAGACCGAACGTGTAACAAAACAGGCCTGTGTGCCTGGTAAGTAACATTTCTTAGCTATTGTAAGGTCAGGAACTTCTGCTTTGTTAAGTGCAATGATTTTACAGATTTTATACTTTCTTTATTTCCCTCTTGAATTTCTATAGTGAGTTCTTTTTGAAAATGCTGGCCTCTAGCTGCTGTACCGGGAGAACTAAGGAAAAGGATTTTGTCTCATTTTTCCATTTCATCTCTGCCGGTGCTGGGACCAGACAGAAGGGTAGAAACAAACTCAGAGGAAAAAGTACCCTTCCTTCAACAGAGATATTCCTCAAGAGAGCTGTTTTCCCCTTGCTCAAACCTTGGAGGAATTTGTGTTTTGTTGGTGGAGGCAATTCCCTTGCATAAGGGCTTTTAGCTCTGTTGGTGTCTCTCCCTGAGAGTGGCCCTTTACACTTTAAAAGCAACAAGCACATCTGGAGGCAAGATCAGCTGGTAGAATGAATGAATATGGGGAGGAGAGCCAGGTCCTGATAGCTGTGGGCTGTCCTTTGAGCAACAAGTCATGTCTATGGCACTACATTTACGGTGGCTATGGGCTTGCCTGTTTAGGTTTCTCATAATCCTTTCTTCCCAAGGAGATTCTAGAAGCAATTTAATCATCAGCTGAACCACCTGAGCTGAAAATTTTTGACTGTGTGTTTGAGGCCAGCAAAATTATACTTTCTCGTGTCTTTCTTCAGATAAATTGGAGTTTCTGTACACTGGGATTTTTGAATCTCACTCCAGTGCTCTTTCTGTGCAGCCTCGAGCATTGCCTGGCATTTTCTAGCTTCGGAACTTGTATTGAGAGCTTTTTCTTTTAATAGTCGCCTGTTTGGTTGTTTCCCCAAATAGACTTCAGGTTCCTCCAGGGCGGTTGTGTTTTGTTTCTGCCTTATCCCCAGCCCTTAGCAGAGCACACACAATAGACAATTTATAAGTATTGGGTGAATATCCGATGCCTGTACTGCTTTATAATTATGTCTTCTCAAACACACACACACACACACACACACACACACACACACACACACACCTGAAGAACAAGTTAATGCATGCAAATCTTGACACCCTCACAACTCATTACTTTCCTAAATTTAAGTTACAGTAAGTGACACCCCTTTCTGCGGGCTCAAAATCAGGAAGTCATCTTTGACTCTTTCTCTCAAACCCAACTTCAGTACAGCAGCAAATTGTCACTTCTGCCTTCAAAAAATATCCCGGATGCGATCAGTTCTCCTATCCTCCTCCACTAATTAGTCAATGGGGCCCACAGTCTCAGAGCTATCTGTGACTCCTCTTTTTTCCTCAGACCTCACAGTCATTCTGTTACACATCTTATTGGTGTTACCTCCAGAATATTTTGCAAATCCCTCCACATCCCTACCTCCATGCCTAACACACTAGTCCAAGCCACCAGCCCTCTCCCCTGGACAGCCACAGTCTTCTCTAGACTCGCCGCTCCACTCTGTGGGTTCCCCACTTTCTGCTCCACAGAGTTGCCCGTGATCTTTACAGGTCACTAAATCAGATTGTGGGCAGTCTTCTCTTTAAATGCATCAGTAGACTTCCCTGATGCATGAAAGGAAGCAAAATGGAATCATCATTCAACCAGCAATCCCATTATTAGGTAAGTACCCAAAGGAAAATAAATTGTTCTACCAAAAGGACACATGCACTTGTATGTTCATGACAGCACAATTCACAATATCACAGACATGGAATCAACCTAGATGTCCATCAACTGTGGACTGGATAAAGAAAATGTGGTACGTATACACCATGGAATACGACACAGCTGTAAAAAAGAAGTTAATAATGTCCTTTGCAGCAACATGGAATGCAGCTGGAGACCATTATACTAAGTGAATTAAGGCAGAAATGCAAAACCAAATACCACGTGTTCTCACTTATAAATGGGAGCTAAACATTGGGTACACGTGGACACAAAGATGGGAACAATATATACTGCGGACTACAAGAGGTGGGTGGGGGAAGGGGACCAAGGGGTGAAAAACCACCTATTGGGTGCTATGCTCCCTGCTTGGGTGATGGCTTCAATTGTACCCCAAACCTCAGCATCACACAGTATACCCCTTTAAATCTGCATATGTACCTCCTGAATCTAAAAGAAAAGTTGAAATTAAGCAAACAGAAACGCCAAGACCCTGTCCAGGTAAAACCTGCCTTTGACGTGATCTTGTCCCCAGCTTTCTCTCTAACCTAACCTCTGTTACTTCCCTCCTGCTCGCTGTGCTCCAGCCACACTGGCCCATACTGTTCCTCAAGACGCTGTGGGTCTGTATCCTTCCCATCCTTCCATCCTAGGTGACTTCTTCAGATGTCCACATCACCTGCCCTTTCATTTCCTTCAGGTTTCTGCTCAAATGATAGCTCCTCAGAGAAGTCTCCTCTGGCTTGTTTAAAAACGATGCCACTGGACTGTATGAAAATTAGCTTGATTTAATTCTTCCACATTGTGTTCACGGATCATAATATCACGTTGTACCCCATAAACTTATGCAAGTACAAATTGTCAATGTACAATAAAAAAAGTACCACTGACATGCTCTATCCACTTTCTCTGCTTTAATTTTCTTTGTAGCAGCTACTGCTTCATGACACTATATAATAATGAGTGGATCCTCATTATTTGCAATTCCCTATTTATGACTTTGCCTACCTGCTGCAGTTTATTTGTAAGCCTAAAATCTATACTCACCATGTTTTTTTTCATGGTCATTCACAGACATGCAGAGAGTGGCAAAAAATGTGAGCCACATGATGGGCACATACTCAGCTGAGGTTCAACAAGCAACACTCTGCCTTCTGGCTCCAGCTCTGATGCTGTCCACAAGTGTCCTTTGATGGTCTATTTTGTGCCACATATTTTGCACTTTTGTGCTTTGTTTGGTAATCTCCTTGTTTAAAATGGCCCAGGACATGGTGCTGAAGGGCTTCCTAGTGCTCCTGAGCACAAGGAGACTGTGATGTCCCTTGTGGAGAAACACATGTGGTAGAGCAGCTTCCTTGCTGTTGGCCATGAGTTCAATGTTAATGAATCACTATATGTATTTAAAACGTTATCTTTAAACAGAAAACACCTAAAACAATGTCGCATATTGATTGCTTTTATAAAAATATTGTGACCAGAGACACGTAGATACTTAACCTTGTATTTCCCCTAGGAACTATAGTCAGTATTCACTAAATCAGGTTTTGCAGTGGCTTTATAGATCATAACTACCACAAATAATGAGACTCAATTGTGTGTGTGTATTTGCTTACTTACGTATATATAAGTAGGTTTTCTTATTGCCCATTTCTCTCATTACCATGTAAACTCCATGGAGTCAGGGGTCAGTACCCTGTGTTTTCCCAGATTCTTATTCTCTGCTGTTTTCTCAGAATCTAGAACCATGCCTGGCTCATGGAAGGTGCTCACTCAATTACTGAATGATTAAATGGTTGAACAAATGAATGAAATGTAGTCAAGAATGTCTCAGGGAAAGAAACTCTGACAAAATAACAGTTTCCTGGGACTTTATTAGGCATCATGCTGATCTCCAGTCTTGCCATGTCTTTGCAAAGTAAGTATTATTAGCAGCTTCTCCACTACCTCCCCGTGAAATGGCCCACCCAAGATCACAGGACAGTCTGGCTCAGGCACTCCATATATCCACCTTGTGAATCTTGGTGGGTGTGGTGTTTGAGCACATGGGCCATGAAATCAAACAGCCTGGTTTGAATCCAACTTCAACCCTTAGTCTGTGTATTTGGAATTAATCCTCTCCAAAACTTTATTTTTTTGTACCATAAAATGAGGATAATCAAACGTCCTCCACAGGGTGGTCGTGGGGATTAACTGGGATGATGCAACCACTTAACCTAGCACCTGACACATAATAAGTATTTCTTAGACATTAGTTCTTATTGTTATATGCTTTGGGCCCCTGGTGTTAGAGGTCAAAGAGATGCAAAACCAAGCCAGGAGGCACTCAGGATAAAGTTCCACTGTCAGCAGCCCTTAACAAGTTCTCAAGATCGGTACCTAAGAGCAGGGGTCAGCAAACTTTTTCTGTAAAGGACTGAATAAGTGAATATTTTAGGCTTTATTGGCCATCAGATCTCTGCCACAACAGCTCAACTCTAATGAAAGTGTGGCTATGTTCCAATCAAACTATCTTTACAAAAACGGGTGGGTCATAGTTGGCCAACCTCTGCTTTAGATCAAGGCTACTCAACCCTGCCTCTGCATTAGAATCAGCTGGGGAACTTTAAAGCTACCTCTGGCCAGGTATTCTATTCCCAGAGATTCTGATTTAATTTTTCTGGGGTGGGGCCTAGGTATCAATATGATTTACAAGTCACAGGTAACTCTAATGCAGAGTTGAGAACCACTGATTTGGATCATTAAAGCCATGGGTAGAAGAGTCTCAAAGCAGATGCTGTCTTCCTGTCTCCACCCAAGTTTCTTTCTCACCCCATTTTAAAATCCAAGGACAAGCATTGTTTGAGGGCTTTGGGTAGGAATTGGCCAGTCTCAGTAAATCTTCTTTGCTTAATGCACAGACCATATCCCTTTTGTATCTAGAGGGAAACCTAATTATCTGTCTAATAAATGAATTGTACTTTCAGGAAATACAGTCCAGCTGTTACTCTGCATTTTAGCTGAGGCTGTGCTTTTTGCTGTCTAATTGTCTTTCAGCATTGGCAGTTAGAATGGTTTTGAGTGGAAACAGTCTTCCAATCTCCTTTGTCAAAGCCGTGGCTTCTCTGATGGAGCTGGGAGTGGGCTCCCAGGAGTCAAAAGATCTCTGTCTTAAGGCCAAGGTACTCTTCTTTAATGAGTCCTAGAAGAAGCTTATGACATTCCCTTCTTTAAGAAGCTTCAAATACTCAGCTAGTTGTCATCCCCCATTTGATATAGGGGTAGAGGTTAGCTGAAGACAGGGGGATAAACTTAGTCATAAATATCCAAGCTTCCTCAAGAATTACCTGAACAGAGTTTCTCCCTTCTTCCCCATTTGCATTAAAATCATCTGGGAGCTTGTTAAAACGCAGACATCTGGGTTCTATTCCTGACCCACTGAATTGGATTTTCTGGAGGGGATACTGGAATGTACATTTTTAACAAGGTATCTGGATAACTTTGAAATTTGAGAGCTGCTATTCTGGGGTGAGCCCTTCACCCTACTTACATAAGACTGAGATTGAGGAATTTAAAGTCTTCTTCAAAACAGCCCAGTTAGTTCATTGCTGAAGCTAGGAGTTGGGTCTGACTCTGTGTATCAGCTAGTTAATGCTATGTAACCATCTCCCCCAAAACTTAATGATTTTAAAACAGTAAACATTCATTATTGCTCACATATATATGGGTGATGTTTCTGGTCTCAGCGAGATTCACTTCTGCGCTTATTGTTAACTGTGGTTGAGTAGGCAGTTCTGCTGATCTTGGCTGGGCTCTCTTTTACATTTGGGTAGGTTGGCTGCATGCTGGTCTGAGATGGTCTCAGCTGGGATGTCTGGATTCTCTTCTATATGGTCTGTTACCTCCAGCAGGCTAGCATGGCTGTGCTCACCTAATGGTCACAACATTCTGAGAGATTGGAAGTGTCCAAGGCTCCTGCACAAAACAGGGAAACTGTCATTTACATTGAATTCTGATACCAAAACAAGGAACAAGGACAATCTAGACTTAGGGGGTGAGGAAAGAAATCCTAGCTCTCCAAAGAAGATGCTGAAGATCCTTTTTTTTTTTTTTGAGACAGAGCTTTGCTCTTGTTGCCCAGGCTGGAGTGCAATGGTGGGATCTTGGCTCACTGCAACCTCCACCTCCTGGGTTCAAGCGATTTTCCTGCCTTAGCCTCCCACGTAGCTGGGATTACAGGCATGTGCCACTATGCCTAGCTAATTTTTGTATTTTTAGTAGAGTTGAGGTTTTACCATGTTGGTCAGGCTGGTCTTGAACTCCTGACCTCAGGTGATCTGCCCACTTCAGCCTCCCAAAGTGTTGGGATTACAGGTGTGAGCCACTGCACCTGGCCTGTGGATCCTTTTTACAAAGGTCTTAGATACAGGGAGGCTGAATGAATCTACCAGAGACTGTTACACAGAGTCCTGGGCCTTTTCCACAACATTCAAGTACCTTTAAAACATGTATGTTTGGCCATGTGTAGTGGCTCATGCCTGTAATCCCAGCACTTTGGGAGGCCGAGGTGGGCGGATCACCTGAGGTCAGGAGTTTGAGACCAGCCTGGCCAACATGGTAAACCCCCGTCTCTAGTAAAAACACATGAAAAAATTAGCCAGGGTTGGTGGTGGGTGCCTGTAATCCCAGCTACTCTGGAGGCTGAGGCAGGAGAATTGCTTGAACCCAGGAGTTGGAGGTTGCAGTGAGCCGAGATCACGCCACTGCCCTCCCGTCTGGGCAACAAGGGTGAGACTTAGTCTCAAAAAAACAAACAAACAACACACACACACACAAACACACACACACACACACACACACACACACAAAAACATGTATGTTTGTTTTACAAATGTTTAGGGAGCATCAGTAGTGAACATTCCCTTGGGTTCTATTTCTAGAATTATTGCTTTTGGATGAAGAATCAAAAATTATATATCTAAAGGAACCTAAGAATTCATTGTTTTAAACCCTAGCAGATACTTTAATTTCCTGTTAATGTCCCCTTAATCAAAATGTTCATCCATCTTCTGCTGAAACACATCACATTACTCCCTGGAGAACTTGCTGCCGTGTGAGGCAGCTCCTTCCAGCCTCAGGAAATTCTTACCAAGAGGATATTATTTCTTACATTAAGCAAACATTTGCTTCTGCCTAGATTTCACCTTTTGTTTCTGCTTCTGCCCTCCAATGCTACATGGAAGAATGTCTCATTGTCCTCCCAACCTTTGCCTGCACCTGAAAACAGTTATAAACATCTTTCCTTATTGTTCAGTCTTCTCTACCAGCTAATCCAAGTTTCTACAGTTTTTCCCTGGCGTATAGTTTTGAGCTTTCTCAACAATTCAGGTTGTTTCCTTGAAAATGTTTCTCAGGGCCAGGTGCAGTGGCTCATACCTGTAATCCCAGCACTTTGGAAGGCCGAGGCAGGCAGATCACTTGAGGTCAGGAGTTCAAGACCAGCCTGACCAACATGGAGAAACCCCGTCTGTACTAAAAATACAAAATGAGCCAGGTGTGGTAGCAGGCTTCTGTAATCCCAGCTACTCGGGAGGCTGAGGCAGGAGAACCGCTTGAAACCGGAAGACAGAGGTTGCAGTGAGCCACGATTGCGCCACTGCACTCCAGCCTGGGCAACAAGAGTGAAACTCCATTTTAAAAAAAGAAAGAAAGAAAACATTTCTCAGTGGCAGCCAAGGATTTTGGGATGAGCGTTGGTTTTAGAATCAGATACCCTGAAATTTACTTTGAGATTTTGAGCAAGTTCCTAAAACCCTTGGAACTTCAGTATCCTCCTTCAGGAAGTGTGGACGGAAATCACCATCAGTATGTATTTTGTGTCAGTTAACCACTACAACATACATAGAAATGCCTGTCAGGGAAATCCTCCATATATATGAGTTTCTTTCCTTTTTTACTCCTCTGAAAGAATAGCCTTTGAAGTACAAGTTTTCTTCCTATAATATTTTGAATTTGAATGAACTCAGATTTTCTGAGCGCTACTAATACTAAAATTATGAGGATATTTAAATGTCCTTCTGGAATTATGTTTCAAATGGCATTTCATGTGGTAGGAATAGCAAGGTTTTCATTTCTTCCAAGTTGAACGTAGCTATTATTATTTTGATACTTAGAGATAGTAATTTAAATTAAATAAATGACCTAAAACTAAGAGATTTAAGTTCTTCTCACTTCTTTTAGATTCAGGCCTTTGGGAAGGAAAAACAAATCTGAACCTGGAAAATAATTAAGGACAAATTGAACACAGTGAGGAGGCCAGGAAAGCAGGCAATAAAGTAGATATTAACAATAGGATGTGATGTGAAACTAAAACCCTTAGAGAAAGAGAAAACATAGGTAGAGGGTGGGGTGGGAATGTGGGCCCATCATCTCATGGAGGAGTATCAGTTTTTGTTCAAAGGGTATGGCTTAATATGAGATATTTATGAATTGCAGCATATAAAATGAATAAAATCTGATTGCAGAGGAAAATGGTTGAGGGAATTGGACTGTGGAGACAAAAGAATGGACTTCAGTAAATACTGTGTAAATTGTAAGGTTGTCTTATGTGACTATTAGCTCAGAAAATACTCTTCAGTATAAAGAGGATAAAAGGAATTGTGGAAATGATTTGTAAATAAAGGTGCTAGATAAATTCAAGGTACACTGCCATTCATGCACAGCATACTCAAATGAGACATTAGTCCTGTGAGGTTATATTAATTTGTTTTTCTTTCAACAGCAAGAAGGTAACATAAAAGATAGTATGGTGTAGTAAAAAGAGCATTGAGTGAAGTCAGGACCTCTGGGTTCAAATTCCAGCTCTACAGCTGACTAGCTGTGTGACCCTAGGCAAGTCTCTTAGGTTCTCTGAGTTTTAGAGTCTCCATGTGTGAAAAGAACTGTCCAGGTTATCTCTAAGGCCATGTTTATGATTCTCTGATCCTATGTTGTTAAGCAGCTCAGTGGCAGTTTCTATGGGGAGATTAAGATTTCAGATGGGATTCCTCTCATCTAGGAACTTCTATTCTACTTGAAGAGACAGCCTGGAGTTTTGATGCATAAGTGAATGAATGAGTAGGTTGATGTTTGGATGAGTTACATAGAGACAATTAGAGAGCTATAAGAGAAGCCTGTTATTAGAAGCTAGTTGGACACTGTCATTAAATATCAAAAAAGAGAGATGGTGTTTATAGGATACTGTTTCTTCCTCACCGACTTCCTATGGTTTTATAATTTTTCTGAACTAGTTCATAATTTTTGGTATTGTACTCTTACCTGTTTTGGCCAAGGATGGCTTCATGGAAAACAGAGAATTAGAACTAATTTTGAGAGAAGGATAGAATTTTTACAAATTCGGAAAAGGAAGGAGGATTTTTTTCAGGTAGAAAGAATAGACCTTTAAAAGATCTGAAAAGGGATATTCATGTGTTCATTCAGCAAATAGTCATTGAACATCTGCTCTTCCCATACCTGGCACAGTATTAAGCACTTGGGGTTATTAAGGAAGGAATTCCCACTATCTAGAAAGGAAGATATACATTGATCATGAAATTATACAAATACATGTTTTCATGCTTTGATGAATGTTGTGGAATAAGAGAACGGAGAGCCGTGAGAGCAGATGACAGTGGACCTGGTGCTGTCTGGGGTGGGAAGTGACCAAAGAGGACTTCCCTTAGGAAGTGTTATTTCCGATGACACCTGACATATGAGTAGGAGTTCAGTACACCAAATGGAAATAGGAAGAAGTCCAAGTGGAAGAAGGGTGTTCTAGATAGAGGGAGTAGCATGTGCAAAAGCCCTGAGACTAGAGAGTTCATGGCATGTTTGAGAAACTAAATGGGAACCAATGTGGCTGGAACTTGGAAGATAAGTCAGGGAGGGGAAAATACTGGAGGAAAAGGCAGGTGGGAGATGAGCATGATGTCATCCATTTGACAGAGGGTAAACATCAGTGTTAGTATAAGCCAGTTTCTGCATGCTTGACTGAAGGAAATCACTCTATTTCATAGGGTAGGCACTGGGGTATATATATGGGGCAAGCCTCATCTATGATCTCAAATGGATTTTGAGGTGCATAAGCACGTCTTCCAGAGAGGAGGATACTGACTTGGGAAACAGAAGGTTTGATCATCCAAAGATACAAATGTCCTTTGAAATTGGAGGCAAAGTCAGAAGGATAAGCCTGAAGAATCATACAAAGCCATGGCAAAAATAAGGCTGCCATATTAACTGGCACAGTCTGCTAGAATTGCTTTCTTGGAAGTATGACACTGCCTAAGACTCCATGTTTCTTTCCCTCCCCCTTGTTCATATAATTAAGGAGACTTAAGTGGAAACCCTGCCCATACAGTATCTCTTCATATTCAAGTCTAGGATTCTAATTGCCATAGGCACTAAGGAATGACCCTAGTCCCCTCTTGTAGTCACCCTGCACAAAACACACTTGAGACAATTAAATGAGTCAACCCAAGCATTAGCACCTGCTCCCTATCATGAGGATATCACTGCTCCCTAATCACATGTCAGCAATCTTGTTGTCACTGGCCCTATCCTCCTCAAACTGGGGCTCAAAAACATACCCCTGGGGGACAGTGGTAAAAAGGGAGTATGATAGACACAGTGTTTTTCTGGAGGGTCTGCTTTAACTGAAGATTTATGAAGAAATGTATTCTGAGCATGGGTACAGTATAGAACAGATTACAAAATACCCATGGAATTTTAAGGTGAGAATTATTAGAGAACTAAACATATTTGCACTTGTGTTTAAGATCAAGTCTCCAGATTCTCTGGGGGATGCTGTATTCGTTTGGCTTTTGGAGATGCTTTGATGGAAAACTTTGGGAAGCTGTGATCCTTAAGCTATCTTTTTAAATTTAGTCTTGTTTTGATACTGTTTATAAAATACCCTGCCCTTCTCACCAAGTTTTTTTTTTTTTTTCTTTTTGAGATGGAGTCTGGCTCTGTTGCCCAGGCTGGAGTGCAGTGGTGCAGTCTCGGCTCACTGCAACCTCCGCCTCCCAGATTCAAGTGATTCTCCTGCCTCAGCCTCCTGAGTAGCTGGGACTACAGGTGCCCGCCACCAGGCCTGGCTAATTTTTGTATTTTTAGTAGAGACGGGGTTTCACCATGTTGGCCAGGATGGTCTCGAACTCCTGACCTTGTGATCCACCTGCCTCGGTCTCCCAAAGTGTTGGGATTACCAGTGTGAGCTACTGCACCCGGCCATCAAGTGCTTATAGTAATTTTTGTGAATTTGCTTGAAAAGTACTTTTTCATTTTTGGTGCTATAATATTGCCTCTTTCAGGCTTCAAGGGGAGATGTGTTGAAATTTGAAAACCAGGTGTGCATCTACCTACGTTGTTCTGCTTTTATAGCCTTTGCTGTCACAGCTCATTTTAAAGTCCTCATTTTGTCCTTAACATATACATTCTTATGGAGTTGTCTCTTTCCCTTCTACTTGAATCCTTTAGATGACCTTGTTTGGATCCTTTTCCACTTCTGCTCTTTTTCTCTTTAAGATGTGGCACTTAGACCAATGCACACTGATCCAGGGCCAAGTGAATGGTACTTTTGTAGGAAGATGAGATCATGTTTCTGTTAGGTTTCCAAACTTTTTCCTAATGACCAGAATTTTAGCCACAATTTTTGGGGAAGGACATATCCTTCAGGCCAACTCTGGCTCATCCATCATGACTCAGCTTATGGACCTGCGCCCAACCCAGCAGAACTGATCACTCCTTCCTTTGAGTTCTCAGTGGTCTTCTACCTCCGTTGGCACGAGCCTCACTGTGCTGCACTTACCTGTTGATGTGTGTTTCTTCCCATCTAAGTTTTGAGTTTCTGGAGATCAGGGAACCTTGTGCTATTCACCTTTGTATCACCACACTTTGGCACTGAGCCTTGCACATGCTGGGTGCTTAATTAATATGAAACCAGCTGGGAGCAGTGGCTCACACCTGTAAACCCAGCACTTTGGGAGGCCAAGGCTGGTGGATCACCTGAGGTCAGGTGACAGCTGGAGATGGAAGCTCTTGTCTGGGTACCCAGAGCTTAGAAATGTTCCCACCAGTTATCAAGATCTGTTGAAGACTTTCTGAGGAAGGAACTGAAGACGCAGGTTGGAAAGGACTCCCTGCTGCTGTGAGACTCTGGTTTCTTTCCTGTCTATTACAAATGCCACCACAAACTAAGGGATTCTCCCTGCAGCTCCGTATAGCCCAGCCAAGCTTTCCTACTCTACACTTGTGCCTCCAGGGAAAGAGAGGCAGAGACCTCATTTCTAAGAGAACCAGCCTCATTTTATTTGAAAGACAAAAGACCATCATGAACACAATACAGCAGAATGCTACCTAAACTCCACAAGTTTTGAGTAAAGAATCAGCACAGTTATACATTAAGTTTAACTTTCCTATGAGGAAAGTTTATTTCAGCCCATCCTTTCACTTCTACCGGGGAGATACCTTGGCTTAAGAGAAACTGACCTGAACACTGAAAGATCCCATGAAGTCACATTTTGTTGCCTCTTCTGACTAAGTCTGGTCTACCCTCATATGATCATTATAAATTCACATTTCTTAGAAAGTATCCTGGGGGTGGAGGCATGATGAAAATGCACAGTACAAAGAAATGTAGGCAAATGAGGGTTTAACTTCCAGCCACAGATGTAAAAATCTGGCCTCACAACTAAATGCCTAGGTGGTGACAGGGAAGCCACAGAGAAATGTAGCATCTCTGTCATTGCTGTCTCTCTCCAGACTGCCTAGTCCTGGCAGGGGGTGTGAGATGCCCATGTTAGTTTCCTAGAGCTGCTGTGACAAAGCCCCATGAACTTGGTGACTTGAAGTAACAGAAATATATTATCTCACATAGAATTCCAAAATCAAGATGTTGGCAGGTGGGGGCTATGCTCCCTGTGAAGCATTTAGGGGAAACCTTCCTTGCCTTTTTCTAGCTTCTGGTGGTTGCTGGTTTAGAAAACATGTCTTAAGCCATCCTTGGCTTGTAGATGTGTCACTCTAATCCTCCATCTTCTCATGGAGTTCTCCTTATGTGTCTTTACGTAGGATTCCCTGTCTGCCTGTCTGCTTATGAGCCTACATTTCTCCTTATGAGAACACCAGTCATACTGGATTAGGGCCCACCCTAACACCCTCATTTTAACTTGATTACATCTGCAAAGAATTATTTCCAAGTAAGGTCACATTCTGAGATGCTAGAGGCTGGGACTTTAATATATCTTTCTTGAGGGACACAAATTCAACCCATAACAATGCCTGTGACTCTCCTATGATCTCATATTATTCTTTGAACAGGCTTTCCGGGTACAGTCTTTTGTTCTTCCTGTGGAATATTCTATTGATTAAATTGCCTCTTTAGTTCTTCAGCTATCAGATGCTTTTCTCTGGCAGGCCAATGTAATTAGGGAACTAATAACGGAATCAATAAGGAAAAGAGTATGTTCTTTCATATTTTCCAGCTGTTCCAGTGATTCATTTAGTCCTCGCTCTGTGTTTGTTGCTGCTGAATTTGTGCTTGTTAAAAGATATGTGGCCATGACATACAGTGGAAAGAAGGGAAAGGAGAGGATCTCGATTGGTCTCTGGTAATGTCCAGGAGGGACATCTTTGCTGGGAGAGGGTATCATGTGGCAGGATATGGAAGAGAACATGGCCTCATTTATGTAACTGTATAAACAAGGAAAGTTTTTAAAGATGTTTATTGTTTGGAAAACACACTTTATTTTAATGTTGCATGAAACATGTTGAGTTGAAGCCATGCAGGACTGTATAAACATCCTGTGAGCTGATGCATTGCCTGTATAAGGAAGGATTCAACACTAACTGTGATAATTTCTGGGACATTGTCCTATTTTTGGAAAATTCAATATTGCTTTATCTAATTCCAGTTTCCTCATGAAAAAAATAGAACTTTAATTCATGGCCTTTTAAAAGGTAGTTTGAGAGATAAATATACACATGGTAATTAGAAATTTACTGTAACAAAAATATAAATAGAATAAAATGTGGGCTTAAGTTACTATTGAAATATAATACATATTTATTGTTCAAACATCTAAAAATGATGGAAACTTCAAAAATATATAAATTACCCGTAATCTCACAATTCAGAGGCGACCACTGCTAAAATTTTGGCATATTTCCTTCTGATATGTTTCAAGTTTTTGTAATACTTTAACATCGATATCAATAAATGCATGTTTTATAACATATTTTTAAATTAATAATGTCATGAGAATTTTAATATCCTTAAATAATCTTCTAAAACTTACTATTAAATGTTGACACATGTGTTTTATTTCTATTTTAATGTTAGACCTATAATTTTGTAATCACAAAAGTAATATTTATTTATAATAATTTAAAGAAATCTAGAGGACAAAAAGAAGAACATACTAATTGCCCACAGTCTTGCCATTGCAGAGATAACTAATATCAATACCAAGGCCTACTTTGCATGGCATTATAATTGCATGCATTTCTGTTTCCACTGATCATGGCATTTTTGACCTTTGTAACCTCAGCTCTTAGTTCAGTTCCTAGAGCATAGTAGTTGTTTGATACACTTTTAGTGACTGAATGAATAAGTGATTAAATGAAGAAGTAGATGTGTAGGTGGAGAGGTTTTCAAGATCCAACTCGTGGTAGAATAAAATATGTTTCAGACTCAGCAACTTACTGCAGATTGAGAGACAAGGTAGCTAACTCAAAGCCCTTAATGAATAGGAGCCTGCTCTTTCTGTTCATCTCAATCAGCCTCCAGGAGGATAATTCAATTTAATTTTTTTTCCATCAGTCAAACTGAAGAGCTGAAAAAGCAAAACCAGAGATAGGCAAGGTAGGAGGTGAAACAGGCCTGAGTGAGGAGATCAGCAGTGGCTCTCTCGCTCTCTTTTTTTTTTTTTTTTTTTTTTTGAGATGGAGTCTTGCTCTGTCACCCAGGCTGGAGTGCAGTGGTGTGATCTTGGCTCACTGCAGCCTCCGCCTCCCAGGTTCAAGCAATTCTCCTGCCTCAGCCTCCCCAGTAGCTGGGACTACAAGCACCTGCTGCCATGCCCAGCTAATTTTTGTATTTTTAGTAGAGATGGGGTTTCACCACGTTGGCCAGGATGGTCTTGATCTCCTGACCTTGGGATCCACCTGCCTCAGCCTCCCAAAGTGCTGGGATTATAGGCATGAGCCACTGCACCCAGGTTCTCGCTCTCTTTATGTTAGAAAGAGCGTGAGAGGACAGGAACCATGCTGCTCTCAAGGGTGACCCAGCAAGAGCTCTGCCACCACCAGGTCGTCCGTGATGAAACTGATGATTTCTCTGAGGATGGAGACTCTAACAGTGTCAGTGTGACCCTCATGGTTTTTACCTGGCCTGTTTCAAGTGTTTGCAGCAGAGGAAGACACAATCATGTTGGGTTTTGTTGAAAGAATTTGGTACTTTGCTATGTTTGGAATCAGGGCTGGCAGATTTTGAACTTTGGGTTATAGAAGGTTCCATCCAAAGTCTCTTTTATATGTAATTGGAAAACATGTCTTAAGTCTAAGCATCTGTCCCTCAGGTACCTGTCATAGGAAGGAGAGTGATCCATTTTTTAAAACCCTACATGAAAAACTTAGTCTTTGCAATAAAATATATGGATATATTCTTCCCAATGGGATGGTCTGGTCCTTAAAAACCTGCTGCTTTTCCCCACCTCTCAATATAAATATACATACAAGATATAGAAATATCCACAAATAGATGGGCAGAGGGATAGAAGGAGAGACAGGCAGATGGAAGGACAGACAGACAAACAGTGTCCACCGCTTTTGGCCAACAACAGTCATCATATCCCTTCTTTTTCTTAAAGGTGCTCGTAGAGCTAACCTCGAACACTAGGCCATATTGGCACCTTTGCTCCTGTTGTCTCAAGGCCTGGCTCAAAACATATTTTTCCAGGAGGTCTCATTGTTTAATTTCTACCCCGGTTAATCTTTCCCATCTGTCAACCTCTAGAGCTTTAGCCCTTGCCCCAATTTTCCCTTTGACATGGTGTGTCTGTAAGTGTATATGAAGATCAGGGAGAAGCTACTCTGTTTGCTTCCTAAACAATTGAATGGGTTTTGTGTACTATGTAATTTAGTGGTTGTAGAGCTTTGTAGTGTTTTATTCACCAGGTTGGTGAATAAAGAAAGTGACTAGAGGGTGGTAAGATATTTCTTGCATGCATAATTGAACATATATTGTAGTTAGTACTTACTCATGTACTGAGAGCCCAGTTTAGATAAATACTGTGAGAGTTAGTGTAAAGTCAGTGTGGTATAGCAGAAACTTGTGATCAGCCAAATCATGTATATATTTTCTGTATAGTTGATGTAGTCACTATGCAGCACCAAGCATCAGTACCTTCATCTATAAAATGAATATGCTAAATATATATATTTAGCATATATAAATATATATATTTGTATATATATTTAGCATATTCATTTTATATACATTTTTAGCATATATATAAGAAATATATAAATATATATGTATGTATGTATATATATTTATATATATATATAAAATGGGTTCAAGATCTTTTATTTTCAGAGCTTGCAACAGTTGGTTAGCAATGCTAGCTAAGCTGATATAATCTGAAGGCCATCCAACCTTTCTCTTTAGGCACTCAACCAGCAGAATCTCTTTCTTGCAAACAGGATCATAGACCAATTGGGATCTGTCTCCATGTGTGTGTGGGAAGAGGTCCTCTTCCCCACACTTTTCCCAACAAATTGTTTTATAACCAAATGCAACTCAAACCTATAACACAGCTAGTAGTCAGCTGTATATACCTGACAACATTACAGGCTATTTTGAGGATTAAAAAAAATATATATATATATATACACACACATATATATAACTATATATATACATATAACTATATGTACATATATAACTATATATACATATATACCTACATACATACATGTTTAATTATATGTGTGTATATATACATATATAAAACTGTCTCTACTAGACAAAAATAGTTTTATGGCTCCGTTGTTCAATAAATATTTGCTGAATTAAATTGAAATGAGTCAAAACTTTTCTGAGCCCCACAAAACTTTTTTGAGATTACCGGAAGTTTATACAAAAAATTATTTCTGTATGAGTTGTAACATTATCGACTTAGAACTTTCCAGATGGCGAAGTTATCCAACTGTGGTGTGCTGGGAAGAACAGCCCTATAGGAGAGCAGATATTGGGGATGTGATCACAGGAATATACTTCATGTGGTCCAATTTCTATAAACTTGATAGCCACTCTGGCTTCCTCAATGCTCCCATCTGTAAAAGTTTTTGGGAAAAACATAAGGATGGTGGAATTCTCATGATAAACTTGGGTCATGATTCCATGGAAGGAGACTTGAGCCAGGCATCAGAAAACTCAAATCCTAGTTTCTTTGACCAAGACTTATCTTCTCCAAGATTAAGTTTTGTTAATTGTGAAATAGGAGGTTTATGTTCTCACCTGTTAGAGGTGTTTATGTTCTCACATGGCATTGTAAAACTACTGATGCACAAAGGTGACTAAGGCATGATCCCTGCCCCCTTATGACTCATAGTCTAGCAGGGTAGAGACATGCCAACCAGCAATGGATTACTATGAACAGCTTCTTAGAGGCAGGCAGTGAATACAGTGGTGGCACCGTGGAAGCTTAGTAACTAACTCTGCCTGGGCAGATTGCAGAATGCTTAAGAGCAGGGATTTAAGTTAGTAATAACTGTCCTACCTTCCTTTCAGGATTGTTGTAAGGCTTAAATGTATATGAAAGAACAACATGGTAGAATTATTATTATTATCGTTATTATTATTATTCCATTGGCAGTTAGAATCAGATGTTTTACTTCTAGACTTTCAGTTGAAAATATACCCAATACTCCTAGTTAGTCACTTATAGGGATGCTGGCTTATCCCTAAGGTGTTATAAAGGGGTCAGACTCTACATTCAAAAAGTAAGTGAACATGGAATAATAAGAAGAGTGGCCTAGCCATCTTGCAAAAACATAGGAGTGTGAATGAGCCTGGTCTTTTTGGTGACAATGAAGAGCTCCATTTCATTTAGATGATCTATAGAGCAGTAAGAAATGAAAGTAAAAGCATGATATTTTGCATGTAATATTGGCTCATATATCAGCTGATGAGCATTTTTATATGTAGTCTTATTTTTCCTGGGAGCACAGAATCTGCCTCTTCTTGTCTACATGACAATGGAGACAGTGATGGCCATCAGAAGTGTATTTATACTCTCCTCAAAAGTATCAGTTGATTGGATGTATATTGAGAACCCACGTAATGCTAGAAGATACCATGATAAGCAGTCATATTCCTACCTTTTTATCTGGATAAAATAAATGCCTACTTGGGTGTGTTGGGCACTCTGGTGTTGGGATGCTGCAGGGAAAACATCTGTATTCATGCCCAGCAGTGGTTCCTTGAGACTTACATTCTCACTTCATTGTTTTGCAGCTCTACAGCTCCATGGACTTTGGAAGACGGTGGCAACTCATGCATGAACGCATCACACCCAACAGGTTTTATTGGTAAGCCCTATCCACACACTCATTACTTCTTAGATAAAGAATTATCAAACAGCGTAGCACTCTAGACAGCTCTGGACAGTTGCAGTTCTTGCAGACAAATGTGTTCCAGTCCTTTGCTACACAGAGTGGTTTGTAGAATAGCAGCATCAGCATCACCTGGGGACTTGTTAGAAATGCAGAATCTCAGGCCCTATTAAGACTTACGAAACTGGGATTTGCATTTAACATGATCCTTTGCTGACTCATGTGCACATGAAAGTTTGAGAGGCACTGGGCTTAAAGAGCTCTGTGAGAAGGGTCATGATCAGGTGCTCTTTGCTATGTACTAACCCCCTCTTTTTGGAAAAGTGCATATATTTTATGTACATATTCTAAAAAGCAGTATTTTCCCAAAATGTACTCTGGAGAACAGCAGTTCCACAAAATGCTTCTTCTTTCATAAGAGTTTCTGTGGTCAAATAAATTCAGGTTATGATAATTCAATTTTATACTCCTGGAAACTCAGGATTCATGTTATGATATTAAAGACTCTGGAGAAGTGCTGAATGAAGAATTCTGCCAAACTTGAAGTCACTGATTCCCAAACTTATTTCACTACAGAATCCTTTTCTCATGTCACATGTGATAAATCCTTCAGAACTACCTCTGTAGGGCATATTTTGAAAAACCTTTTATGGGAATGAATACATGTTTCAAATGGAATATAAGCCCTTCCTCCTAATCAGGAAGTGTTTTATTAATTAGTATTCCTTTATGCATGCATACTATTTTTATCTTGGTTGTAACAAGTTTTGTACAAATTTGCCTTTTACACTTGCTTGCTATAACATGAAAATGATTCTTACTTTTATCTTGCTTTCATTTTAGCAGAAGTGATGGCTAAAGGAAGGGAGATTAAGAGGCATACACCAAAGTATATAGCATGCTTAATTATATGCTTAATGAAAAAAAAAGATTTGGTTAGGCACAGTGGCTCATGTCTGTAATCTCAGTACTTTGAGAGGCTGAGGTGGGAGGATTGCTTGAGGCCAGGAGTTCAAGACCAGCCTGGTCATTATAGTGATACCCTGTCTCTACAAATAAATAAAAAATGAGCTGGCCATCAGTGTCATGCCCCTGTAGTCCCAGCTACTCAGGAGGCTGAGATGCAGTGATCACTTGAGCTCAGGAGTTCAAGGCTGCAGTGTACTCTAGCTTGGGTGACAGAGAATAGGCTACTGCCATCATAGAGATTAGGCCACCGTACTCTAGCTTGGGTGACAGAGCGAGACTCTGTCTCAAAAAAAAATTTTTGTTAGAAGTTGTACTCATTCCGTATCTCTTATAAATATCTTATGAACACTCCCTTAAAAACTCATGTGATAGCCGTTTATGCCTTACACAACTTAGGGATGTGCTGTGTGTGTGTTGAAGATGGTGGTAACAAATACCTTGTACATACACACATTCATACCAACATCTTTGGAAGCAATGGCTTCAACCCATTCCGTCTGCATCCACAAAACTATGTTTAGATTTTAAATGAAGATTGCCTAAGCATTCTATGAAAAATCAACTGTTTTTTTTTTTGTTTTGTTGTTTTGTGTTGTTTTGTTCTTTGTACATGGTTCGGAGTAGTTGTGAGAGAAAAGGGAGTTGGCAGTATTGCTCTTGACTCAACACCTGGACTATCTCCAGCATGTTTGCCCCTTACAGGCCTACTATTATTTCATCTGTAGCTGTTATTCCAACTATTATTTTGCCTGTATTTGGAACTATGGAGGTTTTTCAATAGACTGAGGCAGAAAAAGGAAATATTTGTTTTTCTGCTATTTCACTTATAGAACTACAGCCTTTACTGAGCTGAGATAGTCCAGTTTCTCAGTATGCCACCACTCAGAAGTCCAGAATTCGAAAAAAAAAAAAAAAAAAAAGAAAGAAAGAAAGAAAGCGAAAGAAAGAGCCCTCTGCTGTTTCTGGAACAAACTCTTGAGATGATAAGGCAGTTGGCCAACTAGAAAGTCAGGTTAGTAGAGGAGGAAAGCACACTGGGCTAGATGAACCATGCCACTGTGTCTGAATGAAATTAAGTGCCTAAGAAGCAACATTTTCCTATATTTTGCAAAGAGCAAGAGGAGAAGGTTCTAGCTTCTGTCATCCACCCTCTTCCTTTATGCAGTAAAAAAGAACGAGTCCCTAGGTCCTGATAATTGTGTTTTGTCTCTTCTCCACTCTGTGCTTCTTCATATATGCTCCCAAGGGGAAATATAACAGTTTATGCCTGTGCTGAATAGTCAAGTGGTAGTTTTGAATATTCAATTTTTGTAATTATCACTTCTCCATTTCTGATATATAATTACCGCGATTATTCTTTTAGGTGTCGTGTGAGTCATGGCAAAAGAGCTTATTTTACATAGACATTTTTTTTTAATCCAAAGACAGAATTCAGGGTTTTCTAAAGCTCTAAACCGCTTATATTGAAGATATATGTTTTGTATAGGTTAGGGATGTAAATATTAACTTGTTATCTCCTTGAGAAAAGACAAAATATGCATTTCTCTGGGTATAGAACAAACCTTGGCTTAAGTGGGACCTCTTTAACCTATGGTTCCCTCATCCATCTAATGGGAACAGTATTTTTGTTGTCAATTTCATAAGGTTATTGAAAGGAGCAGATGTATCAAGTGGACACTTGGCTATTTCACTTCTCCATTGATTTAAGTACTATGTTTATTACTAGTACTCAAGAACATGTCACATAAGTGAATTGTCATTTTGCTGGGCACAAATGTGAATCTCGTGTACGGTAAGGCTGGTGCCCATGGGCATGTGATAACAACTGAATGGGTCTGATTTATTGCCAAGAATCCACATCTCAGCTGAACATTATTGTTCTCTACTTTTTGTTGAGTCATAATTCTTATAATTCTTATGAAGTGATCAACCAAAGCAAAACAATAACATGCATGAAAATGATTTCTTTGGGAGAGAGGGTGTAGAGGGAAGAGGTATTGAGGGTGGTTGGGGAACGCTGAGTGGAAAGCAGGCATGGTAAAAACAAGACATTGAAATGAGAGACGATGTTAAAAAGACTTTTAACTTGTGGTATGTAGACAAATAGAGTGAACATGGGATTCAGAAGAAATATTACAAATAACAATATTTGATTGTTGTGATTCATAGCTTTGCTCCTGTGACCCTGCGCAAATATTGTTATTTATAAGCTGCACATTTGCAAGTGTCTAAAGGATAGATCCTTCATGAGTGTCCGGTTTCTTCTCCCATGCTACTCGCAGTTGTTGGCAAGTAGCAGCTTAGAGGGGGATTTGTGCAGAAGGACACTGTGCTCCAGAAGTGATTTCTGACGAGGACACAGCAGAAAGAACGAACCCCGTGCATGTCTCTCGTCTGTTCCGTCATCTACAGTGATGATTGTTGTAATGGTTGTTAGAATACATTGGAAATTGTAAGGAGTTATCATTATTATCCGCTTCTTCATTAGTGCCCCACCCTTCTTGTGGGTTAGGCAGAGCACGGAACATAATATTCATTAGCATCAATACTAAGAGCTTCACCTGGAAATATTTTTATGAATTCTGGATGTTCTAATCCAATCAAGATAGGTCACCTAGGAATCTTACACCGTGGAGTGACTCAGCCATCAATCTCAGGCTACAAGAAGAAAGACAACTGACATGAACATTCCTTGTTTATATGTGACCCTTCCACTCACTTGATACCTGGTCACCAGGTAATCACCAGGGCTGTCTAATGCTTCCCCCACTTTTTTAACCTCAGCTGCTTCCGAAATTGTAATTTGCATGGAGAGCAGATAAATGGAGTAAGTGTCCTTAACATATTCCCTTCATTCTTCCTAGGCTCTGCTATGGCAGAGTTGTTGTCATGGGGGAAAAGCTTTTCTGTTTTTTTTAATATTTAAAAAAATATATCCTACTGAGCTACAAATGAATAGTATTCCACTCTTCCCTTGGGGGATATTTAACAGGCAGGCATATTCTGCAGTGGGAAGATTTTTTTTTTCCTTTGCACATCCAATGTGAATACTTGTTGTGATTCACAGCTTTGCTCCTGTGACTCTGCACTCTCCTAACATGCTCAGCCTCTTTGGGCATCTTTTCCAATGAAGTCACAGGTGTGCTAGGCCTTCCAGAATTCTCTGTGTAACTAGAATGACCTCAAAGTGCCTCTGGTCTCTGATGGCATTCACTTGTATGGTATCCTAAAACACGGAAGGAATGTCTCCAATGCGTCCTCTTTACTGATTTCCCTCCTCCGCTCCTTAATTATTCTTTCTCTTGAAAGAATTAGGTCCCTTTTTTGTCCCTCTTCTTTATCATTGCTGCAGGAAATTGTGCTGATAAAGTAATGTACTCTAAGGTATCAGGAACTTCAATTCTTACCCCTTTTCTGAGATATTTGGATTGCAACATGGACTGGCTTGAGCATTAGGAAACCTTTAAGAAGACAACAGACATACTATAAGTTCTATATCAGGCCATGTTAGGCAATGCAGGGAATGTGTATCTTGAAGACTGCTGTATCTGCTATGATGCCTGGTTTAGGATGAAAAGTGGCTGGTGTGTAAAGGTAGGTAGGTTGGGCTGTAGGTCTTTATTGTACTTTGCTTAAGGCCGGCTTACACACTATGGGTTTCTAGTGGTGTTTGTGCCAGCAGCTTCTCATCTGGTTTTTCAGAAAGGCCATGAGGGAAGGGAGGAAGAATGGAAAAACAAAGTGTGTCCCTCCTGGTGTGTGTAGACAAGAGGTCCTAGGGAAATGCCCTTTAAAAGAGACACATGAAAAAATGCTCATCATCACTGGCCATCAGAGAAATGCAAATCAAAACCACAATGAGATACCATCTCACACCAGTTAGAATGGCGATCATGAAAAAGTCAGGAAACAACAGGTGCTAGAGAGGATGTGGAGAAATAGGAACACTTTTACACTGTTGGTGGGACTGTAAACTAGTTCAACCATTGTGGAAGTCAGTGTGGCGATTCCTCAGGGATCTAGAACTAGAAATACCATTTGACCCAGCAATCCCATTACTGGGTATATACCCAAAGGATTATAAATCATGCTGCTATAAAGACACATGCACATGTGTGTTTATTGCGGCACTATTCACAATAGCAAAGACTTGGAACCAACCCAAATGTCCAACAGGGATAGACTGGATTAAGAAAATGTGGCACATATACACCATGGAATACTATGCAGCCATAAAAAATGATGAATTCATGTCCTTTGTAGGGACATGGATGAAGCTGGAAACCATCATTCTCAGCAAACTATCGCAAGGACAAAAAAACCAAACACCGCATGTTCTCACTCACAGGTGGGAATTGAACAATGAGAACACATGGACACAGGAAGGGGAACATCACACACTGGGGCCTGTTGTGGGGTGGGGGGAGGGGGGAGGGATAGCATTAGGAGATATACCTAATGTTAAATGACGAGTTAATGGGTGCAGCACACCAACATGGCACATGTATACATATGTAACTAACCTGCATGTTGTGCACATGTACCCTAAAACTTAAAGTATAATTAAAAAAAAGAGAAAGTGGTGATAATGAAAAAGAAGACAGACTAAAAACCGTTTCAAGACAGTCTTTCCTTTCCAATCTTTCATGTTCTTAGTTTTCCAAGTCTCTTTTTGTATGCATATGTTCTTTTATATGTAGCCTAAATATATACATGTGAGTGTGTATAATCTGCCTTTCTCTTCTTAATGTTCTATCCTTACAATTTTTGTGTCATTATAAAATCTTTATAACCATTTTTAATTTGTGCAATATCTTATTACACAAAGATACATGCTTTATTCTGTTTTATTTTTTATCAGACATTGAAAATTTTCACATTTTTGATGATCATAAGTAATGGTTTTATTGACATTTGTATGCATAGGTCTTTAACATCAAGAATTATTTTCTTGGACCAGTGTTTTAGGTAGCCCAAGTAAAGACTTGACTGCATTTTTTTGCAGTGTCACATTTCAATAATAAGACCCCAATTCAACACTAAAAGTATTTCAGCAAAGTAGCTTTTTACTGAACCTTTTCTTGAAGAGGGTTACAAAGAAGCATTACATCAGCCAACACACGAGTCTTCCTAAAACTCCTCTGTTCATATCTGTCCTGACCATCATGGGAGTTACTTTCTCATCCTCTCCTTCCCTTTCATGGACTCTAAAGCTATTCTGTCAGTGATTTATTGTCCACAGTCCATCCCCTTCCAGAACTCCCCTTACACCCACACACTTCTCCCCAAGTATCATAGCTTTTCTTATGTAAAACAATCTACCCTCTCTCCTTAACCCTCCATCTATCACCCTCACCCATCCCAGAAATTAAATGTAATATCCCTTAGGTGCACATTCCTTACAACATGGAGGAGGGAGAATTGGTAATAGTTAGGGTTTAATATTAGTTAAGGTTTAGTATTTTTGGTTTAATCACTACTATAAGAAGAAGTTTATCATATCAAAATATACACATTTTGAAGAATAAAATCATGTCCTTTGCAGCAAAATGGATGGAGCTAGAGGCCATAATTCTAAGTGAATTAACATAGGAACAGAAGACCAAATAGCACATGTTCTCACTTATAAGCAGGAGCTAAACCTTGGATATGGACATAAAGGTGGGAACAATAGACACTGGAGACTACCAGAAGGGTGCGAGGAGGGCAAGGGCTGAATAACTACCTATTGGGTACTATGCTTACTACCTGGGTTACAGGTTCAGTCGTATCTCAAATTTCAACGTCACACAATATACCTTTGTAGGAAACCTGCACATGTACCCATTGATTCTAAAGTAAAAGTTGACATTAAAAATAAATAGAACACTAGAAAAACTATATATGTGTATATGTGTATGTGTATATATATACATACACACACACACACACACACACACATTTTGAACATCTTAAAACCTGTCATTCAAAATATTACCCAAACTGTGTTCTGTTGTATATTCCCACCTGTAACATATGGCAGTATCAGTCTATTTAGTTAATATTTACTTCTTCCTTTTGGGAGACAGCCTCCAAGTGGGCTCCACTGATCTCTGCCTTCTGGAAATCCTGCCAGTCTATGGTGTTCTCTTCTTGAGTATAGACTGGATTAGTGGCTTGCTTCTAGTGAATGGAATATGGCAGAGGTAACGAGCTTTTTTGGGGAGTAGGTTACCAAAAGACAATGTTTTCATCTTGGGTGCATTCTCATGCTTACTTGCTCAAAGCAAGCTACCATGTTGTTAGCTGCCTTATTGAGAGCCCCATGTGTCAAGGAATGGAGGGAGATCTCCAGCCAAAAGCCAATGAGAAACTAATGGCCTGACAGCTTAGTTCTAATGCAGAAATGAATCCTATCAGCAGTCACATGAGTGAGTTCAAAAGCAGATCCTTCTCCAGTCAAGCCTTCATATGAGACTTCAGCCCTGGCAAACACTTTGATAGAAGCCTTGTAAGAGACCTCCTCAGGCAGAGGCACCTAGCTGAGTTGTGCCTGGATTCCTGACCAACAGAAACAGTGAGACAATACGTATTTGTTGTTTTTAGCTCCTAAGTTTTGTAGTAATCTGTTACACAGAATTATTAAGAGATAACCAATATGCTTTTCTCTGATCCTTATTCTTTGCTTGTTTATTTTATAACATAATGTTCTACTTCTGTCTACACGTAGCCTCCTGTCTACATACAACTACTTCTGTCTTGGACTACTTCCTCTGTTTTCTCTTCATTGTTATCAACTTTAGATATTTCATTTTGCCCATTGTTTGGGTGTGTCCTTGAAATAGAAAATTATCACCATGTTCTGGTATTCCTGACACCTATGCCCAGACTCTATGGGATTTGACAGTTGATCAGCAAACCTCAGAGCCCTATCCTCAACCTGAGTGAGGCTTACTTAATATCATGAGATTGCCTGACTTTGTTATACCTTATTATTTTATAGTTTGATGGCAGGATTGCATTTTCTAAGAATATTGTTTATTGTAAATATCTGTGTATGTACATATACACACACAAGGCATGTATGTACATGCTCATTTAGAGAAGTGTTAATTTCATTGGTACAAATACTTCACTAGAAGTACTAATATAAATCACATTGTCTGGATTTTAGACACCCGTGTCAGCCTAATAGCAGCTGTGGGTGGAGGATGAAGGGCAGAGAAGCAGGAAGTGAAAATTGGGGATGGTTACCTTGAGATAATGTGGTTGGAGTGAATACTCTTGCACCTCTTCCCTGAATTTGAGCTCTATAGATCTCACCTGTTCTGGAATATATCCTATAATTTGCTTCAAAAGTGGGCTCCTTCTATTCATTTAGGAACTTCTTTTGACCCTGGACCATGGTTCTTAAAGACTCAGCTGCCAAGTCATTTTTAGGCTATTCATATATTATCCATGACAGAGCCAGAGTTAAGGAACAGACAGAATAGCTTGAGATGGCTTCCTGGAAAATGAAGATCTTTTCAAACAAAGTTAACATTATGGGCTGAATTTTTGAAGCTGCCTCTAAATGTGCATCTACGATTTTGCAAACACAGTCATTTGCAATCTCAAGTAATGGGATTTAGGCATCAACCTGATATAAGGGATCAGATTTTAAGGCTATTGCAAACCAGGGTATGCTACAAATAATATTTAATTCAGCTCTCCTTTACATTTTTAAAATGGTACAGCAATTTAAAAATACATTACATTTAAAATAATACATGCAAGGTCAGGAGGGGAAATGTGAAAGCTCAGCTTGCAAGCAGAAATCAGTTTCTACTTTGCTGATGGGGGCTACCCATGCTGTATGTCTGGTTGCATCTTGGCTGTGGAAGAGCTGTCTTAATGCTAAGACTAAAATGCAGTGTTCATATGGTGCACGTGGTAGTTAGCCATGGCACTGAGCAAGACAGAATGGTCAACTCTTTGGAAGAAGTCAAGACATGCCGGACCCTTGATGATTATGCTGAGTACCTGTGAGTTATGTGAGGTAGGAGGCATATGTAGCTAATGACTTCTTTGCTATGAAAAGTGGGAGTCATGTTTGGTCCTGCCTTGGGAGATCTGAAAAGATTTGTGTGCATTAAACATGGAATTCAAAGACAGCCACATCCACTCACCTAATCCAGTGTAGCAAAAATTCCATAGTGCACATGGCAACACCGGAAACACTGTTGTTTTCTCTTTCTCTGGCTTTGTGGCCAGTGATTCCTTAGTTAGAGGCACATGGCTTCCAAATACTTATTCCACCCAGATGATTATGCAAAGGGCATGAGAAATACTCATTTCGCTCAGAAATAGTGAAATCTAACTTTATTTTCACTCACTGATAATAAACTTGCAGAGGGGAGCAAACTTTACTTTTGTCACAGTGGGTGAGATTTCAGGGCCTTATTGTCTATGAGGGTGGTGGGTCAGAAAAACCCCCACATAAAGAGACTTTGACTACTGCCATCTTCCTGGAACTCAGATTGCCTTCAGTACTTGCATGTTACATTAAAAAATGGGGAGAGTTGAATAGGTTGGTGGTGATGAGTTGTTCACTTCCATGAGCAGGAATAGGAGAATTGGAGGGCTAGGGAGAGGCCTAGAGAGAGAAGAGGTCAATGTTGAGCTCGGCGCCCAAGGAGAAAGTACCAAATTGAAGGCTTGGAGGCTGTTTGAAATGCAGGTTGGATACTTGGTTGCACGGAGGAGAAACCATCCTTTCTTCCCTGTTGAGGAAATCTGTTATTGTTCTGCTCCAGTTTGGTCTGGGGCTGTGCATTAGTCAGTGCTGGCTGCCAAAACAAAATACCACAGACTGGTTCCAGGCTTAAGCAACAGAAATTTGCAGTTCTGGAATCTGGAAGTGTGCGATCAGGGTGCCAGCATGGTTGGTTTCTGGTGAGGGCCCTCTTCCAGGTTGCAGAGGGCCACCTTCTGGATGTATCATCCCATGGCAGAGAGAGAGAGGGCAAGCTCTCTGGTGCACTTTCTTGTAAGGGCACTAATCACATTATGAGAGCCCCACCCTCATCCAAACCTAATCACTTCCCAAAGGCCTTATCTTCAGATACCATCAGTTTGGAGGTTAGAGCTTCAACATATTTTTTTTTTGGAGAGATACAATTCAGTCCATAGCAGGATGTAAAACAGGGAACAACTTGGGAAGGAATGCAAAATTTCTAGAGACACTTCCACCAAGAGGTGTCCTGGAGCAGAAGTGGCTAAGGCTTGTCGGGGAAGTGGAGAGGCAATGCCAGAAATACAAATGTATTGTTTAAAAGACACAGACACACACTAGCCATTTTTTTTTTCTGGTTGGAAACACAATATATCTCATAATCATTCAAGGGAAGGCAAGAAAATAAAAAGAAAATAATTACCTATAATTTTACTGCCCAGAAAATACCTCTTAAAAAATCAAGTACGTCTTCATAGCCTTTTTTCCCTATTATAATATAGTATAATTTTAAACATATATTTAAATATTTTTCATTCAGATCATATTGTTGATAAAATTTTATATCTTTTAAAAATGAAATTGAACATTCTCCTGTGCCATCCTCTACTCTTTCTAAACATTTTAAAGCTTGTATTGAATTATATTCTAATCTATGGATATATAATAAATGTAATCATTCTTTTGTTATTTGATATTGATCTTCTGAAATTTTACTATTAAAGTAAACATTATAATGTTGTTTTAGAAACATTTAAGTAATTATTTGTTCAAGGTCTGATTATTATGATTTTTTTAGGATAGACTACCAAACTATATATATAAAAATATTGTCGTGTCAAATCCAAAGAGTTTACACCTGTTTCCACTACAACTAAAATACCATTTCACTATACCACATAAAAATTTAATTTAAAGAAGTAGTCCATTTTAATATGCAAAAATGGGTTTTCCTTGTTTTAATTTGCATTTCTTATCAGACCAGTGAGTTTAGACATGCTTTCGTGTATTTATTAACCATTGTATTTTCTTTTATGTGACCATCTGTTTTTGTTTCTTCTTCATTATGGGTTCTTTATATTGTCTCTCATTTTGTTTCAATATTATAACGTTTATTCTTTGGTTTTTAATTGCATTATGCTTTTTAGCATACTTTGTACTTACAAAAATTTATGTTATCGAATCTTTCATTTTCCCTTTATAATGTTTTTTATTATTTTATGTTTATCAAACACCCATAGCCTGTGATCATGTAAATACAAACTTTTTATTTGAAATGCAGCCTTATTCAATCATATATATTAGATATTAGATATATATAAAAGGCATAAAAATATTTAGTATTTTCCAACAATATATTTTAGAAATCTCATATTAATAGTTAACTATTTCATCTAGTGACTATATAACAATTTAATCATTTTAATAACTTAATAATTTTCCATACCAATGGATATTTTTAAGATTTATAGGATTTCTTTTTTTTTTTTAAGTAAAATGAAATGCAGTGAACATCTTTTCACTTAATTCTGTGCCCATATTTTGGACTGGTTTCCTCTGACGGTTTTTTACATAAGATAAACTCTGGTCAGAGGTTAGGAGCCCTCGAGGTCTCAAGGTTGGTGGCATTTCGCAGCTTTCGTTTTACTGGATTGGTCAGTCTTCTGTGCCCTGTGGCCAGAACACATTGTGTTTAATCGTGGTTTATAACACAATAGAGTGTCTGGCTGGGTAAGTCTCCTCTCTGCAAAATACAACCAAATAAAACCAAAATAGAACTCTTCTTTTTCAAAATATTCTTGGCTTATTTTACTTATTGATTCATCCAAATGAATTTAGAATCACCTTGTCATGTTTTAAAATATCTTCCTCCCCATAAAGCAACTAATTAGACTATTGATTAGAATCGCAGCCAAGCTATACATTCATTTGAAAATAATGGAATTTTTTTCAATATCCAGTTTTGAGTATTGGCCACATGGTTTGTCTCTCTTTTTATTCCATTCTGTGAGTTCCTTAGTAAAGTTTTCTTCATATTAGCTCTACATGTTTTTAATTAATGTTATTCCTATGAATGTTCAGTTTTGGTGCTATTGTAAGTAAAGACATGTTGCACACAGCATCTCTCTTCAGATTGGCATGACTGAACAGGGTAACCTTGAGATACATACGTAATTTGCCTAAGGACACATATAGTTGCTAGTCGATACCCTTAAATTCTTCAGACTACAGAGAGAATATGCTTTATAAACTTCAAGTTATTAGAAGAGTGTGATGTGAGTAAGGATAAACACCTGCGGGGATATTTGGGATCTAAATAAAAAGCTCTGCCCTTAATAGTTTTATGTGGCTTTTGGCAGTTGCATTTAACCTTTGTGACCAGTGCTCCACCAGTCAGAAAGGATACCAGATGCTACATCCTGCCTTTGCCTCCTGGCTGAATGTCATTCTTCTTAGCCTGGAGCACAGTAAGTGCTTAACAAATACCAGCTATAAAATTAATAATAAAACAGCTTATAATAAGAGGAGATAATTGGAATAAATGACTATCCTTGTTAATTTGGTAGCAAATGGCACATAGCATCACTTTGAAACTAAGCAAGTTAGAAAGCATCTGCACTTTTTTTCAACATTCAAATCCCATTGCCTCATAGTCAGAGTTCATATTTCTGACCTGTTTTTCCAGCAATCAGCATATGGCTTATTATTATACTTGCTAAAACTACTATTTTTAGAGGAAAAATATTTCTGGCTTGATGTTAACAAAATTAAATAAAATTCAAAAGTCATCAAACTAAAGATTGTGTTGTATCAGATCATATGTACTTTAGCAGATGTGATGCAAATGTTGAGACAAATTCTTGCATGTCTCAGAGGGACCATGGCCAGAAATGGAAAGCACCAAAAGAGTATTGAAGGAAGTATTAGGACTGCTCAGAAGGTAAAGGTCTCACATCATCCTGGTGTTCCCAGAAAAGGGTTCCTGGAGGAGATAGGATGGAAGAATCTTGAAGAATGGTTTGAATTGGCAAGTAAGAAAGTGAAACAGATCCTTCTGGAAGGAAGAACAATTGGATCAAAGCTGAGGTCATATGTCTGGAGAGTAGTTAGTTAGTTGATCCGCTAGAATAGCGTTTCTCAACCTCTATGTTTTTGACATTTTGGGCTGGATAATTGTCATTTGCATTCTAAGATGTTGACCAGATCCCTGGTTTCTACTCAGTAAGTGCCTTCTGCACCCCTCTAGTTGTGCAGAATGTTCTCTGAGGCACAAAATATTTTGCCCCTCACTCCCAGCAACTCTGTTAGGAAAAAAAAGTTTGTGTCGAGGAGCAATGAGAAATAAAGCAGGGATATAGACCAGATTCAGATTGTGAAGCACCTCACATGCCAGATAAGTGGTTTGGACTTGTCTATCTTGGTAATAGAGGACATTCATCTTTTGTGCAAGAGAATGGCATGATATTCATGTTTTATGAAGATTTATTAACATTTGGCACTTTCTTGTGATGCTTAAGTGCATTTATATGCCACTCTCTGTCAATAGATGAGCTACTGACTTATGACAGATGCAAATCTTCTAAAGCATCCTGATCTCAAGTTCCATTCTCTGGTGAAAAATTATACAGTTGTACACTTTAAATGCGTGTACCAAATGTACATTTTTTGAAACCATACATTTTTGTTTAATTGAAAACAGCATTAAACATTTTTAAAAACTAAACTGAAGATAATCATTTTAACACAATACTTTCTTCCTTTCTTGCTCTCTTTTAAGTTTTGTACACATGAAAATAATTTCTCACAAAATTTCAGTTAGATTGTATGACTATTTTACATCTTTTAAAAAAACTTACACCTAACATTAACAGTTTGCTGCATATGTACATAGTAATCATAAGGATCATTTTGGTAGTGGCAGAATATTCCACTGAATTGATATACTCTCATTTATACTAAAGAGTTATAGAAAAGTTAGAGTGGGAAGAACCATGAGAGATTATGTGGTCTAGTGATTTCTCCAACAGTGCTCTTGGAAGCCTTATGGGTAGTCTGATGCATTGCCTAAGGGACTACATTAGGTATAGAGAAGGCTTGGGATGCTTAGTGATCAAGTTCTTACACCCTTCATTTTTGCTCCAGCCAGAAGTACTCAGATTCTTAATTAGCTTTGTATATTGGACTTCTGTATAAGTTTTTTTTAATGACAGAAGACCATTCATTAAAGAAGCAAATGAAAATGTTTAGAAAATCATTGATCTAGAATGGTCTTTTCATTTCACACAAGCTACATATGGGTATAACAGTCTCCAGGTTGTCTTTCCTTAGTGCCCACACCACCCTGAAGTGTCTAATTCCATAGCGTAGACACTGCTTGAATGGTTAAAGTCTTTGCTAAACTACCCAAACCATTGTTTTAGGAGGATGCCACCTGGTGACCCATTGCTCTATCAGTGGGCTCACCCTGATTTGGCAAGAAGAAAACTGGCCACACTCACATGGACATGATTTTGGCAAGTTTGGTGCTAATGCACTGGATTGGAAGAAATAGACCCCTTCATTTACTTGGTGGCGAATGGCACTGAGGATCATCCACTCTCACCCTAGCCTGTTTTGTTCTCAAAGAGATGCCTAAAATAGATTCTTCAAGCAATTAGGCTTTTTCAGCTGTCAGTGTATTGCTTGTCAAAGGCACTGGCCTTCTTCCTGTATACATGTCTGTATTTCTGAACGTAGCGTATTCTACCATTTCAATCCTCATTGCTTACAAATACAATGAGGGACAAAATTCTCATTTAGGAATCCTGAAATCTTTCCAAATCAGGACACGTTCTCCCCTTTTAGGCATCTCACCTGCTTCTGCTGTTTGAAAAGACAATCTGGATGATGGATTAGGGGCTTGTCCCACCTCCTCTCATCTCCCCGCTGGACAGCCATGTCATATTCCGACATTCTCCAACCTTTTCCCCTAACAGTGTGTTGAAGAGAGCTGTCAAGTAATTTGGGCAGAACTGTGCACAATGGAGGCAGAGAGAGATGGAACCCCTGGGGGATCCCAGCTCTGCAGACTTAGCATTTTGGATGGATGCAAGGAGACTGAAGCATTGAAAAGGTCAGACCCTGGAACCAGTCTGATCTATAAAAGGCACCACAGTGTGCAATAATTGTCAATGAGTGGGCTAAAAGCACTGGGGGATTTAAAATGGGATGGCCTTGCGCTTCTCCAAGTGATACTGGGAATGAGAGGTCTGAGATCCCATCCTGCTTCCTAACATTTCTTAACATTGCTATCTTCATTTAACGAGTGTCATGGAAGGATGTGACAGTGAAATAGAACAAATGGAGTTGGGTTATATGATTGTTTTCCACTTTTAAAGAAAGGGAAATTTAGAACATGAGTTACATTATTGAGGGAAACATACCTTCATCCATTTTTTTAAATGAGATTTGTTAGGATTTTTCCAGAGCTGAAAGAAACTCAACAGGTTAGGGAGAAGAAAACACTTCATGGACTCTGCAGTGTAATGGAAAGAGCATTGGAGTAGGAGACAGGACTTCTGGTTGCTAATTCTACTCCTGCCACTGGGCAGCCAGGCCTTGGGGCACTAGTAGGATTTCTCTGGCTTTCTGCATCCTCATCTGTAAAATTCAAAGGGGTGATGACCAAGGGAGAACCGGCAGTGAATACCTGAGGTGCTTGCTAAAAATGCAGACTCTAGATAGAAGGAATAAATGCAATGTTCAATAGAATAGAGTAGAATAACTATACTTAAAAAATATATTGTACTTGGGTGAGGGATGCCCTAAATATCCTCAGTCACTATGCATCATATACATGTAAAAATTATGTACCCCACAACTTTGCACAAATAAAAAGAAATTTTAAAAATGCCGATAGTTTCTTCGGCCCCACCTGGAAATCCCTGCTCTGGATCTCTGGACCTGGGCCTCAGGAATCTCCATCTGAACAAGCTCTCCTGGCAATGCCTTTGTACACTAGATTTTGAGAACCAGAGGAGGTAGTTAAGAGGTCATTTTGAAAACCAGGGAGACAAATTAGTGGAGTCCCAGGTGTTCCCCTTTGAGTAGTACAAACTGGTTCCCCCTTATCAAAAACCCCCTCTTTTCTCCACCGTGCTTGAAATACACAGTGGAAAGGGTTGTTCCAACCAATGAAGACATTGGCACCTCCAGGCATCTTTTCAAAATACATACACTCCCTGCTAGATGAGATAATATACTTCCGTGTGCTTTGCAGGCTGCAAAGAATCTTTAAAATGCTTCATAACTGTAAAATGCTATATTGTTTTAGACTTTATTAAAATAATGCCTGTAGTTTTTATTAACATTATGACATGAATGAGGTTACTGATTTTATCTATGCCTGTTTAGATGTACTTAGGAATTCCATTGAAAAGACACTTTTGAGTCCCTACTCTTTGAACAGTGTATACATAGAAAGGGATATGAAGGACGGTAGGTAGGGGTTGTTCCAATTTCTGACTCTCTCTAAGGTAATAAATTATGCATTCAAGCCCATTGCCATGGGACTCTCAGTGTTTTTCCACTGTATGCAGTGAGAATTTCCCCAATCCCTTGGCTTGGGATCATCCATGTGACTTGCTTTGGCTGAGTTTAGCAAATGTGACACAAGCGGAAGCTCTGTCATTGCACTGTAGCTGTGGCCCCTCACCCCAGGCCCCATCAC
Source organism: Homo sapiens (assembly GCF_000001405.40). Lineage (NCBI taxonomy): Eukaryota > Metazoa > Chordata > Mammalia > Primates > Hominidae > Homo > Homo sapiens. The sequence goes on from NC_000010.11 coordinate 105,059,802, forward strand.
GAACCCACAGAGCAACCTGAGCCTTCCCCTCTATGGGATGCCAAGCTCTGCTGGATTCATAGCATGAAGCAGAGCCTCGCATTGAGCCCAGCCTAGAAAAGCTGATCCCAGCTGGCCTTAGATGTACCAGCAAAATACATAACTGTTGGTTTAAGCTGCTGAATGTTGAGGTAGTTTATTATGCAGCAAAAGCTAAGCTGATACAGTAGGACAAAGACAAGTTGAGACAACTGGACAAATGGCTGATACAAAGGATTGTTAGGTACCAGGAGACAGATACAGCCTGTGATAGAGGTGTCAGAGGAGTGGCATCAGTAATGTGTTCATGGAGGAGTTGGAATTTGAGGGGGGTTTGAAAGATGGTTTCAATTTCAACAGGCAAGCTTGTGTGCGTGCTTGTGGATCCTCTGGCATGGTGGGTAATGGCGGACATTTCAGTCACAGGAAGGAGAAAGAAGAGAAACAGAAAAGCATGAGGTGTGTTTAGGAAATTGTTAGTAGGTCAGTCTGTCAAGAAGTTCGGATTCTATGCTTGGAGAGAGAGAGATTGGCCGATAAGCCTAGAAAAGAAGATTAAAGTGATAACTTAGAGGCTTTAAATGCCAGGCTAAAGATTTTGCAGTTAATACAGTGCACCTTTAAAGGGTTCCACTCAGGGGCAGAGCATGCTCAGGACTGGTCTTTAGGAAGCTCATTTTTACAGCAGGGTGAAGGGCAAATTACACAAGGAAGAGCTGGGGACGAGGTGGCCAATTAAAAGGCTATTCATTACTGGGGGCAGTGAGTCCTGGAAAGAGAAGATGGAAATCCAGGGAATTCTAGAAGATGTGGTTTGCAATTTAAAAAAGTTAAAAAGTCTGGGCGCGGTGGCTCAAACCTGTAATCCTAGCACTTTGGGATGCTGAGGCAGGCGGATCACCTAGGTCAGGAGTTCAAGACCAGCCTGACCAACATGGAGAAACCCCGTCTCTATTAAAAATATAAAATTAGCTGGGCATGGTGGCACATGCCTATAATCCCAGCTACTCGGGAGCCTGAGACAGGAGAATCCCTTCAACCCGGGAGGCGGAGGTTGTGGTGAGCTGAGATCACGCCATTGCACTCCAGCCTGGCCAACAAGAGTGAAACTCCGTCTTAAAACAAAAAAAAAAAACAAACAAAAAAGTTAAAAACAATTTAAGTATAGAAAATAAATTCAAATTCGTTTGCAGTCTTAAAATGTTTCCTGTAATGTGTAACATCTAGAAACTAGAGTTCTACTTGGAAACAAATTCACAAGTTATGGTGGCCACCAATTTATAGACTTTACAAATAATTTTTTAAACAAGGGCTCAAATTCAGCATAATATTTACACATTTGTTGGAAAGCTGTGCTCTGGACTTAGGTATCATTTCTCCCAGGGTAAGAAAGCACTGAAGAAAGTTCTCTGAGTAGTTTTGTGTTTGTTTTGTGGGGGTGAGGTAGGGTGGGAGAGATGTTTTAAGTGGTGTTCCTTTTTTTTTTTTTTTTTGAGGTGGAGTCTCGCTCTGTCACCCAGGCTGGAGTGCAGTGGTGCAATCTTGGCTCACTACAAGCTCCGCCTCCCAGGTTCATGCCATTCTTCTGCCTCAGCCTCCCAAGTAGCTGAGACTACAGGCGCCTGCCACCACACCTGGCTAATTTTTTGTATTTCTTAGTAGAGACAGGGTTTCACCGTGTTAGCCAGGATGCTCTCGATCTCCTGACCTCGTGATCCACCTGCCTCGGCCCCCCAAAGTGCTTGGATTAAAGGCATGAGTCACTGCGCCTGGCCCCCTTTTTTTAAATAGACCTCCAAATAGAGAGTGGGTGACAGAGCGAGACCCTATCTCAAAAAAAAAAAAAAAAAGTTGTGTTCAGGAGGTTTAGGAGCTCTCAGGAACACCACCACCTTTGAGGAATGAGGGATATGGCATGGGTGGAGAAAGAGGCTGCCTGTGATACAGGTGCAGCAGCTGATCCTATAGCACTTGTGTAGCTGGGATGGCCCTTCAGAAATGTCCAGCCTTGAACCAAAGGATTGGGTCTTTATATCTCCACAGTGACTGGCCATGAGATGTGGGCTGCCACCAGGGGAGGGGTGTGACCCTAATGAGGTGGCTGTCATCAGCTGCGGAAAATTCCCAGAGAGTGACCCAGCTGAGAGCCATGAGCCACCCACACCTCAACACTTAGGATAAATTCCTGGGACAGAGGGGGATTCAGGTGGCATCCACCTTTGGAGAGAGTTATTTATTTCAAATTCTTGTTATTTTCCTAAGAGGCAAGATTAATTTTGATAATAATGGTGGTAAATAACAATGAAATAATACATGAATAGCAATAACAATAAGACATTATTGTTTACTGAGGGCTTATGTGATGTCAAGCAATGTGCTAAGTCCACAGCATGCATTACTGCACTTATGTTTTTAAGAAGCATGCAGGTGGAATAATGTAGTGGCCCAGTGTATGGGGTTGGCCGCAGACTGTGTAGGTTTAAACTGCTAATTAGCTGTGTGTCTTGGGCACCCAGGGCCTCAGTTTCTTCATTGAAAAAACGGTATTCTAATAACAACAGCAATCTGTCTCCTAGGGTTGTGGTGTTATACGAATCAGAAAATAGTGGAGCTGGTTTGTGAGCTAGAAAGTGGGAGAACTGTTCTTTCTGGGTTCAAAGCCCATGTTGTCAAATTTAACTTTTGGTGTTTGTGGGAGGGTAGACCAGAGCAGGTGCCACGATAGGGACCCGGTGTAGTGGGAGGGTGTTGAGTATTTCAGCGGTTGGAGAGGTCAAGGTTAAAAGTGCAGTGAAGGACAGAAGGGTAAGAGGCAGAAGGGTGTGGAAGACCGTCAAGCTCACAGTGTTTACCTGTCTTTCCCAGCAAGGGCTAGCCCCATTATAAAAAGAACAAAACCTAAAGACTCAAAACTTCATTCCTTTCTGTACTGAACCCCACCCTTGATTGTTTGTCCAAGGAAGTGCCCAGTTTCTTGACTGTCCTCCATGGCCTGGATCATGCTTGTGAGGCACTTTCATCTAGCCCCACCACAGTGCCAGGCTCCATCAGACACCTTTTGGTGGAGATGATGGTCTTTTAGGCTCAGAAATCTACTCTGGTTATATAAGGAGGCTTGTCACCTCACGTATGGTTGCTGAACTAGGAAGTGGGTGGAACGAAAGAAACAGCAGCCGGGGGAAGTGACCATGAAGAAACTTACTGTTGTATGTCATTAATCGCTAATTGCTGAATGATTTTATTATATGGCAGCCATAAAATATCACTTGAGGTTTTACAGCCTGTGCTAGCTTTAAGAAAACAATTCCTTATGTCAAAATGACTATTAAATTAACTGATTCCATATTAAACATCCTATGGACTCCCGATGATTTATGAGGCTGTATAATGACTAAGAATCCTTCCTTTCTGCTGCTCTCAGGAAACCAGCAGCCATTTTTGGAACAGCTACCGACCTTGGCAACCTGAGAGATGTGCTGGTTTCTAAGACATCTGGACAATTGGAGTTAAAACACTCTCATTTTACAGATAAGGAAACTGAGCCCCAGGGAGATAAAGTGACTTAACCAGAATCACTGTGTAGACAAAGTGGCCACACTGTATCTGTTGTGCTGATGTTACTAATAATTATTTATTTGTCCTGTTATTCCCAGCCATCCCTACTGTCTCTCTTTAATAAAAGGCAAATTGAATCTTGGAAAACTCTTTTGTATATAACTTCAAATATAATCACTTGTGAGATAAGGTGTGATGCCTTTCGGTCACACCTATTTACATTTGTTGCCCTGAATTTGCTTTTACATGTTTTTGGTGGAGGTAGACCCAGTAAATTGACTGACAATAATTGTTTGGGCCTTGCAAGGTATTTCCACCAGAGCATTTGCACCTTCACACTTGGAGCACTGTGGGGATGCTGAATAGACACCAGCCATGTCCCCTCCTTCAAAGAGCTCAGAATCCAGCCAGGAGACCTGATCCTCGGGTGTCACATGCTGTATTGATAAAAGACTATTGAAAGAAGCCTGGAGAAGTAGTTAGCCTAAAGTTACTGAGCTAGAGAAAGCTGAACAAGTCAGCCAGTAGCCTATGCAGCCAGTCGCAGCTCTGCGGTGTTCCTGTAGTCCTCTCTATGGTAGCAGCTCTGAGCATGCTGCTAGTTCCCCATAGTGCCTGCAGATGGCCCCAGAGTGCTGCCGGAGCATGACTTCACCACTCATTAATTGATTACTTCAAGCAACATTTGTTGAACATCTGCTAGGAGTCAGGCACTGAACTAGGCATTAGGAAACAATGGTGGGTGAAACAGACACCGTCTCTGCCCTCTTAGCACTTATGGTGTAGCAAGGAAACAGGAAGAAATCAAATAATCAGACAATTAAAGTTGTGATTACTAACTGTGGTAAGAGCAATTTAAGATGATTAAAGGTTGCCATGGTGAGTGTAAAACCAAGGGATCTAGTGTAGACTGGAACTCCGAAAGGCCTTCCTTAATCGTCTGTGAATTAGTCAGGGCTCTCCAGAGAGAGAACCAATAGGAGATAGATAGATACAAAGCTGGATGGATGATTGATAGATAGATATAGATGGATGAGAGGGAATTTATTAGGGGAATTGGCTCGTGCAATTATAGAGGTTGAAAGGTACCCCAATAGGTCTTCTGTAAGCTGGAGACCCAGGGAAGCTGCTGGCATGGCTCAGTCCAAGTCCAACAGTCTCAGAATCAGTGAAGCTGAGGGTATGAATCTCAGTCTGAGGCCGAAGGCTTGAGAACCTGGGCGGGGGGTTGCTGGTTGAAGTCCAGGAGTCCAAAGTTCAGAGATTCTGGAGTTCTGATGTTCAAGGGTGGGAGAAGAAGGGTATCTCAGCTTTGGGGAAGGGAGGGAGATAGCTGCAGAGAAGGAGGTAGGGAAGGAGATAAAAAGGGAGAGAGAAAGAATTCACCTTTCCTCTTTTTGTTCTCTCCAGGCCCCCAGCCCACTGAGTGATGCCTGCCCATAGTGAGGGCAGATCTTCCCCACCCAGTCCACTGGCTCACACGCCAATCTCCTTTGGAAACACCCTCACAGATATACCCAGAAATAATAGTTTACCAATTCTCTAGGTATTCCTTAGTCCAATCAAGTTGACATGTAAAATTAAACATCATAGTGTATATATGACAGGGAACCGGAACCTAACCTAGTCAGATATATAAACATACTTAACAAAACTAAATCACGTAGGGTGCAGGTAATGAGTCTTTGTTGGGGGTGGGCATCCATCTCTCTTGATCTGTGTGAGTGAATATGGGGAGATTCAGTCATTGTGGCTGACATCAGTAGCCCTGGTTAGTAGCCTAACTGACCTACTAGGAAATGATGTGCTTGTGGTTAATTGCCTCCTCCTTGTGCACTTCAGCTTCCTTACCTAAAGGGTGAGAAGTTTGCACCAGAATCATACCTACTCAGTGTGTGGTCAGGAAACTGGGTGCTGGTTCACAAACTGCTACTAGTCTATGATGAGATAAGTGCACAGATAAGTATATCTATTGAGAGTGTGGAAACTCGTGTAGCAATTTGACATTCTTTAATATTTTATTGCATTTACAAAAAAAAAATCAGTCTGGGAAAATGAATTCATCCCAGGTAACTTGAGAACCAACTGCACACGACGACCTCTGAGAACCCTTCCAGTGCTAAAAGCCTTATACTCTAATTGGATGGGGGTAGAAACTTCTAGATCAGCATTGTAAAATACTCAGTGTAAGTTCTAGAGGCTGGAGTTGAGTGGTTATGAGTGAGACGATGTGATTTTAGAAAGAACATGTTCTTAGCCTGGGTCTAGAACACAGAAGTCATAATACCAGCAGAGTCAGAAGTTGGTCATTCTAAGAAGACAGCCACACCATGTCATTTACTGGCAATACACCTAATCTCCAGGCTAAAGCTTAAAAGACCAGACCTAACTTGGAGCATTTGTAAAAGAGGAAGAAGAAAAAAGAAAGAAAAATCCAATAAACTCAAATAACCAAATACATATATTTGATGTTTGTTCTTTCCTAATCCATTTAAGTCCCATCAAATTGCTCAAAAGCTCCTTTGATTTATAAATGGAATTTAGGTAGTGAGTCATCTAAAATAAAAACGATTTAAACTTTGAAAAGTAGCTCCCATGAAGCAGAATAAAGGTACTTAAAGGATTTCTATTTCCCAAGACCCTAGAAATACCATGAATTGGAGTATCTCTGTTTAACTGCTGTTATGGATGGTCCCTTGGGTAAACACTGTGCTTTATAAAAAGCTAATACTCAGAAAGAGTTTTTAAAAATTAATATTCATGCATGGGCTCATCTGGTGGAAAAATGCATGGTTGACATTTTGTGACCACGTTGCACAAAAGGCCTGCATTAACAGTAAGAAGCACGCCTTCCCCTGTCCCATCCCTCCTGAAATATTTCCCTGTGAACCTTGATTTCTTAGCTCTCTCTTCTTCAACATTCAGGGCAGGAGCATCTATTCTAGACCTGTGATCTTACTGGGAAACAGTAGACTTGAGGAGGCAGAGATGAACGGGGTGAGAAAGATCTGGGTTTAGAGGTTGAGAGTTGGTTTTGGAAAAGCTGAACATGAATCAGGAACAGGCTGGGGCACCCCCTTCACTGGCCACAAAAGGCTGCTTTTTCCTTGCCAGGAGCAGAGCTGGTGTGGGGTCTTGGATTTGCTGCCTCACATTTGGATTGTTACATCTAGAGACCTTACTGTATTTGACACTATTGCCTGCCATGTGTGTGTTAGGCACCCTCAGCATGTCATGTCATTCTGGAAGAAAGAGAATCATAATAGCCCAGCACCAGTCAAGACTGCTCCCTTCCACTCTTCTTATTTGATTAGCCAAGAAGCCTTTGCTCTAGCTACCTGGTGTTGTTTTCTAATTGGCTTCCCCTCCTATTCCTCCTATTTGGAGGAGTCAGGCTCCTCCAAATCATGACCATTTCTTTACTACTCACCTTAGCCCCCAGTCCTTCCCTTCATCTTCCTTCCAGGAATCATTGAGCCTTCTCTCTCACCAAAAAAGTAGAGCCTAAAAGACGTAAATGTACCAGCTTTCCTTTGCCCCTGAACTGCCCTCCAGAGTTCTTGCTCTTTCCCCCTATTTCTCTGAGGTGTTGGAAGAATAGCTGTACCTTCTTTATGAACTTAAATTTCCAGGTACACTTTTAATCTTGTCTCTTCCCAGCTGTTAGGGGTTTTGCTTCATCCGTTAACTCTCTCTTGGTTCACTATCTTCAAATTTCTTATTCTCTGCCACTGAAAACCTCATTATTTCTCTTCCATCTTGAAAAAGAGACAAAAAGAAACCATTCCACTGTGCATCTATATTTCAAAACATCATATTATATATGATAAATATGTTCAACTCTATCTGTCAATTTAAAAGAATAAACAAGGCCAGGCATGGTGGCTCAAGCCTGTAATCCCAACACTTTGGGAGGCCAAGGCAGGCAGATCACCTGAGGTCAGGAGTTCAGGACCAGCCTAACCAATATGGTGAAACCCCATGTCTACTAAAAATACAAAAATTAGCCAGATGTGGTGGCAGGCGCCGGTATTCCCAGGTACTCAGGAGGTTGAGACAGGAGAATTGCTTGAACTCGGGAGGCGGAGGTTGCAGTGAGTTGAGAGTGTGCCACTGCACTCCTGCCTGGGCGACAGACTGAGACTCCGTCTCAAATAAATAATAAACCTCAATTTTTTCCTTTTCCACTCAGGTGACTTTCCTGTTTGCCTCCTTTTCTTCATTGCTAAATTGTATGAAATTAGTTGTAATGAATGTGCTTCCTTACCTTCAAATCACCTTTAAACCCACTCCCATCTGGTTCCTCCACCACTACTTCCTTTACTGCAACCATCAGGCACCTCCTAATGGCCAAATCCCATGCTTTCCTTTAATTTCTCATCCTACTTGACTTCAGCAGATGTTAACACGGTTGTCTACTTCCTTCAGGAGTCTTTGTCCTTCCTTGATCATGATTTTCTTGTTTTTCTTTTTACCTTCCTGACCATCCTCTGCTGCATCTTTGCTTGCTTCTCTTGGGTTGGAGATCTTATACATGTCAGTGTTTCCAGGATGCTCTCTTCATTGTTTCATTTGCTTGCAAAGAGACACATTTCCCCACTCTCATCAATGCTTCCAGTCCCTCTAAAGATTACCAAACCCTATCTCACACCCTACTCTCTCCAGAATTTCAGACACATACTTCTCATGCCCCTCGCAACATCTCTACCCTGATATGGCTCTAATACTGCCAGATAGCTCTACTATATACCTCAAAACCCAACTGTCCATAACAGAACATATTGCCATTCCCCAAATGTAGAAGAACTGCATCTCCTCCTTTCCCCAACTTGGTTAAATGAGTTCTCCTGATTTCTCAGATTATTTTAGTTAACAATATCGCTATCCATCAAATTGTCTGACCTAGAAATCTCAAATAACTCCAGACTGCCTTTATTCACTGCATCAGTCCCTCTGAACAGCAGGGTCCAGCCGCTCACACCCTCTTGGCCCCCTTGTTGAATTTATTACACCTTCAAACCCCTTCCCTAGATGCATCTGCTTTTTCCCTGTTGGCACTTCCTTCAGCCAGGTCCTCCTCTTCTTTTGCCTGGACCAGCTTCCTCTCTGTTTCTCTGCCTTCAGTTTTACTGCCAAAACTTGAGTCAGTCCTTTATGGCTTCTTCTTGTTTCCTAAAACACCGGCTAAATGAGGTTATCATTTGGTTAAAAACTTCTGCTGCTGAAGTCGAGAGAATTATTTAAAAAAAATTAAAGCGTAATGACACATTAGTGAGTCATGATTCCTTGTGAAGTGTGTCACAAAAATTTTGTGGCCAGTAATAAAGAACTGATGTTGATGAGTTATCACCCTCATTTTCTTTTTGAAAATTTGAGGCAATTCAAGGTTATCAGTAAAATGATGTCATTCTTACATACTTGCATTCCTAAATGAATAGAAATCAATGGAATGACAACTAATGTGTCAGCTTCTTTAATATTTCTTACTGACCATAGTAAGATGCCTTTATAGATCATAAAGAGATATATTGAATGTAAATCATTGTTTTTGCTATGCAGGATTTCATTAAAGATTATTTGAGATTTGCTCAAAATCAGAATATGCTCACCTGATTTTCTTACATGTGAACAGCATCTACCATAGATCGTTTTGGAAATCAAGATAGACAAAAACTAGTCTCAATATTATACAAATCCTTTAGCATGACACAGAATGCCTTCTCATAACAAATTTCTGGAACATCTTTCCAAACTCATAGTCATGTACTATCCTAATCTCTCCACCCATACCCCACACCAATCACTGTTATGCTTACATGCCATAAGATTGTATGCCTTCAAGTCTTTTGGCAAGCCTTCCTTTTGCCAGGCCAATGAAGGCAGGGAATGCAATTCTAGGCAAATCCAGGAAATCCACTTATCTTGTAAAGTTCTGCTCAAAACTTTTGAAACTCCCTGAACCCTCTCTAACACCTTTTCACTGTGGCCAAGAGCATGTTTCTGGGACAAACCTCTTGGCTTCTCTATTGAAAGCTCTAATATTTGGGTCAGATTTTCTAAGCTTCAGTTTCCTCATCAGCCTAATGTCGATAATAATGCCATCTACCTCATAGAGTTGCTGTAAAGATTTCATAAGATTATTAACCATGCCTAGGGAGTTCTTCTGCAGCTCTTCCTGAGTTTAGATCTGTTAATATCCGCAACTCCTTCAGACAGTGCTTGGCTCTGCCACGCTCAGCTGGAGTCAACTTCACTTTGCATCTTTCTGAAGCATCTAATACTGTGGAGTAAATTAATTTTCAGTGACTTTGATGTTGTCCCAAGGTAATTCTCTGTGATACTTTCCAGCAGGGAGCCTTTGAAATGTCGTCCCTCTTATAATTAATACATTGTACTGTGCTGCACCTATCAACAGATGGATTTATCATTACACATTCAGACTTGACAGAGGTCAGCCATCATCTCTCTCCATGTGTCCTTGCATACTCCTGGCAAGTTGGTCTCTTTCCCTTTTTTCTTTCCAAGTCTCCCCCGCCCCGATCCCAACCTATCCCCCAGTCTAGCCAGATCCATAGCTTTCTGGCTGAAAGTAATTATGATATCAGGCTGAAGTTTTGAGGCTTGGAAGGGCTCTACTGTGTTCAGATTTCACTTCTGACTGGAGTCAGTGAGCTACCACATTATCAAACATGTACATATACTCCTTCTAAATAATGGAGGACATAGGAACTGGGCTTCTCCCAATGTCTCTTCTCTCCGCTCCTGAGATTGATTCCCGAGTTCTGCTCCATTTAAATTCCCTCAAATGTAATTAGGAAAAAAGGTATGGACATTTATCAATATCATCAGCATCTTTACCTTTCATGTCTTACTAGACCTATATCATAGTTGAGGAAACTAAGGTTGAGAGTGGTTATCAGTCCAAGTTAATTAGTAGGTGGTACAGCCAGGATCCAATGCAGGCTTACTCTAAAGCTGAGATTTTAATTCTGATTTTATACCACCTCGGTGTCTCCAGTGAGTGTCTCCTTCAAGGCTATTTTCAGATTCACCACCAGGGAGGTTTCTGGATCAAGTAGATCTGAATCAGATATATGTGACAACTTCAGAGAAAGGGAGAAATCCTAGGTTCTTTCTTTGAGAACAGCTTCCCAGCCTGTGATCAAGGAACCTCACATCATCTCTTTCAATGGAACCAATGTCCCAGCCCTTTTAAGAACTCTACATGGAAGAGAGGGAGTTCATATTTTCTCTACAAATCACAGGACCCTCCCTTGATAGTTAAATAGGATGATCTCAGCAAAGCTGACAAGATGTTTCCATGTTTGTTAAACAAGAACCATTTGTTTAGCTCAGGAGCATCTGTTGAATAAACAAGATATCTGATGTGCCATTTGCTCATTGAAAATTAACAAACCCTTTAAAAATGGCAATTTGTCAGGAGTTATATGAAGCAGAATTCATTCTCAGCAAGTGAACAAATTGAAACTTCCTTCCCAGGCTTTCTAGAATCCCCCAGAGCCAGTTGTACAGAAAAAGTTTAGTTTAATTTGCCATCATTAAGGAAAATATGCAGACAGTGATGGGAGAAGAGAAGCAAGTATCCTGCTAGGGAAATTGAAGAGTCCTGGGAGAGGTATTGTCCAGTCCAGTTGGGATGAGCTATTCCCCTTCTGGGCTGTGTTTCCATTTGGAGAGTGTAGGACTCCTGGAAGGGATCAGCTTTTTCTTCTTTCATCCTGTTTCCAGGAATCATGTGGTATAATAAAACTGTCATCAGTCAGCATCATTCCTCTCTGTGCCTCCCCATGGGGAGGGAATCAAATGGAGGGTTAATTTACTCCAAGAGTAAAGGCAACAAAGAAAAGCATAAAATGAATGAAAGGCTGTCACTACTCTCATGTGATGGAACAGCTATTAGAATCCTGGCTAAAATGAAGTCTGTGTATAGTTCTGTTTTCCTCATGAAGCACACGAGCTTCCTGGTATTGGTCCATCTTGACCTGCTCCTTGGAGGAGTACAGTGTGCTGGCACCAGGTGGACTAAGCATATTGGGCAGTGAATCTAGCATTTAGTAAGTCCAGATACCGTGCTAAGCACATTGCTGACATCAATTAAATGCTCACAAAGCTCTCGTTTGTTAAATTTTTTTATTTTTATTTTTTGTGGGCTTATAGTAAGTGTATATATTTATGGGGCACGTGAGATGTTTTGATACAGGCATGCGATGTGAAATAAGCACATTATAGAGAAAAGGGTATCGATCCCGTCAAGCATTTATCCTTTGAGTTATGTACAATCCAGTTATACTCCTTAAGTTATTTTAAACTTTACAATTAGTTATTATTGACCATAGTCACCCTGTTGTGCTATCAAATAGTAGGTCTTATTTATTCTTTCTAACTATTTTTTTGTACCCACAAAGCTCTCTTTTATCCCCATCTATAGATGAGGAAACGAAGGCTTAAGTTTGTGTAATTTTTCCAAAGTCACACAGGTAGAAAGACATAGAAATGAGATTTAAACTAATGCAGCTTGAAAGCTCATTGGTTTTATTTTCATGTTGCATCACTTCAGATAGCCCTTGAAGATGCAAGGTTCCTGGGTCTCTTGGTGTAAAGACTGAGAAGAGCAGCCTCTGAATTCATGAGCGCTACTTTGGGCAGAAGTATCAGCATTTTAAGCAGGATATTACTGAGATTCCTGGGAAGTGCTGGCTGGCTGGAGGTTGATATGCTATTCTTGCTGGGTTGCAATTCAAATTCTTTATTTAGAGAGAGTTTGGCATGGGAGGTGGTGAGCTCTCGGACTTTATATAAGCGGGTCCCTGTGGGCTCTAATTAGAAGCTAAGGAGTTAGCTGACTCTGGGCTCTGAGCAACTTGCTGCCTCATCTTCTCACGTTAGCCCTTTTAGCAATTGATCTTGTAAACTTTCTGAATCAGAGAAATTAAAGATGAAAAAGCGCCTATTAAGTGATCTTGCCCCAGCCCCAGACTAGGCAGAATGACTCCAAAGAGAGGATTCCTGAGTGTCTAGTTCATTTTAATTTTAATTGTCCCAGAGGGTGTGACTTCTTGATCTTCCCCTGAGCAGCCCTTCCCAGGCTGATGGATACAAGCATGAGCAGTATCTCACAGGAGGCTAACCGCTCTGTGCCAGGGCTATGCGTGTGCTATGCATGCTCATTTTGCCCTGTTTTCCAGGGCCTAGATTTTTTCACATATTGCCACTGGAATGTGCTGGGGCTTAGGAGGAAACCTTTTCTTTCTTTCTCTCTCTCTCTTTTTTTTTTTTTTTTTTTTTTTTTTTGGTGGTGAGGAGGTAGATTAAATAGCCTTGTGTGTAAATAGGATCTGGCAATTTTGCCTGTTTCCCCCCGTAGCCAGATGATGTGTCTACAGCAGGATTTATGCAGGCAAAATGGGGTTGAGGATACATGACAATAATTGGGATCAAGGACTGATGATCCCTTGGGAAGACCACAAACACTGATGGCAGGCACGTAGTGAGTACTCCTAAGCCTATGCTAAGGGTGTCACAGTATTATCTGGTTTAACTTTCACCATAACCCTGCGAGGTAAATATTGCTGTTATTCCCTCTTCAGAGACAAGGATTCTGAGGCCCAGAGAGGTTGGAAGCATGTCAAGGTCATATAGCTATTGGGTAGTGGGGCCAGGATTTAAACCCAGTTCTCTCTGTGTGAACTACATACTTTACCCTACTATACGGTGTTACTACCTCATAATAAAATGTACTGAACAAGGTCACACTGAGGAAGAGACAGGAAAGGACCAGTGATGATTAATTGGAGCTGGCTGTTGTTCAGATCAGCCAGGTTTAGCTTTCTACACCAGGAAGACTGGGCTTGTGACATGAGCTCTATGTGCAGGTTCCAGGTGCGGAGATCTTGCAGGGGGATTTGGATACCTATGTTCACTTAGATTGTGACCCCTTCCAGGCCTAGGCGAAGGGGATATTTCACCCTTGTTTCTCCTGCTTAGAGAATGACGCTGGACACAGGGTGTTCAGTCTGGTACACACGTAGAGGATCTAACTGATTAATGCTGGTGTGCTCTGCAGCCCCACCCAAGATGCCCTTGCTTGTTGCTGAAGATCTTTTTATTTATTCCACTTCTTTCCTTGGGCTGTTTTTGGCTGTGGGCTTGGGCCTTTCCATGAGGCTACTGGTAGTTGATTTTAGAGCACAGAATGTTAGGCAGCAAGGGCAGTCCTAAGTGGGGAACTATCTTCAGTTCTGGGGCAGGGAGTGGAGGCATGAGCGTGGGAGGCATGGGGGTGAGAAGCATGGAGCCACTGGATGTAGAGGTCAGAGGGAAGAGTTCTGCCAGGGGAGCTGGTACCTCGGACTGGGTGGGGGTGTGGCATCAGAAAAGAATTACTCGTGTCACAGTTTGTTCCCAGGTGGTCGCTAAAGGATTTGTTTGAAGGAACAGGGAACCACAGACGTTTATTTTCTTTCCCTCAGTGTTTTGTGATTTCAGGATGCAGTTTGATCTGTGTGTGTGTAACTGTCCGAGAAGCCATGAAGTAAAGGGAAGTCTCCTGAGGTTAGGTTGTGGAATCATTTCAATCCTCCCACTTTTCCTCTGCTGCCTGAGGAATCTTGGGAAAATCACTTAAACTGTCCTTCAGTAAAGACCTCATTTTCCACATTTTCAACTTGTGGGAAATACATACTTTATAGGTTACTTCTTCACATTAAATGATATAAAGAAATAAGGTGCCTGCCACAGAGTAGGTCATTCATACATGCCAGGCATTTTCTTTGCTCTCTTTTTGTCTTGTCCAGACAAGCCTGCACGGTGCATCACCAGATGTGCTGTGGAGCCAAGTCCGTGTGAGCTGTGTTTGAATTGGGAGCTGTCATTTATCAGCTGCGGTGACTTAGACAAGTCCCTAGCTCATCTGAGTCTCTAGTCTCTCATTGATAAAATGCAGACAAACATAGTACATTCCTTGTCGGAATTTTGATCATTTGTTCAACAATATAATTGAGTGCCAGTTTCGTGCTAGGAGGTGAAGTTATCATGGTGGGCACAGCAGCCAAGATTCCTCCCTTCAAGAAACGTGTAGTCTAGAGGGGAGGCAGGCAGTATTCAAATCATGAATTCAGTGAGATAACACACACAGAGCATTATGTTGTCGCAGGAACATGTCTCTCATAAGATAGTGCACAAATCTCTAGCTATCGTTACATTACCCTTGGGGCTACTATGGTTATTGTCTTCTTCCTGGGGGTCCCCATATGGTTACAACCTCTTCCCTGTTGTCTTCCCACTTATACTATGAACCCGTAAAGCAGATGCCCATTTTCTACCATTGATTCCAACCTCAGTCTGGGTCTGGGATAGCTGTAAGTAAGGCTTTCCCAGGAAGTGGGCTGTCAGTGTAGACTCTGGTCAGGTCTGTCTACACCAATATCATGTACCAAAATGCATGCCCCTAGCAGTCCCGAGGCAAAGACTAGGAAATTCTGATTTTATTCTCTTCAGAGCTGAGATACAATTAAAAATGTTACCACAGTAATTGGCAACATCCATTAACTTGATGAAAATTGCCCAAGGCAGCACATTTTTCCCCCTTCTGCACATTATTAGCCTATAAATACACCTGGTTCCTTTTTCTTTCTTCTCCAGAACTTCCACAAAACATCCTCCCATCCTCCCAAGCTGTCTCCTTAATGCCCTTTGCCTTTTTATAATTAACTCCCCGAATTCCTCCAGCACTTCCAGTCAGTACCACATAATCTTGCATCTAATTACATGTGGCATGGTGGCTCATCTGAGAGGTAGCATGGAAAGCCCACATTACTGAAAGGAGAGCACTGACTCAGTCAGCAGAGCCCAGGGTGAGTCTCAGCTCTGCCTTCACCTGGCTTAGGATCTTAAGTGACTCAGCTTTCTGAGTTTGCTCATCTGTGGAATGGGAGCAATGATGTCTACCTCCTAAGATGAAGGCTATTAACATTAGATAATGTGAACATGCTCTGTGAAATACCAAGTGCTGGGAGCTCCTATGCATTGATCCCAGCAGCTCCTTCATCTGCCCATGCCCTCCCTGTTCCATCCTCTGGTCCCTGCTTAGGGGTAGGTGCAGGTGGGTTCTGGCAGCACAGGGATGTTCACAGAAGCCCTCTCCTAATGGGTGTGGTCCTTGCTGATGGGGAGTGACACCTTGGGGACCTCACCAGCAGGAAATTCCTTTTCCTTTTAATATACTTGCTTCATTAGTTTCCCTATAAAGAAGGGGGGCGAGAAGGGGTGGAGCAGAACAGGAGGCTTTCTAACAATCAACAGTGTAACAGCTGTCAGTGCAGAGGGGAAAATCATAATGCCCCCTTCCTCCTGAGCTGTGGAGTCACTGAACACCAGAGACCACAGAGGGAAGGGATCCCTAGTCTCCTTAAAGCTCCCAGCCCCAGCAACCTCTTCAATTTGCAGAGGAAGAGACTGTACCCAAAGAGATCAGTAACTTAGTCAAAACTACACAGCTGGTCAGTATGAACGTGGTCAGAATCAAGGTCTTTATACCAGTCCAGTGCTCTTTCCATTACGTTCCAACACAAGTTTTTATTAGTCACTTTCTACATAATCAGGAAGTGTGGAAATGAGTGTGTGTGCACATGTGTGCCTGTGTGTCTCTGTATGTTCCATAAAGTGCTTGGAACCTGGTGTACATGTTCATTAATGTGTTCTTGCATCATTTCATTTCATCATTTCCAAGACCAAATCAGGAAGATTTTTGATTGTTATATCAATTTGAAGGTTCAGAGAGGTTAACTATAACTTGCCCAAGGTAACACAATTAATAAATGTAGAGTTGAGATTAGAATCTAGGACCTATGATACCAAAGCTCCTCTCTGAACCACTGGACTATAGAAGAGACGAACTTTTGTCTAAAAATGCACGTGAGTTAGAAATGATGCCCAGTGTGTAAGTGAAATCTCCACAAGTACCCTGTTATCCTGAGCTTGAGACTGAGAATTGCAGGGCGGTGAGATTTTTGTTCATTCCTAATTGTTTTCCTTTAAGTCGTCTCTATGGCCTTTATAAACCTGTTTCTCTCTCAACTTGCATACTCTCCACTTTACCAACCCCACCATCCACCCTGGCCTCCTGACCTTCACATCATCACTGGACTCCATGCTGGGTGCACAGGCAGCCCTCGGGAAGTACTTGCTTTAGGAGACACAGGGCCAACTGGTGGGCCAGCAGGACGATTTGTGCCTCATGTAGATGTTCCTCTCTTTTATACCCACTTTTGAAGCCCCAACCCTTTGTGGAACTGTTCGTTGGAGCTATGCTAGGCTGTAACTCACACATATGCTGTAAACAAATGGGCCATGTGGTAGGCTGTGTAACAGTTCCCAGAGTGCTTACACACAGTAGGTATTCAGTAGGTATTTGCCAAGCGACTGTTTGTCCTATTCCTAGTAGAGCAGTTGTCCAGCTGTCTTTAGGTAAATTTTCGTGGATTTTCACTACTTTAACACAATCATAAAATCCCAGGGACCAAATCTCCATTTAAAATGGCTACTGCCAGCATATGACATGGTGGTGGCTACAGTTCACTGAGATTCTTTAATCAAATTGAATTTCTCTACCCGTGGGGATTGGCCTCTTGACATGCATATGCTTTGCCCTGAAAATATTTCATGTGGCTGCTGCATTTGGTTCCAGCCATATAGAATGTATAAAGATATCAGATTAAATTAGACCATATAGTTTTCCACCCTTCCTTCTTTCCTAGTAGGAATTGTGTCATATTTGTGACCCAATATAAACTTATGTGTTTTTATCATGTAAGCAAAAGTTACATGAAAAGTACTTAGTCTACCACATGAGATGCACTCTAATATTTTCTATTCCAGTCTCTTCTATTTTATGAAACATTATTTGTGTTGTGATTCACTAAGTGTATTTCATGACCCACTAATAAGTCCCAACCCTATGGTTTGAAGAACACTAATCTAGGCAGTGAACTTTTTAATTTGCTGGGGAAACCAGAAGGATGAAGGGGCAATAACTATCCAGGTGTCATTAAGATCGTGCATATTCTGAGCAACTTCCTAGGGGGTGTATCGGTAATGACTCTCTGGTTGCACGAAACTGACTAAATTAAACACACACACACACACACACACACACACACACACACACACACACAGAGGGATGGTATTAGGATCCAAGTAATAAATACATATAGTTAGACTTTAGGCAGAACCCTATCCTAGGACCTCACAGAGTGATCTCTTTTTGTCTCTTGTCTCTGCTTCGCTCTTCTATCTGGAAGACCAGCTTAAGATATCCAAGACTAATTGCTTCAAGTCTCATGTTATGGTCTCGTAAACCAATCCTAATGTCTGGGAAAAGAATTCTTTGATGCAGCTTGGTGTGTGGGTGTAGCCTGATCTACTCAGCTGTTGACAAGAGGCAGGACCTCATGGTACAGACATGGGTGTCAGTGTCTGCACCTAAAAATCTGTGAATCTGGGGCTAGGGAGCAGTTGACAGAGGCAGGGGGAATATCTATAATTTGGGAGGAAATCTTCCAAAGTGCCCACGAGAGAAGCCGTGTTCATTTGAGCTGGATGAGATCCCTGAGTTCTTGCTGCCCTAGCGTTTTCACAGGACGATCACATTTGTCAAGCAAATCACAGATGACTGTGTTTGACAGCTCCAATATTGCTTTGAGGATAAATGGTGAAAATAGCAGCATAATAATATAAAATGAAGACTTTATTCAGTTAATTGCCTAGAGATTAATTAAATGAATGAAATCTGTTTCACCATATTATGGGACTCTTTTCAACATTTATCCTAAACATACTGCTGGGGTTATTGTTCCCATTCATGTATTTATTCAGCTACTTAACAGATATTTAAGAAATGCACAGGGAGGCACGGTGCTAGGCACTAGAAGAAAATGCAATTTAGTCAGATCTAGAGCCTGTCTTTAAGAAGAATGAAATCAAGAAGGAGACAAAAATCAGGTGTACAAATAACTAAAGGTGGCGTGAGATAGACTATGCTTGAATCCAGGCTCCATCTCTCTTTCTCACTCTGTGTCAATAGTTACACAACTGGAAATTTCAAAATCTCCATTTCCTCATCTGAAAAAAAAGAAAAAAAGATTATATTACTATCTCAAAGTTTGTTTAAAGATTGAGGTCATATATCTAAATTAATAGTAAAATTCTTGGTACGTTAAAGGTGTTCTATAAATATTAGTTGCACTTACGATATTTTGAGCACTATCATACTAAGTGTTACATACTGCAAAGTGTTAACATGTGCCTCTCTTTCTTCCAAATGTTTTACATACATTTAATCAATTAGTTCTCATAAAAACAATGACAAGGGTGCCATTATTACCTCCCCATTGTGCCGATGAAAAAATTTGAGGCATAGAAAAGTTAAGCAAATTGCCTAGAATCCCCCAGTGACTGAGTGATGGAGCCAAGACTCTAACCCAGGGTCTGGCTCTGGAATTTATGCTCTGAGCTGCATTAGTGATCTGTGAAAAGGAGCACCTGTTACAGTCTGAGATTGTATCTTGGGCTCTAATAAATGATTCTCAGCTCTGACTTCACATTCCTATCACCCAAGAGCATCTAAAAGCTATTGATTCCTGGACTTGACTCCTGGTTAATGATTCTCAAAGTGTGAATCTTGACCATCATCATCATGTCATCTATGTATTTCTTAAAATTCTTGGGCCCCACCCAGACCTCCAGAATCAGAAACTCTGAGGGTGGAGCCCAGCATCGGTGTTCCAACAAGCCCACCAGAAGATTCTGATGCTAGCTGCTACAATCAGAATCAGAATGAGAGGACTATTGCTCCAGACCAATTACTCCAGGATTTCTGGAAGTAGGGCCTATGCATTTGTATTTAATATTTTTGGAAAGTTCCTCAAGTGATACTAATATTCAGCCCGGGTCATGAGCTTTCACAGAAGCTAAATATTGAGCTGGGCCATAAGCAGGGAATATGTAGAGTGGACTAGAATGAATATTTCAGGTGGAAAGGCAGCTTGAACAAAGACATAAAGGAGGAGAAAGTTTGTGATGTGAATTGGGGAAATATCTTGAGATACGGCAGGGTGATGATAGTCAATAGTAACATATTGTATATTTCTTTTTTAATTGGTCTCAATGTGCCTTTATTTTTTTAAACTTTTATGTTTGGTTCAGGGGTACATGTGCAGGGTTGTTTTATAGGTAAACTCATGTCATGGGGGTTTGATGTACAGATTATTTTGTCACTCAGATACTAAGCCGAGTACCCTATAGTTATATTTTCTGCTCCTCTCCTTCCTCCCACTCTCCACCCTCTGGTAGGCCCCAGTGTTTGTTGTTCCCCTCTTTGTGTCATTTAGCTCCCACTTAGAAGTGAGAACATGTGGCATTTGTTTTTCTGTTGTTGCATTAGTTTGCTAAGAAGAATTACCTCTAGCTCCATCCATGTTCTTGCAAAGGACCTGATCTTGTTCTTTTTTATGGCTGCATGGTGTACCATGGTGTATATGTACCATATTTTCTTTATCCAGTCTCCCATTGATGGGCATTTAGGTTGATTCCATATCTTTGCTATTGTGAATAGTGCTGCAATGAACATTCACGCGCATGTGTCTTTATGATAGAATGATTTATATTCCTTTGGGTATATACCCACAAATTGGATTACTGTTTCAAAAGGTAGTTCTGTTTCTAGCTCTTTGAGGAATCACCACACTACTTCCCACAGCAGCTGAACTAATTTACACTCATACCAACGTGCATAGGTATTCTATTTTCACCTCAACCTCACCAGCATCTATTATTTTTTGACTTTTTAATAATCATCATTCTGACTGGCATGAGATGGTATCTCACAGTGGTTCTGATTTGCATTTCTCTAATGATCAATGATGTTGAGCTGTTTTTCATATGCTTGCTGGCCACATATATATCTTCTTTTGAAAAGTATCTGTTCATGTCTTTTGCCCACTTTTTAATGTTTTTTTTTCTTGTAAATTTAAGTTCCTTGTAGATGCTGGACTTTTGTCAGATGCATAGTTTGCAAATATTTTCTCCCATTCTGTAGGTTGTCTGTTTATTCTATTGATAGATTTTTTGCTGTGCAGAAGCTCTTTAGTTTAATTAGATTCCATTTGTCATTTTCTGCTTTTGTTGCAATTGCTTTTGGCATCTTCATTGTGAAATCTTCCAGTTCCTATGTCCAGAATTATATTTCCTAGATTGTCTTCCAGGATTTTTTTTTATAGTTTTGGGTTTTACATTTAAGTCTTTAATCCATCTTGAGTTGATTTTTGTGTATGATATAAGGAAGGGGTCCAGTTTCAATCTTCTGCATTTGGCTAGCCAGTTATCCCAGCACCAAAACAGCATGATACTGGTACAAAAACAGACATAGACCAATGAAACAGAATAGAGAGCATGGAAATGAGGCCACACATCTACAACTACCTGATCTTCAATGAAGCTGACAAAAACAAGCATTGGGAAAAGGACTCCCTGTTCAACAAATGGTGTATTGTATATTTCAAAATTATAAAGTATATTTCAAATTTATTTACCACAAAAGATGACAAATAAATGAGGTAATGGATATGTTAATTAACTTGACTTAATCATTCTACAGCATATACATACAGTATATCAAAACTTCACATTGTACCCCGTAAATGTATACAACTATGATTTGTCGGTTAAAATAATATTAATAAAATTATCATTTTTAAATTTAAAATCTAGCTAATCAGTTTATAAAGCATTCATACTTTGACCTTATCAGTATTTTACCCTTAATATTTCCCTCATGCATACCCCAATATTCAGTGTTTTTAATTCCTGGGGAAGTTTTTGCCCTGGAAATAATACTCACAAAGAAGAAAAACACAAAGGATCTTGGTCCTGCCACCCCCTTCCAAGACCAAGAGCTAAGTGTGTTATGAAGAGGCTGGTACTAATGTTCCAAGTTGGATTCTAGGGCCACTGACACAAGCTCTAGCTGTGTCTTTGCAAAGGGTTGGTTTCTGGTCTATGGCATGAATGGGGTTGGACAGGATTGTGATGTTTCTGAGGTTGTAGCGTCCAGCTCTCTTGAGGACTGTCGTGGCTGGGTGAGCGGTTATGGTTCCCAAGAAGTTCCTGTCTGACCTATTTTATATGGTAGGATTTGGAGACTGTTTGCACAAAGGGTTAAGTTGCTAAAAATAAGTTTGAAGCCACTTGACCTTTTCTGGCACTTCTGTTAGTAGCACCTGTGAGTCTGTGGTTCTAGGAGCTGATTCCATTTCTTCCCTGGAGTTTTGGCTGTGGCTTCCTATTTCCTTTTGTTCCCTGCATCCTTTCTTGGTCTTTGGTCAGAACTCAGAAGGGCTCCCAATTATGGAGATTTTCAGATGATTCTTATGCTATTATTGAGCTCATTAATTGTTATCCAATTAATGACAATACCCTCAGGAAGGCGAACAATCTACAAGGTAAACATGACATGGGACACAGGCAGGAAAGTGAGACCTCTTTAGGCCATAAGACAGTTTGTCTTTGAGATGCAAACACCATGCTTATGAAGTTTATCTAACAGAATGAAAGTATTATAACCGTTCATTCAACAAATATTTACTGATGATCTACCATGTGCCAAGTGCTATAATAGGATCAATTGATACACTATCCAGTGAAAGCCTGTGAGGTCAAGCATTGTGTCTAATAAGGAGGAATAAAGGTAATTTCAACTCAGTACAAAGATTTCTCCACTGGGGAGGAGACCAGATTGTTACAGGAGCCTTGTGAAGAGTTGGTTCCAAGGATTTGTGATGTACACTCAATCTAGAGAGGGAGAAGGTGCCTAAACTGAACTTCTTAGTAGCAGGGGCTTCTTATATCTAGTGCCTTGAAAAACACTACCATTACTAGTTACTTAACAAATGTAGAAGTATCAGTCGGGGAGCTGGGGGAAGAAGACAGGCAGGAAAGTATATTAGTTTATCCGTCCTTCAAATAGAAAATAATATTGTCATAGCTAAAATGTAACGACTGCATTATATGTGTCAGACACTGTTCTCAAGGATTACTACTTAGCTCATTTTAATTCTTCTAACTCTATGAAGTAGGTATTATGAACTTCCATTTTATAGATGTGGAAACTAAAAATCATTATTTGCACACATGTGATGAAGAGTTTACACAGAGGGCCTGATCCTAGTTCCCTTCTTGAAGAAGACTGGAAAAATCTACTGGAAAACGTTAGTTTTTCCCCAGTCATTAATGTTAGTCTTCAGAAAATCCCTGTGGTAGAATTCATGATTGAGTAATTTTTTTAAATTATTTATTTATTTTTAGACAGAGTCTCACCCTGTCACCCAGGCTGGAGTGCAATGGTGCGATCTTGGCTCACTGCAACCCCTGCCTCCGAGGTTCAAGTGATTCTCCTGCCTCAGCCTCCTGAGTAGCTGGGATTACATGTACACACCACCACACCCGGCTAATTTTGTATTTTTAGTAGAGACAGGGTTTCATCATGTTGGTCAGGCTGGTCTCAAACTCCTGACCTCGTGATCTGCCCGCCTTGGCCTCCCAAAGTGCTCCCAAAGTGCTGGGATTACAGGCATGAGCCACCACGCCCGGCCTATGAACTTTTTAAATGTTCATAGGATTTTCATAAATTCATACCTGATCTTCACATATTTATTTTGTCCTATAAAATTTTGTTTTATAGTCATTTAATTAAAAGTAGGAATACAGCATACTCAAATAAAGGCATTATTGATTACTTGTTTACATTAGCAATAATAATATATACTGAAACAATTTATCTTTACTATCTGATGCTTTCTAGAAACTTTCTAGGAGTTTTTTTTTTCAGGCAGTTTTAATAGGATGCTTGAAAATTCATCTTTACTCTTTTGCAGACATTAAGCACAGGGAGCTTTATGTGTCCTGAGGCTAGTTCTGCACTGAATACTGCTCATGGCCTTCTGGTCTATCCTGGCCTAAATTTGGTCCTAGAAATGTGAAGGAACTTGGATGCTTGAGAGGGAAGAGGTGCCAGGGGCAATTATTAACCTGCTTGGCATATCTGAGCAGGCATGCCTCTCCTCCCCTCCCTAATACCTGTGGCAATGTCACGGACCCTCTTACACATGCCTCACCTCATTCTATCATCACAGACCTCAAAAAAGTGAAGCCCAAGCCCCAAGTTTTCTTTTCTTCAGCCATGTTTAATCCTTCTTAAGGTTTCTTTGCAAAAATCTTCAGTCACTACTCCTCTACTGTTGGCCCAACCTCCTTTTTCTATTCTCAACTTTTCCTTCTTACCAATTACCTTCAATATGAGTGACTTCCAGTTCATGTAGTCTAGAACCAAAATTTTCTGCAATATTGAAAATGTATACAGAATGCATTCGTATTTCCTAAATGCTGCTTTAAAGGGACTTACATGTTGGAGAAAGGGAGGCAATGAGGCATGATGTTTATGATTCTTACTCTAGGAGAGATGGATGGGCACAAATCCCATTCTTTTCGCCAGCTAGGAGAGGCAGCTTACAGGAGAAGTTAAGCTTATGGCTCAAAGCCACCTGCCTGGTTTGAGTCTGAGTTTTGTTGCTTCGTGGCTACATGTCTTTGGGCAAGTTGTTTAAGCTCTTATGACTAATTGTGCCTTTTTAAGTAGAGAAAAAATCATTCCTAACTCATAGAGTTGATGAGAGGATTAAACAAAATCAACATTTACATTTTAAATATAGCTAACACATAGTGTACTCTCAATATCAATGAATTGTTATTATGTGATATTCTCATTTTACTGAAGAGAAAAATTAGATAAATGATACCTTCCTTAAAAGTTCATTTTGAGGATTAATGAAGATAATGCTTATAAACACCAAACACAATGCCTGACACAGGAATGGTCTCAATACCCATTAGCATTTATTACCATTATTATATATACTTTCCCAAACATTTCCACAAGTTTAACCCTTATGATTTCCACTTTTCCTTAAAGAAGAAAACTCTGAATGTTTGCATCATGTATTTCTTTGCTTGGTGTATTTGTGTGTACTTCCCTTGCACTGAGTTTCTACAAGTGGAGACTTGGGACTTTAAGACGAGGGACCTGATTGCTTACACCCAATGAATGTCAGATAGTTTCCTGGTGAGTTGTTATGGTTCTAAATAACAATAAGTTCATGGGCTTCTCAGCAGTTTGTGTTAGGTGAGGAAGTGCAGTTCTTGAATGCCTATTTGTGCTGCCTTGTTACTAGGGGAGGCGCAGAGTGCAAGCAGCAATTAAGCGTGTCCAGCTAAGGCAGTGCTGCTTCTTCTTTTTTTTTTTTTTTGAGATGGAGTCTCGCTCTGTCGCCCAGGCTGAAGTGCAGTGGCGCCATCTCGGCTCACTACAAGCTCCACCTCCCGGGTTCACGCCATTCTCCTGCCTTAGCCTCCCGAGTAGCTGGGACTACAGGCGCCCACCACCATGCCTGGCTGTTTTTGTATTTTTTTAGTAGAGACGGGGTTTCACCATGTTAGCCAGGATGGTCTCGATCTCCTGACCTCGTGATCCGCCCGACTCGGCCTCCCAAAGTGCTGGGATTACAGGCGTGAGCCACCGCGCCCGGCCAAGGCAGTGCTTCTTAACTGGGTGTGATTCTGCCACCCATCCCCACCAGGCGATATTTAGCAGTCCCTAGAGACATTTTTGGTTGCCACAACTGTGTGAGAGTGTTACTGCATCTGGTAGAGGCCAGGGATGCTGCTGAATATTCTGGAATGAGTAGGACATCTTCCACAACAAAGAATTATCCAGCTCAAAATGTCAACAGTGCCAACATTGAAAAGCCCTAGGCTAACGCCATCAACATGGCAGAAGGTGGGCGGCGGCTTCCCTCTGTGGGCTGGAGGAGGGCCTCAGGCCACAGCTCAGATTGTGGTGAAGAATGTTCTTCCTACCCTCAGCAGCCAAGTTATTTTACTATACCTCTGGCCAGCTGAGCAGCTTCATTTCCTCCCCTGTGGACCTAGGGACAGAGCAGTTTTGAAGTACAAATCTCTTACCCCTATCATTTCATCCAAAGGGGAGCCTAATCCTGAGCAGTGCTGGAGCTCAGGAGAAATATTGAAGAAAGATAATTAGGGTCTCTGGCCTTAGGAAGTTTACTGTCTGGTGAGTTGCATATATTTATAAAAATCATTCTATTTCTAATTGATAGCTTAAGCAAATAAATATACACACACCTTCACAAACAAAGGCACCCTATGGGCTTGTATGTATCAAGAAACTGCAAACCTGAGATGGAACTAAGAAATGGATTCAGATTTAAGGACCTTTAGCTGTGTCTAGTGGTCTGTCTGTCTCTTAGAGCATTTCCCTGTTTGTGTGAACCTCTGACTCTCTGATTCTCTAGATGTATGTGTGTGTGGGAGGGGAGGGTGGTGAATGTGTGTGAAGCTGCACACATGTGCATGAACTGTCTCTGTCTCTCTCTGTTTCTTTCTCTATCTCTGTGTGTTTCTGTTTCTCTCTGTCTTTTGGCTATTGTCTTCATATTACCACCTCTCTCTCTATTTCTCTGTCACACTGTCAATTTTTTTTTTCTCTCTGTATATGTACATCGTTTTTATAGACCTGATATTCCTATCAGGCAAGGAATATTTCTCCTGGTGACAAGATTTGAGAGACAATTCTTTCCTAACAGCTTCAGTAAGAGAAATCTTGAGGATGTCTTCTAAGTTGTGATCACCTGATCACCATAGCCAAGATGTCTCATGACCCTACTGGATCACGTGACATTCCAGGGCTTCAGAGGCATGGGCTGCTGTGATTGACCAGCCTGGCCAAAAGCACATAGCTGGAGTCAGGTAGACAGCTCCATAAAGGATGACAGGAAAGGGTACTGAGCAGACCCAAACCACAGGTGTCCACTCTAGTGAGCCAAGAGCAACTCAAGAGAACAACTTAATAATGCAAGTGCTGGAGGATGTGTGATCTACATTCTGGGTTCTCTAGAAGTATAAAGGAGAGAGATCAGTGTGAGCTGGTGACGAGGGAAGGCTTCCAGGAGGACTTGATTCTTGCTTTCAACCTTGAAAGATGTGTGAGATTTTAACTAGGTGGAAGGAAGTAAGCCTTCCTGATGAGGGAAGAGTTTCTTTGCATGTTTTATTGGTTTGGTTGCCTTGTTTTAAGCTCCCAAGAGGCAGAGACTTTTCTTTCTTTTTAGTATAGCATAGTATTTATTGACCACAATCAGGCTTCGTCAGTATGGTGCCAATTCTCTGAATGCTACTCTGCCAGTGACCTTAGGGAGAGAATGGAAGAATAATAACTGAGAAACTTCTAATCCTGAGAGTACCAGCATGATATAAAGAAACAGGGAGTTGCTTGTAGATTCTTGATATTAGACCTTTGTCAGATGGATAGATTGCAGAATTTTTCTCCCGTTCTGTAGGTTGCCTGTTCACTCTGATGATAGTTTCTTTTGCTGCGTAGAAGCTCTTTAGGTTAATTAGATCCCATTTGTCAATTTGGGCTTTTGTTGCAATTGCTTTTGGTGTTTTAGTCATGAAGTCTTTGCCCATGCCTATGTCCTGGCCCATGCCTATGTCCTGAATGGTATTGCTTAGACTTTCTTCTAGGGTTTTTATGGTTTTAGGTTTTATGTTTAAGTCTTTAATCCATCTTGAGTTAATTTTTGTATAAGGTGTAAGGAAGGGGTTCAGTTTCTGTTTTCTGCATGTGGCTCGCCTGTTTTCCCAGCACAATTTATTAAATAGGGAATCCTTTCTCATTGCTTGTTTTTGTCAGGTTTGTTGAAGATCAGATGGATGTAGATGTGTGGTATTATTTCTGAGGCCTCTCTTCTGTTCCATTGTTCTATATATCTGTTTAGGTACCAGTAGCATGTTGTTTGGTTACTGTAGCCTTGTAGTATGGTTTGAAGTCAGGTATACCTATGTAACAAACCTGCGCATTCTGCACCTGTATCTCAGAACTTAAAGTAAAAATTCTAAAAATATTACAGTGGTCAGATATATTTGGGATACATTGGGTTAACAAAATGAGACATTTCTCTTCTGGGAAAAAAAAAAAAAGAAAGAAAGAAACCGGGTGGCTTCAGAACAAATAAAGTATCCATATAGTCCCTTGTGGTACCCTCAGTCCTCTGCGTGTCTGGCCTCAAGTGTTTTACATTGAAATTTTGGCATTAACACAGGTAGATCAGATTGTTTATTAATTCAGTAAACACTTCAGTATCACCTAATATGTACTACACACATAGGTCCCAATGGTTCAAAAATAAATAAGACAGGATCCCACTTTAAAGTTTATATCCAAATAGAGAAGACACAGAAATGAATTAGCAATTGCATACATGATTTGATTGTGCTGTGCAAAGCAGTGGTCCTCAAACATGGCTGCACATGGAAATCACCTGCGACCTTTAAAAAATACTGACACCTTGGTCCCATCTGTGAAAGTTTTTATTTCATTGGTCTGGCGAAGAGGACACAGGCATCTGTATATTTCAGAGTTACCTCCCAGGGCTGTCATTAGCAGTAAAGTCTGAGAACCACTGGGATAAGGATGCTTTGGGAGCAGGGAAAGGGCTCTGCAGTGATACTAGGGAAGGAAGGACTGCTGGAGGGGCAAGGCCCAGTGAGCTTGGAAAGAGGAATGAGAGTTCACTAGGGAAGGAGAGGGGCAGGGAGATGAGTGGATAAGGACGTTGGAGCTCTTCCTGCTGGAAGTCAGGAAGTCTTTCTAATTTTGGCCTAGTCCCTGTGTGGCCTTAGGCAGACATCCATTTTTTTCTGTGCCTCAATTTCTCCTTCAGTCAAACATGACTAATGATGCCTGCTTTCCTTACCTTAGGGGTCTGCTGTTAGGATAAAATGAGGTAAAGAAAAAGGAAACGATAGAATGTCAATGATCACTGGGAAAAATAACCCATTAGAGTAAAGCCTCATTTATTCAGCCTCTTTGGGGAAAGAAGTGTTTTACATAAATGAACTTTCAGATGACTAAATTTCGACCTTTCAAGAAGTAATAATTTTATTTTAACCAATAAAAATCATTTTAGTTTTTCTAAAACATACCACTTGCTGCCGAAGTAATAATTTTATTTTAACCAATAAAAATCATTTTAGTTTTTCTAAAACATACCACTTGCAGCCTTAATTTCTTAAACAGAGTACCCTGGATGCCATCAGCCCCTGTTTCTTTTCTTCTGTGCCTTCAGCCCCGCAACATAGATGTCAGCACTGAACTGTGCTGTGTTACAGTAATGCCCCCAGGGCTGTTGAGAAGTGTAGGGATTTGTGGCATGGAAGATTGGGTTTTGAGTTCTTAGGTCTGTTTTTCATAAGTTTTCCATTTCTCTTGCTATCCAAGTATCAGCTCTTGGGTCTCACCATTTTCAATTCTACTTTCCATTTCTAACTTGCTGCTGCTTCTCTGCTGAAGACTGGAAAACCAGAATACAAATCTTAGAATAGTGTATAAACTCTGAGTCATTAGACTATAAGTAAGAGCTTGCCAGAGAGAGTGGATTGTGTGATCTTTAGTAAATGAGTTTTTAATGTGTGTGTCAGCTCTTTTCAGTGGACTTTTTGGGCCTTACTCTGGCCTAGGTCTCTAATTTAGGAGACAGCTGACTGGGCTTTATGTGTGGAAGGTCAGAGGTCCACGAGGATTGTTTGTAGGGATTCTCAGGCCTCCATCTTCTAGGTGTTGGCCAGAGAGACCTTTAAGGTTTTCCATCTTTCTCACCAGGAGAATTTTGTCCGTGTCAGACCAGATTTTGAATGTCTATTGCCAAACTTCTGTTATTTTCAAGGCAGGAATAAAGAAGGAGACCTAGGATTAAACTCAGGAAGGAAGGAATATCTTGAAGCAAACAGCCCAAACTGAGGCAATACCGTGTTCCCCATCGGGTAGAACAGGCAGGTAAAGTGGGAGGGCAGAGGAGGAGGAAGTGGTGGAAGGAGTCAAGAAAGTTAAGACAGAGGAGATAGATGGAAGACACTGGGGAAGGGAGAACTTCTGGGAAGGTGCAAGATGGAGAAGGCCAGGAGCAAGGTGTAGACCAGCATGACTATGCACTCTGTATTCTTCTCTATTTTCTTTGAATCGTTGACTTATTGACCATTCAGTACTCATGTCTCATGACCCTTACAGATGACAGTTCCTTGGAGCAGCCACACTGTGGGGACTGCCAGTGGCCACATTCTGCTGGTTCCCATACTGCAGGATGGTCCTCTTTGAGAAAATGGATTTCTGAGTAGCAGTTGGCCCTGAGTGCATCCCACTTTGCTGTCTGCTATCGGTGTTGTCACTGAGCTTCTGTCTCTCCCTTCCTTTCCCAGGTCGGTGGCCGGATTGGATAAGGAGGCGGACCTGGTGCACATGGAGGTGCGGACCACGGATGGATGTGAGTTCTGCTACAGCCAGGCTAGGCCCAGGGAGATCTGCCTGCAGGTCTCTGTCCTCCCCCAATTTGCATTTTAATATCTTGGGAAGATGAAAAGCTCTGAGCTCCATTACAGCCACATCCATCCTTAATTCCCAGAGTAAGGGTGAGAAGTCCTTTCCTAAGGGAGACTTTTCATTGAAACAAACTCTTGGGAATGAATTGTCTGGGGATATGAGTTAATGCAATGAATTTTGAGGCTCCTGTTTGTAATTTCTTTGGCATCTTCAGAGTAATTTGAAGAGGAATGTCCATAACTCATCATGGTATTTTACATTCACATGGCGAATTGCAAGGGCTGCCTGCTTCAAAGTATGAACCCTTTATATAGGCAACCTTACCAAAAAATGTAATGGGGCATTATTTGCAAAACTGTTTATTCATCCATTCGAGATATTTAGGGATGGCCTGCTAAGTGTCAGACATAATTTTAAGCCCTAGAGAGAGAGAAAGTGATGAGCAAGTTCTATACTATCCCTACAAACAAGGGACTCTTCTAGCAGTGAAATTTCAGGATTTTAAACACATGACCCGCTGTGTACCTTGTTCAGCTGTGTACTTCTTACACAAAATTGGACTGAAAAAGCATCATTTTGTAACAATTTAAGCATTTTATTCTTCTCAGAGTTGTTTATACTTAAAGGGCTCTTCTCCATCCAGGAAAAATAAAATCAGCTTAAACAAAAATATATAAAAATATAATTAGCATAGATTGAGAACAGAGCCAAATAATCTACTAGTGGTGAGGCAGAGGTGCAGCAGAACAAGCACCTGTCTGTGAGTTGGGGTACTCGGCTCTGTTACCCTCTGGCCTTGATACCAGGAAAAACTCCTTAACCTCTCTGGGCTGTAACTCCCTCTGTGACCTGAGAATACTCATCCTTGCCCGGAGCACCTCCCAGGATTATAGGTTAATCAAATAGAAGATGAATATTAGAGAAACTGAAAAATGTTGTATAAATGGAAGGCGATTCTGTTTTGACCTGGCTGTTGGCATTGTGGTATCGTTCAGAGTTTAAGTAAAACTGCATGTGCTTTCTGCAGGAGAAATCTACTGTTGGAGGCCAACCGTAGATGCATGCCAGAAATGTGCATTTGGGGGAATATGTTTTATATGATTTATTTTTATTTTTAAAAGAGTTAGAAGGTAATCAGAATTTGTTACTATATTTCTGCCACTCTGTACTCCTCCCTCCCTCCTTCCTTCCCTCCCTCCTGTCCTCCCTCCCTTTTTCCCTCCCTCCCTCCTTCCCTCCTTCCTTTCCTTGCCCCTTCCCTTCCCTTCCCTTCCTTTCCTCCTTCCTTCATCCCTCCTTCCTTCCTTCCCTCCTTCCTTCCTTCCCTCCTTCCTTCCTTCCCTCCTTCCTTCCTTCCCTCCTTCCTTCCTTCCCTCCTTCCTTCCTTGCTTCCTTCCTTCCTTCCCTC
The DNA here is from genome assembly GCF_000001405.40 of Homo sapiens. Lineage (NCBI taxonomy): Eukaryota > Metazoa > Chordata > Mammalia > Primates > Hominidae > Homo > Homo sapiens. The sequence continues at coordinate 105,091,304 of NC_000010.11, forward strand.
CTTCCTTCCTTCCCTCCTTCCTTCCTTGCTTCCTTCCTTCGTTCCTTCCTTCCTTCCTCCCTCCCTCCCTCCTTCCCTCCTTCCTTCCTTCCCTCCTTCCTTCCTTCCTTCCTTCCTTCCCTCCTTCCTTCCTTCCTTCGTTCCTTCCTTCCTCCCTCCCTCCCTCCTTCCCTCCTTCCTTCCTTCCCTCCTTCCTTCCTTGCTTCCTTCCTTCGTTCCTTCCTTCCTTCCTCCCTCCCTCCCTCCTTCCCTCCTTCCTTCCCTTCCTCCTTCCTTACTTTTCATCTCATTGGATCCTTAAATAGATGTAAATCGGTGAGACAGCCAGGGATGACCTACACTCTTTTTAATGTATTTTTTAACTGAAGAGCTATTGGGAATTTAAGAAGATACTGTCACACACTTAAATTACTGATCATAAGGGTGGTGGAGCCTGGATTCAAAATTATATTATCCAATTCTTATGGCTGAGAAAGAAACTGGGAGAAGAATGAGATGTAGGGGTTTCAGGGAGCATAGAAGGACAGGAGGAGGACAGCAAATAGCCAGTCTCAGAAAATGACCCACAGGCCAGTTTTCAGGACAACTCTCGCATGGGTTTTGCCTCCTAAGTCAACCTGTTTAGGCCATATTTGTGATCTGTCATGGTCATGGTATTTCAGAGTTGGAGGATGGTCTGAGTTCTGACCTGGTGTAGGAATCCCTTCTCCCAAAACTCTAACAGTACATTCTCAGGCTTCGTGAGCTCAGGCTTAAGACACATTATTTTCTGATGCTGGACAGCTTCTTTAAAAAAATGTAGTTTCTTACATTAAGCTAAAATTTATTTTATGAAAGTTCAAGAATTCTGGTCCAAATTGGGATGAGGCCTATGGTGCAGGACTTCCGTGAAATTTTATGAGATTACAAATGCAAAACACTTAGAACAGTTTCTGGCCTATTGCCAGAATTCAATAATTGAATAAAGGCAGGCAGAAATATAACAGAGATAAATGTCTTGTGCTGTACTTAGGTTAAAGTATAGAATATATTAGTTCTGTTCCATCTTCTAGGTTTTTTATTTTATTTTATTTTTTCATTATAAATCCTCCACTGGAATTCTAGGGTTTTTAAAATCAATTTTTAATAGCTAAAATAATGCTTTTTCAATCTAGTAAATTGTCCCTAACTCAACTTTATTTAGAAAGTACACATCGCAAAACTGCCTTAGTCTGGGCATGTTTTATTTACATACCCTAACAAAATGCATAATGCCTTTCCTTTGTGGTATGCAATGAGTGCTCCCTCACACTTGTGCATTCACAAACACACACACACACACACACACACACACACATCTCTACCATCATTTGAGCATCATCAAAAATACAAAAATGTTTTATTTACTGTTTTTCCTGACATGGTAGTTTAACTCAAATTTGCCCAGATTCACATAGCTAATTGGCGATAGGAAAAAACAAACAAACAAACAAAAAAGCAAGTTAGAACAAAAACCTCCCAATGGACTAGTGAGAAGGAAACTTCTGATAAAGGACATCTACAAAAAACCTAAAATTAACATCATCTTGATGATGAGATACTGAATGCTTTCTCCCCGAAGAGCAGTAAAATGGCAGGAATATTTACTCTTAACACTTTTATTCAACATTATGCTGAAAGTCCTAGGCAGTGCAATAAAGCAAGAAAAATGAAATACAATTCATATAGACTGCAAAGAAGAAAATAAAACTTGTTATTCTCATTGACATGATTGCCTATGTAGAAAATCCTAAGGTATCCATAAGAAAATCTCCTAGAACTAATATGTGAGTTGAGCAAGGTTGCAGGATATAACACATTCGGTGTAGAAAGGATATTATTTTCAATCAATGGTATTGGATCAATTGGGCAGTAATCTGGGGGAAAATTAACTTCAACCTATGATTCACAACTTATACAATGATTCACAACTTATACAAAATTTAACTCCAAATAGATCATAGATCTAAATATAAAACATAGATTTATAAAACTTTTAAAAGAAAACATAGGGGAAAATTTTTATGACCTTGGGATGGACAGAGTTTTTTAAAATTACACTAACAGCAAAATTGATAAAATAAATAATTGATAAATTGAGCTTCATCAAAATTTACAACTTTTGCTCTTCAAAAGATACTGTTAAAACACTGGGAGAAAATACATGCAAATCAATATCCAAGAAAGGACTTGTAGCCAGAACATATAAAGAATGCTTAAAACATAGCAATAAAAAACAGCTCATTAAATAAAAGTTTGAATAGATCATTTAGCAAAGAAAATATAAAGATTACAAATAAACACATGAAACAGTGCTCAACATTATTAGACATTAGGGAAATGCAAATTAAAACCATAGTGATATATCACTATATATCTATTGTTATCACCAAAATAAACAAAAATGACAATATCAAGTGCTGGCACAGAAGTAAAGCAATAGAACTCTCATACATTGCTGGTGGGGATGCAAAATGGTACAGCTACTCTGAAAAGATATTTTGGTAGTTTGTTATAAAGTTATACACATCTTATAACCCAGCAATCCCACTTCTGCTATATATTCAGCCTAGAAAAATGAAAAATTTATATTCACATTAAAACCTGTACACAAATGTCTGTAGAGATTTATTAATAATCACCAAAAACTGGAAACAAATATCTTTGAATGAGTGAATGTATTAATAAGCTGTGGCACATCTACAACATAGGATGCTACTCGGTATTACTCATATTTGAAACAACACATGAATTTTAAAGGTGTTATGTTGAGTGAAATAAGCTAATCTCAAAAGGTTACATGCTGTATTATTCCATTTATGTGATCTTATGGGAAAGACAAACTATATAGATAGAGAATTTACTGGTGGTTTCCAGAGTGGGGAAAGTATTTGACATGAAAAGCTGCATGAAATATTTTTTAGGATGATGTCATTGTTCTGTAACCTGATTGTGGTGGTGGTTACGTAAGTCTATATATCTGTTCAAACTTACAGAACTCTATGCCAAAAACTCACTGTGTGTACATTGAAAAATATGTTTGTATTAAAAATACTAAAATTAATATTTTTGGTTAATAAAAGCTAGGAGGCATAGTTCCTGACTTCTAGTTCTATAGCAATTCCTGCTTTTCTCATTCATTCATTTATTCATTCGCTTACTTATGCTTTTACCCAATCAACATCTACTTAAAATCTATATATACTGTGCACTGAGGGGACACACAGGTGAATGTGATATCATCCTTACCATCAAGGAGCTTCTAGACTTGTATTTGAATGATGGACAATTCAAATGATGGACAAGTATTAGAATGTTGCTAGCACACTCTGACAAGGACTTTAATGGAGTTGGGAATATATTGTGTTGAATCATAAATGAGATTGAGACTAATGACCTAAGCAAGTTAGGGGAACCATCTCAGAAACAGAATGTTTGATTTGGTACTAGGGATTAGTAGGAAATTATCTGAGCATTCTGGATAGAGAGAAGAAACTTGCAAGTTCCCAGAATCATGAGAGGTGGTATGTGCAAGGCTGTAAATTATAATCTGGAAAAGAATGAATGGAGATAGGTTGGTGAAGGTGGGTTGAAGAGGATCTATGAGGGAACAGGTAGGTAGCTTCCTGAGCCACAGTTCATGCTGCACACCAAGCCATCTATGGCCATCCTTGCCTGTTTATAATGATAAAGCTTCATGAAGCAATTATATTTCCCCCAGCTGCAGTCTCACATATGGATGGTACCAATCAATCTCTGGTCACTTCACCTTCCGTTCTACCTGCCTCTTTTATCTGCTTGTTTCACATTTAAGATACAGGAAGAGATAGATGAAAAGCTAGGACTCATTTCAGCTCATTCAGACCCCAGCCTCCATCTCTGGAGCACAAGGCAGCTTTTGCTCTGTTTCCCTGGTCCCCGATCCAGACTAACTTGGCTCATAATTTAGGAATGATTCTGAGAAATGGAGAAGTCAAGTGGCTTGTCTAGTGGCCCCGGACAAGTGGTGGAGGAGCAGACTGTGACTGTGGTGGTAGAGCAGACCAGAGACTAGCATCAGTGATGAGGTCAGGTAACATCCTGTACCCTGCTTCTCAGGGACTGTACTCTGAGCAGACAGACTTATCCAGTACCCTCAGCACTGCGTCCAGGTCTTTTCTTGCTTGATGACACCGGACTTGCCAAGCCTGCCTGCACTATCTGCCCAGGCAGATAGGTGGGCCTGGGGAGGGTGTTGAAATGAATGACTCTCCAAGCCCTGGTAGAGGGTTGCACTGCCCTGGCTGAAGTGTGGGCACCAGCAGCCATTAGGTACCACTCTTTCTGCTCAATCTCCATGGGAGCCATGTTTGCAATTTGTGTTTATCTTTTTGAGCAGTAAAGAGATATGGTCTTCTAGCTATTCACAGACAGGCAGACGTGGAGAGTAGACACCTAAATTCTAATTCCGGTTTTTCCACTGAGAGGCTGTGTGATCCAGGGAAACAAGTAAACCTCTCTAGGTTCCTTTTTCCTAATTATAAAATGAAGCAGAATTAATGATTTATTTATTCATTCAGGGAACAGAAGCAAGATCTGCTCATGAAACATCAATTAAATATTGCTCTATGTAGTTCCCAGAGTAAGATGGGGATACTGGCATCTACGCAAATATTAATATAGAAATTTGTGCTTTTCTTATGTTTGTTCATTGGTTCACAATCCACTCCTCTGTAATGGAACACTCTTCAGGTATAGAAGACAAGTGGTCCTCAAACCAAGCATTATAATCACCTCACAAATACACACACACACACACACACACACACACAGACACAAACAAACAAGCAGGCACACACACACCCTTACCTGGGCCCCACCACAAATCAATCAATGAAGTATCTCCTGGGAAAGGTCCTGGGCATTGGCCTTTTATAAAGTTGTCCTGCTGATTTTAGGACATGTAGGATTGAGAACCAACGCACTAGATCTGAGCTGGTTGAACTTTAACATGCATGTGCACCATCTGGAGAGCTTGTTAAAACATATACTCCCCATTTCTGACAAGCTCTCAGCTGCTGCTTCTGGCCTGGGGACTGCACTTTGATTAACACTGCACTGCACTGAGCTGCCGGGTATATACAGATAAAAAGGACACAATCAGCACCAAGTAGCTCACAGGCTAATGGGAGAGGCAGATATGCACACAGATCATTGTTGCAACACATTATGCTAAAGGCCACGGAGATTCTGCTGTAAGTATCATGGAAAAAGTGCTGTGGGGACCAAAAGGAAGGGTTGTGCAACTGCTGAGGAGTGACCGAAGGCTGCACAGAAGAGGCCATAGCTAAGCCTCATCTTGTGGGATGAATTGGATGAGTTTCCACCATCCAAAGGGATGGTAGAAATGGGGTGTGGGAAAGTTATGCTAGAGCTGTGCTGTCCATTATGGTAGTCATTTAGTCACAGTGGTTATTGAGTCCTTGAAATGTGCTGTCCAAATCAAGCTGTGCTTTAAGTATAAAATACATACCAGGTTTCAAATATTTATTATACTATGAATGAAAAATTGTTCCTTGATAATTTTTATATTGATGATATGATGAAATGATAATATTTTGGGCTAAATAAAACATATAAATGAACTTCACTTTTCTATTTACTTTTAAAACATGATTACTGAAAAATTTAAAAGGTCATTTGTGGCTTTTTCTTTTAATATATACTGGATGGTGCTGCTCTAGACTGAAGGAGCCCCAGAGAAGCAGCACAGAGCATGGCTTTTTCAGTTGTGTGGTGTGGCATTGACAATTCTGACTTTGACGCTGACTCCAACACTCTGGATCTAACCCAACATCAGCTGGTCTCTTTTCTTGTTTATATATCGGAATCTCTCCTCTGGCCTACTCCTAGTCTCCCTCTATAGGAGACAGACTTCCTGAATTAAACTGAAAGCATTAAATTATTATTTTTTGCCCTGGCAAGGTTTAAACAGGGCAAAGCCAACCAGTTTGGTTAACAACTGTGCGAATAATCCTATTTCTGTCATGAGATTCAGGATTCAAATGGCTTTTCCTCCCATTCGCTTCTGGAATTCATCTTTCTCTGAATGTCCCTGCACATGCTTTCTCTCTGACACAGTTACTCAGTCACAGACCGACAGACAGAAGGACACACACACCCTCCATTTAAGAGGCAATTAAGTGTCAATAGAGAGAGTATTAACTCGATGACATAAAAGTTGGAGAACTAACTGTCATTTAGACCTTGGACAAATTTCTTAGCCTTCCTGTGATCCCTCATCTGGTGTTTTACCTATTTGAAAATACTAACAAACATAAGAAGTATTTTTATAATTTATTTTTTTCATCAGTTTACTAATGATGATCTTGTTATAGAGTAAAATTGTCAACAAGGGAGATTTCAGTTCAATGAACAAAGCAGTAACAACAGAGAGTACCCAAAGATGACCTGACCTGGGCTGCTTTGTGAAGTAGTGAGCTCCTCTGCATGAAATTCCCAAGTATGGTGTCCCATGGGGCACTGTGATAAGTGAACCTGAACATGGGCAAAACATTCGAAGCATCTAGACATTCTAGAAATGTGCAGAATCAAAACCCATAGAACATATGCCACCGTCCTTTGTTTTCTTCTCATCATCATCCCGCATTAAGCAATCACGGCACTTCTTCTAAGGCAAGATAAAGCCTAATACTTCTTAACAGAAATTCCAGGCATATGTAAGTAATCAAATGAGCTTGGCACACAAGTGAAACTATTAGCTTTGAAGACTAAACTCTAGGCTCTAGATACATATATTATTGGCTCTTTAAAATATTGATTAATTCAATAACTTTGGAATTGTGTGAACTCAGAGCTCTAGCAGCTCTTTAAGACTTCAGAGGCCAAAACGAGGACAAAGTGGGGGCTAAAGGCAATGGGACTGCAGACTGCTTGCCTTCTGTTCAACCATAGAAGGCAGAGTAAAACTCACTTTATGGATTGAGATATAGGATTGTCTTTGATAGAAGGATTCCATAATCAAAAAGTCAGAACATATAAGAAATTCCCACATTATATTACATTCCAAAAGGTATCAAATTGTATAACAACTTGCCCAAGGTCACATAGACGGCTAGTGACAGGGAGTGACCCAGTGTGTAGATTCTAGTCAAATACCTAGCCCAGTTTCCTTTCCATGTTTAAAATACGTAAAGGTTAGAATCACAGGTACTGGTGTAAAATCACCTGGGTTCAAATTCTAGCTCCGTCACTTCCTAGAGCTGTGGAACTTAGGCAAATTACTTAATCATCCTGTGCCTCAGTTTCCTCTGCTATAACAGGGAAATGATAATAATTGTAACTCCCTGGGTTGTTGCAAGAATGAAATTAGTTAATGCATATAGTTCCTAGAACACCAAACAACACAGAATGAGCAGTCAAAAATGCTACTGTTGTCATCGTCATTGTCATTGTCATCATGATCTTCATATAGTCATCCTATTCAGGGTCAGTTTATTTAGCAGGTACAGTGGAAAGAGCCCTGAATGGGATGGTAGGACTGCTGAGATATTCAGTGTCACTTTGGTTTCTAAATATCTGTAACTGCCAGATTGCCTCCTGTGCCATCAAGGAGGCAGATAATGCTGGGATTCTCCTATGGGAGATGAGAAGTTTCACCAAAGCTCAAAATCCATGAACTCAGTAGAAGGAATGGAAACTTCCTTTTATTGTTTGTTGCCTTTGTTTGTTTTTAGAATCGATTATGCTTCAAGCTCTGTATTAGGTATTTGCAGCAATATTACTTCCTTCCTTGTCTTTACAGATAGGTTAGTTGCACTCCCCAGTCAAGAAAAAGGATGCTGATGGAAGCTAAATAACTTTTTAGAGTTACCTTGAATCTGCTTGTTTTCACTTATTTTCATTTGAGAGTTAATGTTACATAAAATAAACAGCTCACGGGTATTTCTCTAAGAGAAGGCCTAAAGAGCTGAATTTGCTTTTTGTTCACAATTTTAATTCACTTTTTCAATTTGTGACAATAGTATATTATTACCCAAAGGAATGGAAGTTGAGTAAATCACAGAAAGTTTTTTCTCTGAGATGACAAGAGGCTTGATGTCTAGGAAGTTTGAATGCTTAGTAATTCTCAAAGGCAAAACATAATCACGGGACACCATGTAATTAAACATAACAAAATGTAGAGGCTTTTAATGTCATTCAGTTCAGTTTAACCAGCATTCACTGAAGCTTTATAAAGTCAGCCCAGGAAGAGAAAAGTGGCTAAGATTTTATTTCTGCTGGTAAAGAGGTGATCCTTTTGGAAAGGTATGGCAGAACCAGAACTGGACTTTACAGTGAAATTTGTTGATGTAGATGAGGGGCTTGTCTTGCTGAATAGAGAAAGGCTGTGGCTGCCTGCCTGAGTCCTGTGCAACTTTGAGCAGAAATACAGCCTCTTAGGAAGAAAAGAAGGCTAAGGGCGTCAGATTTTCTCCATCTCTTCTCCCACATTCACCAGTTCTCTAAGCATCCTAAGGCATATTCATTTGTGAACATCCTGTCTCCATCACTGGCATAGGAATCTTCTGAGGGCAAGAACCTGTCTGATGTTCTCTGCTTCCTGGAACCTCAGGATGTGTCTGACACCTGCAGCTTCTCTATACCCCTTGAGCCAATACAAAAGGAATGAATCAGTCAGTGTAAGGCAGCCCTTCTCACCATATGAGATCCTTGGTCCCACGTCTGTATGGTGAGAAGACATGGATGCTGGCTCCATTTAAATGATGTTACAATGCTCCCTAAAGGGCCTGCTAGCTGTAGAGCTAGTTTGAAATAGGGGTGCATATTTCCAAATAGCAGAATAATCTTCTATTCCTGGTGCAGGGAACAAAGCCTTTGACTTTTCGTTTTTGTAAGTGGAGCAGTGACCACACCAGCTCTTAGAAATATATTAGGAAGACATTTTACATTTAGAAATATATTAAGCATGAAGATTATTTAGGAAATCACTCTCTAGTTTTTACATAGGGATATCCAAATGAGATCTTTCTACTGTCTGTTCTTTCTAGTTTTTCATTTGAGGATATTTCAAAGGAGAGGTTAGAAAATAGAAGTTCAAGAATAAGAATTAATCAAAGTCAATTCATTAACATGCAAGTATGTCACGTATTTCATGAGCTTTGCTTACATAAAAGTCCATGTGCATTTTTAACTCCCTCATTCAAGAATTTCCTTTCACATAGCACAATTTCACATCCAGGTTAAACTCAAGGGCTACCTCCTCTTTGAAGTTCTCCTTGATTTGTCCAGCCCATATACTTTCTTTCTTGTCCGAACATCCATTGCACTTAAGGTAAACGATGATTTAAATTCAGAATATGACTTCACTGTAGAACCTGTGATATCATGGTCTTTCAATTCTCCACAACAAAATAGGACATTTATTATAAATTGAATCTGTAAAAGATGCTGAGAGTTGGATTCCTTTCCCTTTCTCTTCATAATAAAAAATAACTAACATTTATTGATCTTTTAAAATGTATCCACAATGTGCTAAACAATTTTCATGCATAATCTTGTTTAATCCTGATGACAGTCCTCAGAGGCACATACTAAATTGTCTGTGCCTCACCGCTGAAAAGCCATGCTGCTACTTGGCCAAGGCCAGTCTGCACATAGTAAGTCCCGGATTTGATCTCAGCACTTTCTAGCTTCGGAGTCCTTGCTTTCAGAACCACTGGAGTATGCTCAAGAGATCTGGACCACTTTCATTTTATCTGGTATCTGGCGTTATTAAAAAACAAATAAGAAGGCCACACTTGTTGGAAGCCTATTTGGGGATTTTAAATTATGTCATAAATACCTTTGTGAATTTCATCATAGAATCTCTATAACTGTATTCAGCCTCATTTGGAAGTAATGTCTAGAATTCTAATTTGAGACATTTTGCATATGTGAGGTTTGAACGAAATGATATTCCCTGCTCACCCTTGACAGCCACAGTTCCTCCACGACCCTGAGTCACTTCTGTTTGACCGCCAGGCCTGCCTGACAATTTAGTTTCCCCATGCCCCTACTTCGGTTCTCTCCTGGCAGAGGGCACTGCGGCACTTATCCAATCTCTATGTTTTGAAAAATAAAAGCATTGAGACTTCCAATATTTGAGTCCAGCTAAGACGGCAAGGCCACCAAATTTTCAGTGATTTTCAAAAACTCATTTCAGTGCTGTCTTCCTGTTAAATTGGACCTTTCATTCCATACTGAGCAGTGGCAAGTAGAGAGCGAGCCAAGAACTAGGACAAGCTTGGCACAACATTATACCTGCTATGGGCCAAGGTTTAGGTAGGTTTTGATTTTGTTTCTGGTGGCCTCGAATACACTTGCTTCCTTTTTCAAAGTGTCCAAATGAGAGAGTGAATAGTAAATAGCCAGAGGGAAATGAACCAGTGTGTGGGAATAAGAAGGTGTCCCCCTGTGTGTACCTTTGATTACCAGTGCAAAGGGCTTTCTGAGACACTGGCTGGTAAGAAGGAAGCAGGTTGCCATATCAACACCTGTGGTTTCTTTACATGTTTTTACTGCAGGTTTTCATTGTTTTAGTGCTTTATTCTAGGAGTAAATTACTAAGACTGTATGGTTCCAAGAATATTCCTGGTGGGCTAGCAGCAATGTGCTCCAAAGCACAGCCTGGGCTCCCTGCCTTCCCCTCTCCTCTCAGCCAGAAGTGGAAATCCAGGCCACTCTTGGCTTTCTCTGTGAACCAAGACAAAAAGGAAGGGGCATACAGGCTGTCCTTAAAGCATGTTGGACAAGCTGTTGCTACAGGGTCAGGGAATGAGGGTAAGAAAGCCTGTCTCTTTCCTTATAAGGAAGGTCATGACCAAATTGCAGAGCAGAAAGGAATATAAATCATTGAACATGCACACATGTGTTCATTACAGCACTATTCACAATAGCAAAAACATGCCATCAACCTAAATGCCCATCTACAGTGGACTGGATAAATAAAATGTAGTACATATACACCATGGAATATCATGCAACCATAAAAAAGAATGAGATCATGTCCTTTGCAGCAACATGGATGGAGCTGGAGGCCATTATCCTAAGCAAACTAACACTGGAACAGAAAAACAAATACCACATGTTCTCATTTATAAGTGGGAGCTAAACATTGAGTACATACAGACACAAAAAAGGGAGCAACAGACACCAGGGCTTACTTTTGAGGGAAGAGGTTGGGAGGAGGATGAAAATAGAAAAACTATCGTGTGCTATGCTTATTACCTGGGTGATGAAATAATCTGTACACCAAATCCCCACAACATGCAATTTGCCTATGCACATGTGCATCCTGGATCTAAAATAGAAGTTGGAAAGGAAAAGAAAAAAAACAGTGGCTCCTGGGTTTCATTTGGAGTGTTGGCCTCAAGGTGTTTGGCCTGTACCATCTTTTATATTTAAATTACCTCTCAACCTTTTTTTTTTTTTTTTTTTTTTTTTTGTGAGATGGAGTTTTGCTCTGTCACCAGGCTGGAGTACCGTGGCGCGATCTCGGCTCAGTGCAACCTCTGACTCCCTGGTTCAAGCAATTCTCCTGCCTCAGCCTCCCGAGTAGCTGGGATTACAGGCACATGCTACCACACCCAGCTAGTATTTTGCATTTGTGGTAGAGATGGGATTTCACCATGTTAGCCAGGGTGGTCTGATCTCCTGACCTCGTGATCCACCCACCTCGGCCTCCCAATAGCTCTCAATTATAAAAATAAGGAAATTTAACATTTAAAAAATAGAGGCATTTAGCTTTTCTTAGAGACTCAGAATGTCTTCTTTTTGCATATGAATTCTGTGTGGAGGAGCAGTTCCCCCTTAAAATAGGCGAATGTTTGCATTTGAGTGTAGTCTCCGCTGCTCCTCAGAGATCCCTGACACTGAGACCTTGTGCCAGCCACCATTTATCATCTACCCCCGCTAGTTTTACTCTCATACATAATTTGCATGGCCCCTTAAGCGTTTGAGTTTATTAGGATAGTTATAAAGGCCTGCCATGTCATACAAAGTTATTCAGGCCATATCCTAAGGCACTCAGCAATAGTGGTTGTTTTGAGGCTGGGAGGTATTAGCCCAGGCTTAGGCTTTAGAGATGCCTTTGGCTACTTGTTTCAAGTCCATCCAGTTTCCAATTCATCATCCACATGGACCCTAGATGTGAAATGAGTGCAGAAGGAACACAGATGACAAGAAAGTGTCCCAGGCAAAGAGCACAGGTAATGGAGGGAAGAGAAGAAACTCTGGAAACACTTCAGAGGCAGAATTGTCAAGGATTGGGAACCAAATGGGATGCAGAAGAAAGAAAAGTTTAGAGGCTGGAGCTACTGTGCAGATGATGACTGTTGATGGGGCGAATGGAATCAATACTAGACCTAGTCAGATTATAGTTACCAAAGGAAACAGACATTGCTCAAATTTGAACATTCAAGAAATAGTTATATACAGCATGTAATGAATACATTTCCCATTAAAATATTTCTTTCTTAAAGTAGCATCATGTTTCTAAATTAATATGTGTAGTAACTAGCTACATATATGAGTAAACCCCTTCCTAGACAGAGGTTCTTTTAGAAAGGAAAATCTCTAATTCACTGCTTATTCCTAGTACCCAAACAATACCCAATATGTAGTGTGTGCATGAGAAATATTTGCTGAATCCATCCATAATTACTTAAACAGAGATCATTTAAAGTACCCATAGTTTAATCTCAATTGTTATACATTTTTTTCTGTAAGTCTTTTGCTTTTATTTATCTGCTGCCTACCACTTCCTTCTCTGTAGCCCCTGACACCTCTGCACACATATGTGCACATACAAGGAAACAATTGCATTAGATAGGCATATGTAATAATGCATGTGGTTTTAGATAATAAGATTTCTCTACTTTTAATCTTAAAGTGATTTCTACTTTCCATTTTGATCATTTATTTTTAAATTTCATTAAATGAATAACCTTTTTTAAAGCAAATTTTTTTGGTGGATTCTTCACAGAGACTCACCTGTAGTTTTTCCTTAATTAAAGAGCAAAAAAACCGAATGGATTCCCTTTCCTTGGATAACCTTCTAGTCATAATCAGAAAGCCTTTTGGAGCCAAAGATTTCCCATTCAGCTACAGCTGGTACCATGCATTTTTTGGGTTGCTTGAGGCGAGGGAGGAGGGTTCAGCTGTTGAGATCTCTAGAAGATTTTTACAAGTAATTATGTAAGTTTTGTACATGTTATGTAAGAAGTGAATGCATTCTTGTTGTAAAAATAATAAAAATGTATCTAATGTAAAAAGCAGAGGTCTCACTTGAATTCTGTCTACTTCCTTGAGTCCATTTCTTTGCCTAAAAGTAATCATAGCTAATTTTCATATGTATCCTTTAAACATTGTTCTGTGCAGTATGGCACAAGCCTAATTGGATCATACTACACATGATGCTAACTAATTTTTGAAAGATTGCAGAACAGTGCGTTTTGGAGAAATTACCATGTTGAAGCATACGTATCCACCGAATTCTTCTAATTGCAGCATAGTACTCTGTCATATGCATATATCATAGTTTATTTAGGTGATCATTAATTCATGGGCATTGAGCCTATTTCTAATTTTTTACTACTATGAACAATGCCACTGTGAATATCGTTGCCCTTGCCTCTGTGGAAATATGAGTCTTTCTCTAGAAAACATCTAGAGAATTAGAATTCTCTAATTAGAAAATTAGAGAGAACAGATTCTCCTTGAATTAGAATTGCTGATGTAAGATATGTACCTTTAAAATTCTGATACATATTTCAAATTTGTTCTTCCAAAAAGCTATACCAAATTACTCTTTCAGCAGTCTGATATGAGATGAACAATTTTTCCACTTCTCTGCCCAAATTAGATATTACGATTTTTTGGGAATTATTATAAATTCTGTGGACAAAAGCATGAAATCTCACTGTTATTTTAAATTACCTTGTTGATTCCCCCATGAAGTAGAGTTTTGTATGCTACCTGGGGCTCCCTCATGATTTTCACTTGTATCTAAGCATCACTCTACCCTCCTGTTTCAGATGCTCACTACCTCACCTGCAGGATCCAGGAATGTGCCGAGACAACTAGAAGTGGGCCTTTTGCCCGCTCCATTGACATCAGTTCCCTGGTTGTCCAGGATGAATATATCTTCATTCAGGTGAGTACAGAAAGTGCAGTTGGTGGTAGGAGGATGCATCGTTGAAGTTGGCTGCCTGCTAGGAAAAGGAGGGTGGCTTTCCCAAGGTTGTGAAGATGTGGAGTTGAGACACTGTCCCTCCTTTGCTTCAGGGACCCAGTCCTCTGGGGAGAGCCCAGACTTCTACTGGTTTTAGTGATGCACTGAATCCTTCCATTGGATTGCCATTTTATAGCACAGGAGCTGTCTGAATTGGCTAGTCTTGGGCTGGGTTTGAAGTAACTTAGTCAAATTTCTAATGGGATTTGACTTTAAGTAATTTATCAAAGCCACATTCTATTTCTACCCAAAGTGACTTGTATAACTTGGCAATGAAAATCCCCTGTAAATTAAGCATCTTTAGGATTCTTTTTCTGGAAATACCTACTACTCACTAAACTTTCCCCTTCTTTCCAGTGCTGACTACCTTCTCAATGTCCATGTCCCAAAGCGTTTACTCCCAGAACTGAGTCTTAGGAAAAATTAGATGGGACTCATATTTAGGCAGAGCAGGGAAGCCTTCTTTTACATTTTCGGTCTTCTTATCTCTATTGTGTACTATAAGGAGGTACAAAACAGGACAAAAATAAGGGGAACAAAAGGTAGTGCTCCACCAGATGACTGACAGAGGATGCATGTGATAAATCAAACATGGTATTTGATTGCAACCTTGATTTCCCACACTCTGCCTTTCCATCCTTCTATTCTCAGTTGTTTTGCAAACTATTCCCACAGGAAAGTTGAACTTTGAAAACTCCCTGAGTTGGCTCAGACCTAAGCACCTGAATGACCTTCTCTACCTGACCCCTGGTAGTTCAGTCCAGATCAATCCCATCTCTTCTAGGAGACTTTCTATGAACTTCCAAGCTCAGTGTGACTCTCCATCCTCTGAACCCTTGCAACTTTATGGTCTATACCATTCCTCTAGCACACAGGCTATCAATGGATTTGTCTTCTCTCCAAATTGCATTTTACACTCTCTGAGAATGGTGATGATATTTTATACACACAGTTGACCCCTCTCCCTTGGCCCTAACAAGATGTCTTTGCATATCAGGGGTGCTCAGTCAATATTTGTTGTATTGAACTGATTGTAGGCATCGCAGTTACTTCTATCTATAACTTAGTTACATAGATTTTTGAGGTCTAGTAAAATACAGGAAAAGTAGCTAGCCACTCAAAAACCATCTTCGATGAGGGAGTGAAACAGGAAGGTTCTGTGGCTTCAAAAATCCCTGTTTTTTAGCTTGACTGAAATGCAGAATCTCAGAATTGTATTTCTAAGTCTTGGCAGGCCAACGGCACTCTCATTCTCTTATTCGTAAGTGTTTGTTTATTGAACACATACATTGCAAAATACATAGCACCAGTCACTACTCTAGAGTTCCTCAAGTTTCTGCCCTTGACCTGCTTCTCTACCCAGTACTCGCTGCCTGAGCAATCCCCTGGTTTTAAGGACTATTTCCAAGGTTTGATGACTTTCAAGTCAGTGAGCTGTGACCTCATGTACTGCAGCCTTCCATATCAAATAACCAACTCAGGATCCCAACATAGACATTCCACAAGTAAAACAGAACCAACAGGTCACCCTTGACCTTGACCCTTACACAGTTTGTGGCACAACCCCCTACCAGGTCAGTCAAAGTCAGTCTGTGTTGCCAAATTAAATGAACCCACAGCCTCTGTTAATATCTCTCTTTGTGATTTCTGTAGTGTTTCCTTTTATTCCATTCTCATTGTTATGGTCCCCATTTAAGGCCTTTATCTCTTTCTATTTAGATTTTTTTTTTTTTTTTTACAGTGGAAGCACAGGAGTGAGTTATGAATTTACCAGTCGGATTTCCCTTCCCTTAATGCTAAATATGCTAGAATTGTTTCTCGGAAACATGACTTAGAATGTAAAATGTTCAGACTTTTTTCATTTTTCCTTGTGTTCCATAAAGTTTGCTGTAACTCCGCAGACAGATACACAGATTTTTTTAAAAATTATTCTGAAACATTCCTTTTTTATTATACTGGAAGCAGACGGAAGTTTTGTCTTTAATTAGCATCAATTTTTATTTTCCTTGAAAAGATATGCGGTTTCATTATTCAATAAAGTTTTACTCATTGCCAAGTATATGTGAGGTCCCCTGTTCTAGGTGCTAGGTGCTGGGGTTAGGATAGTGAACACAACAAAGTTTCTGCCTTAGTGGCATTTAATTCTAGTGGAAGATAGGAAAAAATATGTGTATGATGTAAACATCCATATATACATAGATGAAAAGTTATAAAGAGTAATGGTTAAGAACATATAATTTAGAGTCCAAAACCTGGCATTTGTTGAAACTGTGGCATTCCACACTTAGCTGTGTGACCTTGAGCTGTGCATCATTTGACTTATCTATAAAAAGAAGATAATTGTAGTACCTACTTCATGGGTTGCTGGGTGGATTATATTTATTAACGCTATCTGTAAAGCAGCAAAACGATGCCCTAGAAACAGTGTTATATGAATATTTGCTTTCTATCTTTTATCTATCTACAAAATGTATCAGATAATGACAAGTCCTATGAATAAAAATAAATCAGGGACTGTGAATATTGAAGCTATAAAGGTATTGCTGTTTTATTTAGGGAGACTTAGGAAGGCCTCATTGAGTGGTGAACTAGGAACACGGTGGCAGAAGATAGTGCAGTCAGAGAGGAGCGTGGAGCCAGGTTGTCAGGCCTTGGCTTCCTTGAGCCCACATGAAGATGGGGAGTGGGCAGTTAGAGATTTGAGTCTGGGTTCAGGAGCGGGGGTTCGTCATGGAGCAGTTGCAGCTGAGTGTATCCATTGTAAAGTTTATAGTATATTGGTGGCATTTTTAGACCACACAGAATTGCCAGTCGCAGCTGAGTTGATCTATTGTAAAGTTGCCAGTATATTGGTGGCATTTCTTAGACCACTAAGAAATAAGTATTGATAGAAAAGAGAAACCATCCAAAGACTGAGCCTCAGGCTACTCCAATATTCAGAGTTCAATGAGATGAGCAGAAACCTGCAATGAGACCTAGATAGACAATTTAGAGATAAGGCCGGAAAGGTGGAGGTGCTAGATCCCACTGGGCCTTGAAGGCTTTATTTTTACTATCAATGATGTGGGAACCAATGGATTAACAATGCCCCAAATAATGTGAAAGGCCAATAAACTTGAGAAAAACATTGGATTTCATTAATCATCAACTAAACACAGATTACATGGTATCATTTGCAACTATCAATTAGCTAAGATTGAAATATGGTAAAAGAATGCCAATGAGTTGCAGGTAGACAACTACATACAGTGTAGGTACAAATATAAATCAGTGGATCATCAGCATTTAATCCACCTTTTTCTTCTCACAGGTGAGTTTGGCCATTTGCATTGACAGATATGACATATATGTCTTAGTTTTGACAGTATATTCTTTGTGTTTAATTATGATTACTTTAAAACTCCCATTATATGGTCTGTTTGCTTTCCTGTGTGTCTGATAATTTTGAGTATTTGTATTTTTGTTCTAAGTGCTTAGCTTTATGAATAGAAATTTATATAACATACTGAATCTTCTATTTCTGGACAATATCTATTGATTTCCTGTTGGCAGCAATTACAAAATCAGTGTATTTCCTTGAATTTCTAATTTTCTCCCTCTCTTTAATTCTTCCACTACCTAATTTTGAATAATTATTTTCTAATGTTTGTCTTACTGCCTTAAAATATAATTCTGTTAGACTTAAATATTTTATGAAGCACTACAGAAGAAAGGTGAAAAAAATAGTATGTGTTTATGACCTCTTGTCAGATTCCTTTTTCCAACCCCAGTTTGTTGACGTCATCATTTTAGAGCATGAACATTCTACTCTGCACTGTAATTCCTGCATTTATTTTGATTTTAGTCTTATAGGTAAATGTATTCAGTTGTCCCCAGAAGTCTTTTTCCTATAGTTTTTCCCATTTATCTCTTGGTTATCTGAAATTTGTCTTCCAAGAAAGGCTAATTCTTGAATGCTGAAAATATGTTTGTCTGTATCTTTTTATATTTTAATATCATTTCTCAGGGTATAAAATGTATGTGTCATCCTCTTTCCATGAGAATTTTTACTCCAATAATTTGTTACTATTCAGACCAGTCTCATATTTTTCATTAAGGCATCTTGTTGTTGTTTTATTTTGTTTTTTAACTTCAATACTTAAAGCCTTTAAAAAATATTTTGGCCAATATATTGTTATCAAATATATTGATACAATATATTATATCAAAATAAAAAATATTTTGATACCAATTACTCATTAGTTAGCATATGCCTTGTGGTTGGCCATAATGTACTGATTCTTCTGGAATATTAATTTTTTTGTTAAATAGATTGAATTTTTTCTTTATTTTTTAATTTCTCGGGAGTTTCTGTGGCATATCTTGAAATATGTTTTCTATTTCAGTTTTGTAGTTTTGGTTCCTTTCTTCCAGGACATCTAGGATGTGTACACTAGACAGGAAAGACAAAAGAGAGCCATAATTTCTCCCATCCCAACCCTTTTTTACTCCCTGAGCAAACTGAGGAAAATGAGATTAAAAACAATCTTACATTATTTTCTAGGCTCTTTTTGCTTTATTGCTTTTTTTTTCTTTTTCCTGTTTTTGTTTAACTTCTTTTCTGAGCTTTGCCAGTTTATATTGTGTCTCTTTCTCTCGTATCAACATACCTTCCCTGAGCTCTTGTATTTCTGCTTCAAACCCTTCTCTTATAGAGGTGAGCTCTTCATCATACAGGTTATTTTAAATTATAGCAGTGTGTTTGCAATTTTTATTTGCTCTATGGAAGCATATTTTATTCCATATCTGTTATTTGTTTTTCCTGTCCCTTTCTGTCTTTTATTTTCCTATATTATTTTATCATTATTATGCTATTTTCTTTTATCTTTATATGTTTAACTATTGCTTATTTTTTAATGCTGTGAGTTCTTCCCAGAAAAAGTATTTGAGGAGGTTCATTTTAGCAACAGATTAGGGCTCTGTTTCAGCTTAACAAGAATCCTTCTTGGTTCTCACTGAGGTTCTGTATGACTCAAGATTGTTTTCTCTGTGAGTGGGTCCTTCTGATAAGACAGAACCACCTGGAACACAATATATATGACTCCTTTCCCACGTATATTGTGTTTCAGAGTTAGATTTTCATTACGGATAGAGTTTGCATTTCCCTTTCTTATTTTTCTTATTGCTTTAGGGTGATTTATAATAGGAAAAGGGAGAAGCATCATTATGATTTGGCTATTTAAAACCATTTATAAATCCTTATTATATATTTTCTGAAATGTTACAAGAGCTTACTAATTGATTTTCTTCTCCCAGATCAACACCAACCTTCCCCACCAGCCAGTCACAGGGCTAAATCAATATTTCTACATTCAGTGGCAGCTCATCACCTATAGGGTGAAATCCAATTTCCTTACCATTGTCTACAAAGACCTCTGTGACCTGGATCCTACCTACTCCATCAGTCACATATGAATTCCTTACCCACCACTGCTCTTCACATTCCTTCCTTGTTTCATTGTAACCTTCAATAAACATAAACCTCTTTAGTCTCCATGCACAAACTGTGCCATTTCTTACTGTATATGCCTTTCTTATATATTTTTTTCCTGCCTGGGATGTCCCTTTACCAGACAAATTTATTATTTAAATTTAGGACAGACAGCACCTCCTGTAGGAAGTCTTCCCTGACATCCTCAGTCGGGATTGGACTAAGCTCCAATGCAGTTCTTACCCATTTGCATTATGTTTCCCCAGCCAGGTCTCTAAAAGGAATAGGACTGTGTGTTATTCGTCATTGCTTCTCTTGCTTCTCCTGCTCTTAGCATAATTACTGGTACTCAATAAATGTTTGCTGAACTGAACTGAACTGAGAAGATAAGACACCATCCTATTCTCAGGAAGTGTAGTTAGTTATCTTTTTCAAGCAAGGGAATCTTGCTTCTGCAGCTAACAATACAGGACAACTTAGCCTAATTGACAATTGCTCAATGCGTAAGAAATGACCATGCAATGTACAATGTCTCTGCGTTTTTATAAAACTGCTGTCCAGGAATTGCCCAATATATTATTCATTGTCCTTTTTATATTCATTCATTTAAATGTATTAAAATACATTCAGCCCAGTGGGAAATGCACATAACTAAACAAATATAATGTAATATGATGAGAGCTGTATTAGTGCAAAGCACATGTTGCTCTTGGAGAAAGAGCCTTTCACCTGACCCTAGAAGAGGGTCAGTACAGGCTTTCTCAAAAGAAGGCTATGAGTACGAATTAAGTAGGTGAAGGAGAAAGAGCATTCTGCCCAGAGGAGAAGGCCTGGGTAAAGTTAAGGAAATAAGTGAACACAATGTACCAGGACCTCTTATATAAGGGGCAGTTGTAATTGTGGGAGGGAGTGGAGTGGTAGAAAAAGAAGTTGGAAAATTGAACTGAACATTTTCTGTTTTCTTTAATTAAATCTAGATAATGTTGTGTTCCCCTCTTTATAGTTGCTAGAAAGCACAGAACTAATTTTTGTGTGAATTTTAGCAGCTTCCCCACATAAAGCTTATGGTATTGTTATTTTTCATATCCCTTTATGCTTTGCCATAGGCCATTTTTTATTCCTTGGCTGCTTTCTTATATTCTTTTTGTTTGTTTGTTTGTTTTATTTTGTGTGTGTATTGCTTTTAAAAAATTATTAGAAACCATCTCAAATGATTTTCTGAAACCAGTGTCATTTAAAAATCTTTTTTGGGGTGGGGGGTATAAGTTTTGAAAATTGAAATGATGATTAGGACGGGCTTTATGGAGAAGGTAAGATTTGTATCGATAGTAATCAATATCTGCCTGTGGCCTAGAAAAGGGCGAGCTTTTTCATTCTGTTCATTGAAATAAAGTTGCCTCTGCAGGTTTTGTCAAAGCAGAAAACCCACAGACCAACAGAGTAGCTTTTCCTACTCTATTGGAGAAGCTACACAGATGCTATATGAGCACAGTATCAGGGCATCAGAGGAGGTGGTTTTCTACCTGTTCCTGCCTACCAGTCTATCAAAGAATGGCCTTGGTACAAGAAGTCATAGAGCAGTGAGGCTTGAGTCCCTTCAAGGTGGCATTCCCAGGGAGTAGCGCCAAGGCAGAACTGGACATTGAGGATTGTGCATTCCACTGACAGATGCTTACTGGTTTGGCTTTTAAAGGGGATCCGTGTAGAGGCAGATTATTTTTTATTCCTACTATTTAAGCAGTTAAATAACAGCAAGATGAGGACGAGAGACTTTGGTGGGTTTGGTTTTTCATGACTATAGAGATTTGTCTACTTAAATTTCGAACTTTTAAAAGTATTGATGTCTTATATTTGGTTTTAGTGCTAACAGAGACATATAACTGAGAAAGAAGAAACAACCTCACAAACAAAGGAGACCAGCCTTTCCCTTCGTCCTTTCCCACCCTTATGTGCCAAATGGAGGAGGACGCCTGGAAAGGCTGGGCTTTGGGCTTCCCAGCACCTCCTCAAACGGAGCAACTCTGCTTTTGTTTGCTCTGTATATTAGGTTTCCTAATACTCCTTCGTTTGACAAAAGGATCCTGCTGCTAAAAAATGTTTGAAAATCACTGACTTTTTGCAGCCCTGTTGGCTGCATTGGTCAAAGGTGAGGCTTTTCCATGTGTGGACAGCTGAACCGTGTGGAATGCAGGTGAGATCCAGGCTCAAATCTTTTCTCTGCATATTAATAAATGTGATGCACATATTTAATGTGCAATTTTTTACACATGAGTGAGAGATTATATACAAATGTACAGTATATGCATTTGAGAGTACAGTTTAAATAATGAAAAACCTTGGTAACCTCTTTATAATGATATTCATTCATTAAATTAAACCTCTTCCCATGACATTAAAAATTTTACCCTCTCCTGGTTGCCCCTATAAAGGAATGTGCCTCATACCCAATCATAATTTTATTTCTCTTGACATATTATTTTTAATTCTGTGTCTTATGTGCAGTAGAAGGGTCCATAAACCACCCACACAGCTCCTACTATTTAGAGAGACCTGGAAGTTCTCTACTTCACCTTTTATTTTCCTATTGACTAGGAGGTAAAGGTAGCCATCCTGATGGTTTTGCTTGGGGGAACCCAGTGTTTGATCTCCTGCTGTTGGACAAGCTGAGCTGGAGATATACAGAAAGCTGTGAAATTTGTTAATCTGTCAGTTCCTTTTCTGTGTAGGGGACCTGGGGTTTTGTAGCAAAATCAAAAGAAGCTAATCCTTCCCAGAAGAGCCCTTGTTTTAATAGGGAAGAGTCTGCCTGAAATGCCTCCGTTCCACTTGGATAAAAGAGAAATCGGCTTTCCTCTGTAGGGGCAGGGGAAAGCAGTAAGTTGATTTCTGTGTTCTGAGCCAAGCTGGTTGAAAATCCTGTCTTTTCTCCTTATGGAGTAGCGTTTCTAGTGATTATCCTGGAGAATCTGTATTTTAGCAGCAGTTGCAATAAAATTCCTTTAGTAATAAGATTCATACCCTGGCTACCCTTGCTACTAGGGAATGTGATGAAGAAACAAGAACAGTCCCTTAGTAACCTGTCACCAGCAATGTGTATATTATGTCTGCAGTGGATTGTGTGAAACCCTGCCCTATACTCTCTTCATGGCACAGAGGGTGGCCTTCAATGTGGTAAGAGTTCATTTCATAAAAGAGGTATAATACTGACAAGTCTTCAAAAATTTAAAACACAAGAGGAAAAAAAAGTCCATAATTAAGATACAAATAAAGTACTCTAGAGGTAGGAAGAAAGCAGAAAATTTGGAAGAGGGACGGTCATCTTGCCTCTGCCAGGTCTTTCTCCACATCCCTAATGTCTTTGTTGCCTTAGCACAGAATGAAACTTTTCCCTCGCTGTTTTAAGTGAGCCTGTAGTACCCTGTGAGATGAGGTGCTGCAACTTGAACATTCTGGAAAAGGGCATGGTTTTTAGGAACTGAGCACAGGGAAAGGGTAGGAACCCTAAAGATACAGTTGGCCACTTGAGCCTGGGAGGGTTTGTGCTGATTCAGGCCAGGAGAAGAGAGTGGCTTCCTGAACCTGTGGCACCCACAACCACTCATGCAAACCCAGAACAGCTAGCTACTCCCTGAACCTTTGTAAAGATGCCAAGCGGACAGGTAACACTGTGTAGATCCATCTACTACCCAGTGGTATTTTCAACTCTCAGTAATATTCTATAGACCTGGCGAAGAAAAAAGAAACCTTATGTAACAAGGAATTCTGAGGTGGAGCAATAACATGTATCAGACTGTTTCTAGGATGATACCAGTACTACATTGAAGTCAATTGGTAGCTTGGATACATGTTGCTGTTAGTTTTAAGAGTTCTATGTATAAACATAGAAAAATAGTACTGTTATAAAGTGTTGGGAGATGTTCCAGAAGTACTAGCAATTAACAAGTATTGGTAGCCAATTAACAGATACTTGTTGAGCCCTAGAAGTATGCCAGGTGCAATGGAGCATTGCCCTGGTCTCCATCAGTTTATGATTCAAATAGCTAGTGGTCTGATGTGGAGAAAACAGCCCTGACTTTAAAGACCTGGGTTGTAATCAGGAATCTGCCACCTACCAGCCAGGAAATACGACACAAGTCACTTAAACTCTCAGAGTACTAATTTTCTCATCTCTGTAGAATGGAATCATGCTACTTGCCCTTTCTAAATTGGAAGGTTGTTGTGAGGATCAAGGGAGATAATAATGGCTTTGAAATGCTTTGAACGCTACAAAGCCCTACAAAATGCAAGAATTGAGAGACTAATCCACATGCAAAAATCAGCCTCACTGTTTAGTGTATGCACATCCTCTTTTAAGGATTTTTATAAGCCGATCACATAAAAGATTACTAGATCTTTTCTCCAAATTCGTTTTTAAATTATTCATAGATTCAATTCATGTATCAACATATGTGCATGATAAAAGCTTCCCACATAGCTTCCATGGTGTTGGTTTCTTTGATAACCAACTTTTAATGATATATATGAGATGTAACTATTCTGGGATTTAATTAACTTTCAAGACTGTTTTTGCATCTTGGTCTCAGCTCACCTGGATTTTGGTACTTCATCTAAGATCCTGATTTATATACCCATCATGGAAGGTAGACAAGCCTCTATGATGTGGCTACTGTATCCCCAGTAAATTACTATCTTTCTGAAAAAAACCCTGAGGCAGAAATTAATAGAGTGTAATTATTCAAAGAAAAGCTATTTGGAGATGTTTTAAATGATGTTAATTTGGTCTTAATGGGAGAGATTTTGAATGTTAAATAAATAGCAATTACATCATTAGGGACACATTTACAACACGGGAGTTTAAAGCAAAATGAAAGAGTTACAGAGACAGTCTTCAAAAGAAATCCAATGAAGACATCTTCAGGTGAATATTCTTGAAGTGCTTTCAGAATCTTAAGTAAAAGTGTTTTCAACAGCCAGCCCAAATGGAGGTTCTTTAAATAGCTTGGATGCATCTCCTATATGTGTAATGATTATAGTGGTTTGCTGTTAGTATTTGAAATACTTCTATGAATAAACACAAATTAGTGATCTGATTGCAAAGTAATGATATTTAGTTGACCTTTGTATGGAGCATACTCCATCTCACATCCTTCCAGCTATGTTTGCCTCAGCTACTAGCTTTGCGCAGAGGTGACCTGCTATCACCTTGCCTCACCTGCACTGTGGATCCCCTGTTCCAGGGCTGATTTATTCCCAAGTAGGATGCTTGCAAGAGACTCGTTACCTATTCTGGTGCAGATACAAGTCTTGAAGGTGCCAAAAATCTGGGACAACTTCAGCAACAGGAATCCAAAGCTGGTGGATCAGTGCTGGTGGGAATGTAAATTAGTTCAGTCATTGTGAAAAGCAGTTTGGCAATTTCTCAAAGAACTTAAAACAGGATTACCATTCGACCCAGCAATGCCATTATTGGGTATATGCCCAAAGGAAAATAAATTGTTCTGTTGTAAAGACACATGCACACATGTGTTCATCACAGCTTTGTTCACAGTAGTAAAGACATGGAATCAACCTAAATGCCCATCAATGGTAGACTAGATTAAAAAAAAATGGCACATATACACAGTGGAATACTATGCAGCCATAAAAAAGAACAAGATTATGTCCTTTGCAGCAACATGGATGGAGCTGGAGGCCATTATCCTAAGCAAACTAACACGGAAATAGAAAACCATATACCTCACGTTCTCACTTGTAAGTGGGAGTTAAACTTTGAGTACATATGGACACAAAGAAGGGAATGGTAGACCCCGAGGCCTACTTAAAAGTGGAGGGTGGGAGGAGGAAGAGGAGCAGAAAACTATCTATTAGGTACTATACTTATTACCTGGGTGACAAAATAATCTGTACACCAAATACCCATGACATACAATATGCCTATATAACAAACCTGTGCATGTACCCTGAACCTAAAATAAAAGTTAAAAAAAAAAACAAAACTAATGGATCAGTACTCTTCTCTTATGTCAGGTAGGCAAGTCTGAGCCTCATTCTACATGAATTTTCATAGGCTGTCTAGTGGGATTGAGCCCTAATTGCTGACAATAATAACCAGTTTAGTAATGCACCCTGGAATGGCCTTCTCTCCCTCCCTGTTTCCTGCTTCCTAGTTTCACCACTCCTGTCCCCAGATCATTCCTCAACAAACAAAAACGATAAACTACATAAAAGTCCTTGACTCAGGCTTTACTTTTGGGGGTAACTTAATGCAAGGCAATCTTGAATGACTCTCAAATATTTCTTGGATCCCTGCTATGTATCCAGTTATTGTAGGTAGAGTGAACTATTTAAGTGAAGTAGAAGGCATTGTTCTCATCCCCATATAAATGAGATTCCTCAATCTAAACATCCATTTCCATCCCTCTTCTCAAGGACCTGGCACTACTGATCACTCTCCTTTCCCCTGTCTTTAGCTTACTCATCCCTATGTTAGACTTTCCATCAATATTTAAATATTTTTAAAATATCCACCATCCTGACATAACAAAACAAAGTAGGGTAAAACTTTCTTTGAACCTACACCCCTCTGTAAGTCTCCCATGTTTCATTCACAATCAAATTTTTTGAGCACTAGCTGTATTCATAATCCCATCTTCTCATTTCCCTGTCTCTGTAACTCACTTGAGACTGACTTCTGCCTCTGCCACTGCATTGAAATTGCTTTTGCCAAGTTCATCAAAGGTATCTTTGAAGTATATCTAGACTATGCCTCTCAATAATTAACATAGTTGAATTGTCTAGAGAATTTGAACCTCTTGACTGCTCCTTCTTTCTTGAAGCATTCTCGTTGCTTCCTCAATAAGGTACAGTTCAGGGTCCCCTCTCATCTCTCCATCTTTCCAATATCATCTTACTTTCCAACACAGATGCCTCTTCCTCTGCCCACTCTTTAAATATGGGTTTTTCCTCAGTGTTCTTTCTAGGTTCCTTTTCTCTGTTTACTTCCTACCCTCTCTGATATGGTTTGGCTGTGTCCCCAGCCAAATCTCATCTTGAATTATAGTTCTCATAATCCCCAGTGTGTCGTGGGAGGGACCCAGTGGGAGGTAATTGAATTATGGGGGCGGTTATCCCCATGCTGTTCTCGTAAAAGTGAGTGAGCTCTCATGAGATCTGATGGTTTTTTAAGGGGCTTTTTCCCCCTTTGCTCAGCACTTCTTCCTGCCCCCGCTGTGAAGAAGGTGCCTTTCTTCCCCTTCTCCTTCTGTCATGATTGTAAGTTTCCTGAGGCCTTCCCAGCCCTTCCAAAGTGGAATTGTGAGTCAATTAAACCTCTTTTCTTTATAAATTATCCAGTCATGGGCAGTTCTTTATAGCAGTGTGAGAACAGACTAATATAGTAAATTGGTACTACAGAGAGTGGGGTGCTGCTATAAAGATACCCCAAAATTTGGAAGTTATTTTGGAACTGGGTAACAGGCAGAGGTTGGAACAGTTTGGCAGGCTCAGAAGAAGAAAGAAGACGTGGAAAAGTTTTGAGCTTCCTAGAGACTTGTGGAATGGCTTTGACCAAATTGCTGATAGTGATATGGACAAGGAAGTCCAGGCTGAGGTGGTGTCCGATGGAGATGAGAAGCTTCTTGGGAACTGGAGTAAAGGTCACTCTTGTTATGCTTTAGCAAAGAGACTTGTGGGTTTTTGCCCTTGCCCTGGAGATCTGTGGAACTTTGAATTTGAGAGAGATGATTTAGGGTATCTGGTGGAAGGAACTTCTAAGAGGCAAAACGTTCAAGAGAAAGCAGATCATAAAAGTCTGGAAAATATGCAGTCTGATGATGTGAGAGAAGAGAAAAGTTCATTTTCTGGGAAGAAATTCAAGCCAGCTGCATAAATTTGCATAAGTAATGAGCCAAATGTTAATCATCAAGACAATGGGGAAAATGTCTCCAGGGCACATCAGAGGTCATCACAGAAGCCCCTCTCATCACAGTCCCGAGGTCTAGGAGGAAAAATTGTTTTCATGGGCTGGGCCTAGGGTCCCCCTGCTGTGTGCAGCCTGGAAACTTGGTACCCCGCATCCCAGCCTCTCCAGCCATGGCTGAAAGGGACCAATGTACAGCTCAGGCTGTTGCTTCAGAGGGTGCAAGTCTCAAGCCTTGGTGGCTAACGTGAGATGCTGGCTCTATAGGTGCACAGAAGTCAAGAATTGAGGTTTGGGGATGTTCACTTAGATTTCAGAGGATGTTGGGAAATGCCTGGATGTCCAGGCAGAGTTGTGCTGCAGGAGTGAAGCCCTCATAGAGAACCTCTGCTAGGATAGTGAGGAAGGGAAATGTGGGGTGCGAGCCTCCACATAGAGTCCCTACTGGGGCACTGCCTAGTGGAGCACTGAGAAGAGGGCCACCATCCTCCAGACCTCAGAATGATAGATCTACCAACAACTTGCACTGTGTGCCTGGAAAAGTCACAGACACTCAATGCCTGCCTGTGAAAACAGTTGGAACGGGGCCATACCCTGCAAAGCCACAGGGGCAGAGCTACCCAAGGCCATGGGAGCCCACCTCCTGCATCAACATGATCTGCATGTGAGACATGGAGTCAAAGGAGATCATTTTGGAACTTTAAGGTTTAATGGCTGCCCTATTGGATTTCGGACTTGCATGGGGCCTGTGGTGCCTTTGTTCTGGCCAATTTCTCCCATTTGGAATGGGTGTATTTACCCAATGCCTATACCCCCATTGTATCTAGGAAGTAACTAACTTGTTTTAGATGATTTTACAGGCTTATAGGTAGAAGGGACTTGCCTTGTCTCAGATGAGACTTTGGACTTGGACTTCTGGGTTAATTCTGGAATGAGCTAAAACTTTGGGGAACTTTTGGAAAGGCATTATTGTGTTTTGAAATGTGAGGACATGAGATTTGGGAGGGGCCAGGGGCAGAATGATGTGGTTTGACTGTGTCTTCATCCAAATTTCATCTTGAATTATAGTTTCCATAATCCGCATGTGTTATGGTGGAGACCTGGTGGGAGGTAATTGAATCATGGGGGCGGTTGCCCTCATACTGTTCTTGTGAGAGTGAGTTCTCACAAGATCTGATGGTTTTATAGAGGCTTTTCCTCCTTTACTTAGCACTTCTCCTTCCAGCCGCCCTGTGAAGAAGGTGCTGTTCCTCCCCTTCACCTTCTGCTGTGATTGTAAGTTTCCTGAGGCCTTTCCAGCCATGTAGAACTGTGAGTCAATTAAACCCCTTTTCTCCTTTCTTAAGAAGTTTAATTACCCAGTCTTGGGTATTTCCTCATAGCAGTGTGAGAACAGACTAATACACTTTCTCTTTGAGTAAGTCCATCCCATCCCCTTTTACAGTGTCAGTTACTATGCAAATGCCAATGACCCCAATGTTCCCTGCTCCTCTCAGCATAATGCAGAGACTGGGAGGCTCTAGCAAGGGGTCGTTCTTTACAGGATGCCCATCAATCCCTTAAGCATGGCAATCTCCTTGCTCCATTCAGAACTCTACTGTGCATGCCCCTTATAAATTACTAAGACTTGTTTCTTCCCAAGAGATCTAATGAGGCTCCATGGAAGTTACAATACCTGTTGCTTGCTAGGTCAATTTGGCAAAGAATATTTTCCTTTAATCTCAGAGAACGGTTCTGTAATTTGCTACATATTATAAAGTAACTATTTGCCTTTATAATAAAATATGAATGGGTCATGTCTAGCACAGGAGTATTAAATTGTTTTCATTTTATGTATCACCCCTGAGTTATTGGTAGTAGCTCCATAGAAGGCTGTGTTATTGTGGTTTGGTAGAAAAGCTTCTATTACTATTAGCGTCTCCATGGGCATGAGAAGTAAGGGTGGTGGTAAGCGTGCTGTGCAGTTCATTTTGCAAGAAGGGTGGCACTCATGGTGTTTAATTATTCAGGATGCTTATATGGAGGGAGCCAGCCTGTGAGTTCTGGTCAGGAAGGCAGATGTGTTATCCAGGAGACTACAAGAGTTTCTATCATCAGCTCAAAGGAGTGAGATCAGCTATACACTCTCAATCTCTTTCACTATTTGGAAATCAATTTCCTACCTCCAAAGCAATGGTTATTTGGAGTGTTCTTTCTACCTAGCTTCACCACCAATTTTACTCACCAATCAACAAACAGAAAGAATTGTTGTTATAGTGGAAAACGGACCTTGCAATTATTTCACATCAAATTTATGTCCAGCATGTGTGCATTTTATTTTATTTAATAAAACTTTAATCTTCACAGGATCTCAATATGACAGATATTATCTTTATTTTTCTATGGAGGAAACCAAGTTTCAGTGAAATATAGGTAATCACCCATGGTTGTATAGCTCAGGAAATGGCAAGGTCAAGGATATGACCTCAGGGCTGTCTGGGTTTATAAAGGATGACACAAGAGGACAATGATTGATTTCTCATTTCGTTTTTCTCTGCATTAGCACCTAATAATTGGTATTCCCAGATACTTTTCTAGATGACTGTGAAAGTGAAATAAGCAGATGTTGCCCCCATCTTGGTAGATGTTAGTGGCTGCAAAGACTTGCTCCATTCCCTATTCAGTGGACTCTTTCTCAGGATCTGTTTCAATTTTGTTTCATATCAGAAACTTTCTGCATCATTAACCAAAGAAAGGCTTAATGGGATTCAATACAATGTATTCATGCCTGAGCCTCTGAGAGCTGTCCCTCAGATATACTTGGGGGATTTACTCAAACACCCATCCCTGGGACTTCCCGTGGGGACTGGGTGGCAGCGTGGAGAATCATCATGACATCCACAGCTCTGCTCTTCTCCAGCCCTTTCCTCCTCCCTGTGTACGTCTTGCCATGCATTATGCATTTGGAGTGGGAGGAGGGGCTGCCTTTGGGTTCCATTCCAGGACTCAGAGGAGCTGTTGAGTCATGACCTCACTGAGTCTCCCCATTTTCCTTCCCTTCCACATGCCAGCAAGTCTTCCACACCCCCTCTGCTAAGCCCAGCTCCCTGGAGAATTCCTTTTCTGGGTCCTTCTCCTATTAAAGATAATTACACTGCTGTAAAAACAGCAGTGCTGATAATGAGGGAAGTTGGGCTGTTGACTGAAAAGTAGATGATTTAGTCCAGTTCTCTTCCCATTACCG
The DNA here is from genome assembly GCF_000001405.40 of Homo sapiens. Classification (NCBI taxonomy): domain Eukaryota; kingdom Metazoa; phylum Chordata; class Mammalia; order Primates; family Hominidae; genus Homo; species Homo sapiens. The sequence continues at coordinate 105,122,205 of NC_000010.11, forward strand.
CTCTAATTAGAGTATATCTCTATGATTTCAGAGTTTCAGCTTTAAAAAATTTTAATCACTCTGCCTATAACTCTATGACCAGCTAATGGAGTAAATAATCATTTTGAATTTCTGCAAGCAGCCTTTAATAATCTGAATCAGAATCCTTTAAGAATTCTGAAACCCCCTCATGGTCAGACAGAATAAGGACTTCTTGGAGTTTCAGAGCAGCAGAGACAGATGTTAACCAATCAGCTTGATGTGATTGAGGATCTACTATGTACCCAGTACTGTGACTGGTTCTCTCTGTGACAGAGGTATTGATTGACTGACTGATTCATTCATTCATCCATTCATTTAATAATCTTGTATTGAGCACTTAATATGCTCCTGATACTGTTCTAAATGAAGGGCATGTGATAGTCACAAGACGGAGAACGTGTCAGTCCTCATTTTGCCTTGTCTTGGTGAGGAGATAAAGCTGTTTGACCAGACACTGTTCATAAACAATGCTCAAAAGCATTTAAGAAATTGCTAGACTCTCCAGGACAGTGCTTCCCAGCGTGAGGGAGATCTACAATTAAAGAAGATATCCTGGAGGAGGCAAGGATCATGGTAGTTTTCATAGCAGCTAATTTACTTGAGGGGCTCAGCTTGAGGACCATTCAGTGCCCCAAGGGGAAGTGACTCTTGGAAGGAGACAGTGCAGTTGGATGGATGTGCAGGTGAAGGGAGTTGGCGTTCCTGGGTTTAAGTCTGGCCTCATCATTAACTCATTGGGTGATCTTGGGCCATCACCTTTCCTCCCTGAAGCTCAGTTTCCTTGTGGCAAAATGAAAAGATTACATTAAAGAAGGGCTTCCAAATCTTCTGTTGTTGTTCTTGGAGAACTGCCTTCCAGGCAAAACTGTTGAAGACATTCCAATATATAAAATAGATACAGTTAGAAGAGATCTATATTAAAGAGGGTGAGGGGCCGTATGAGCTTCACCACCCACCCAGACTCTTCATCCCTTTGGGGACACCCCAAGTCATCTTTGCAGAACTTAGAACAGCATAGAAAGTTTCAAAGCAGCGGACTGTATGACACCAGAAGTTCTCTTCTAACCCTAAAACTCCACAAGTTGTCTTGCTCTACAGATCGCTCCATTTAGTCAGACATAGGAAAGGGATTGCTGTTCAGAGGTATTGCCTCAGTTCATTTTTCCAATGTCAGTATCAAACAAAAAAGATACTTGGGATGTACTTAATTCCTCAAGCAAGTTGCTGAATCTTTCCTTCCTTTCTTCATTCCATTTACATCTACTTGGGGTATAATATGGAGATAATGCAGTAAAAAAGAAATAAAAATCCAAAAAGTAAATAAGAAAGTTATGTTCCCTGGAGATTATGCTATATATAAGAAATAAATATGTAAATAAGAAAACCACAGTTCCTGCCATAACAGGGTTTATAGTCGAGAGAGGGAGAGATACTACATAAGCAAACCAATAAATAAGAATGGTAATTACCCACTATGATAAATCTATGAAGAAATAAACATAATTGTGAGAGACAATAATAGGAGGGAGGGCACTTCATTTATTCACTTATTCTGTCAGTCTCCCAACAAATATTTCTTGAGCTACTGCTATCCAGAAAGCAAGGGGCCTCATTTTGGAGATTTTGGAGATCAAGGCAAACACTAGTATTTTTCTCCTGGGAGCTTGCAATTTAGATGGATTTTCATCTTTTATAGTTATTAGGAAACAAAAATAAAAGAATATAAAAACATAAAAGACAATTATGTGTGTGAGTATATAAAATATCCCTAGATTTTGCTTTTGAGACTAGGTCCTATTAAGCGATCTCATGACTGGCGGATCCATGCATACTCTTCCTTCCCCCTTTCTAAACTGGGAGTCAGAAGGTCTGGATAGAAATCAATCCCTGCAATTTATTTTTAACTTCTTTCTCCTTAGCCAGGATTGATTTTTGTCTTTGTGATCAATGGCACAGAGAATAGCTCCACAGCCCAAGCTGCTGTACAAGCACTTGGTCTGGTCAGCTCCATGTCTATTGAAAAGAACATTATAAGCTGATTATGAAAGTGATATAATGAAGATGTTTAAAGGATGGGCCCGATTACCCCTACTTTCCTGGGGTGGAATGCTTACAGACAGGGGGCTGCTGTGAGCAAGAACCTAGAACTGTCAGGAAGGCAATGTGGCAGGGCATACGGCCTGCACCCAACAGACAGAGCCTGGTGAAGCAGGGAAGAAGGAAGGGCATTGGAATTAGCTTCTTGTTTGCCAGCCTGACTCCCTTTCTCTCTTTTTAGCTTTTCTTTTTCTTCCTTCTACTATTTCATCTTTACTATACCAACTGCTATTAGATTTGGAACTGCAAGCAAACATCTGTTACAAAAAAATACATTAAAAAGATCAGCTTTTCCCTCTCTGCATTTCTTGGGCTTTAAAATTGTCTGATTCTTTAATCTCCATGCTTTCCTCCTTCTCTTCTCTTGTTTTCTTATAATCCAGCTTGTGTTTGATGGGAACATGAAATTAGCCACTTCCCACCTCTCCCTCTAGCCTTGTAACCTCTCGAGGCCAGGCAAGATTGCTTCCTGTTTCTTCTGAGAAAAATGTTCTCGGAAGAGACGTACACCTTGTAATAATGTGCAGGGGTAATTCCACGGAATGCAATTAGAACAGAAAGTCGGCTGTACCCAAGGCCTTCTGTCTGATTCTCTGGAATAAACGCTTTCAGTTTTACTGCCTGCCCAGGTAGCGACTGTTTCTAGATTGCATCAGGAAGAAATGATCAAAGTGCTCTTAATATGATTGTATTCATTATTTCATTGTGCTACATAGTTTCTTCTTAGGTGTTCTTTGTCTACGGACGGGGTCAGGAAGGGGTGGAAGAGATGGCTTCCTTACTTCCTCTGACATATCTGCCACAAGTACTTGTGAAGTTGATTGAATGTAGCTATCCTGTACAAGAAACACTCTCATTCTCACTATAGTTATTTTTAAAGATTTGTCCTAAACCTTCTTCCCTGGTTTTTACCTCCTGGCTAATTTTCTTTATTATTGAATAACCTGTAATTCTTAGAGATTCAATTACATTAGTAGTAACAACTGACACGAATTAAGTGGTCAGCATGAGCTAGGCTTATGAATTAGTGAATTTAATTGTTATTACAGCTTATGTGGTAAGTACAACTCTTCTGTTTCACAGAAGAGGCACTGAAAGGTTAAGCCATTTTCCCAAGACGACACAGCCAGTAAACAATGGAGTGGAGATTTTGATGTAACCATTTTGGCACCAGAGCCTTCTTTCTCTGTCACTGCATGATTCTCCTCCTTAAACAAGAAATATTCAGAACAACCTACACTTTCTTATTTGCTGGAGGCAAGTTGGGTCAGGAACTGTGTAAGGGACAATGAGTAAGTACATAGAGCTTTAACACAAAGTAGCTGCTTAAAACATGCATGTTGCATCACTGAATATCCACACACACACACACACACACACACACACAAAACAGGCAGCTTAGAATCTGAAGATACTGCTTGAAGAAGACCTTCGGCTTAGGAAACCAGGACCAAGGAAGTGAGTGGTTGTGGACCTCAAGCGATGTGACGTTTCTGAGTCCCTACTTTGTGTCAGCAGATGTTGGACCTCACATCGTGAGTGTGGCTGTATGTTTCAAGGTCCAGAAGCACTTAAATGATTGTCCCAAAGACATATCATAACCAATAGGTGAGGGTGGGGGTTGGAATCCAAGTCTAGGCTTGGTTGCTGTGTTCCTTGTTAGTTTTCACAACGAAGGACAAAATAAATAACTTAAAAGATGCATAAAAATAAAATTTCTGGTAGCTCAGCTATAACTCTTGGGCATTTTCTTCAAGCAAAACTTCATTCCTGCTATGAACTGCCTCTGCAAAGATAAACCAATAAATAAAATTATACTAATAAGAGTATTGAGCAGTGTCATATACTTTTTGTTAAATATGTCAAATAGAAATGAAGTAGAGTGTTTGTGTCATGTAACACACAGCAAACAAACAAAAGTCTACACACACTCACTATTTCTTTCCATTCCCCCAAAACTACCTCTCCTGGTACCAACAACTCACCTTGGCACTTCTGCCCTGCAACCTCTCCGGCTTGACTGGTAATCTTTTCTTCCTTCAAGTTCCCTCCCTACCTTTTCTCTCTGACTCTCCATTTGTTATGTAGAACAATTCAGCCAGGTCCTGGTTTCTCAAATCTTCCAAACTCAAATCCATCATCACATCCAGCAGATAAAATGTCCTTCAGTGTTTAGAACCTACTCTACTCTTAAGGCAGTGGGAGTATAAGTCACACTTATTTATAGATTACATACAACACTGTGGGTATGTGCACACATATGTGCATGTGTGTATGAATGTCACATTGTGGAGGGTGGTCTAAGAGAATCGTTATGCCTGCAGTATCTGGAATCTGGCAAACATGAGTTTAAATTTCAGTTCAGCCCTCTGCTAGCTGTGTGACTTTGCTGTCTTAGTTGTCCCTTACTTAGTTGTCCCCTTGTGTCTTAGTTGTCCATCTACAAAATGGAGATAGGATGAGGGTGGATTTTATTGTAATTGTAGAAGGAGCATGAGAACACACTGAGTAAATTGTTGTGCTTCTGAGGAAAGGATTTTTGTAGCATCTTATCTTCACTGTGCTGAGTACCATGGCATTATTACTGGCCTTATATTGTCATTTGTACATCTTGTATGTTGTTTGCTTTCCCAAAGAGATGGTGAACTCCATGAGGTGACAGCTCCATGACCCATGGTACTTAATACAGTCTGGTCACAAAGGTACTGAACCAGTACTCGCTGATTGACAAATGTAAGACATAGTGGAATGGTGGCCGGTATCCATAATGAGATTTTTAAACATGATTAACGTTCAAGGAATGATCTAAATTTGGCCAGACCCTTAATTATTACGTGGATTCAGCAGTGGGTGGGGAAGAACATCTTGTACTCTGCTTCCCTGTTTCCTGCAGGAAAGCAAGCTCTTTTATAGCCCCTGATTTTCGAAGGCATGGTGTTGTCAACCACGCAAAGGAGTATTTGATGTAAAATTACTACCCATTTGTAAAAGTTCATGCAATTGTCTTTTCTTTGTATTTTACTTATTCTGACTCTGGAAACACAGATTTTAGAAGCCTAGCAAAGTGAAAAGAGCCTGGAGTTGCAAGTCAGAAGCTTTGAGCTTGGCTTTAAGTCTTACCTTTTAGTACCAAGATGACCTCAAGCAGCCTTCCTAGGCCTCAGGCTCCTTAATTTTAAAATGAAGGTGTAATTAGACCTCACCTGCAGGGTTGTGCTCAGATCAAATGAGATTCAGTACAATAATGAAAACTAATAGCACAGAGTACTCAACAAATATTAGTTGTTATGACCTGAGTACTAGGTACTAAGAGACTATTATAGATGAGTAAGAACATTATCTACCCTCAAAGATATTACAGTACAGCAAGAGACCCCAAAAGGACCTGCTTCCCTCTAATTTGGAACAACAGCTGGTAAGTGCAACAAGCAAGCCACAAAAAAAGAGCCCTGGGAATCAGAGGAAGAAAAGATGAACTCCAACTGGGAAATTGGGGTTAGGGGAGCTTAGTTAAGGAGAAAGCTTTTGACACGAGCCACTGTGAAATTCACTGATGCTGAAGTGATCTGGGTCAGGCTAAGTCCCTCAAATAACTTCTCCTATACTAGCCATTCTTTGGAAAGGCTCTGGCGTAGACACTTTAGGCTCATTCAGGGCTGCACCATGTAGTGGTCATTGTCAGGGTTTAGAGACACAAGTTCAAATCCAGGCTCTGCCACCATGGAGCTGAATACCCGATGCATGTCAGTTAAATTATCAGTAAAGCAGGTTTCTTGGTATTTCCTTCATGGGGTCATTGTGTGCAAGAGCAGGCAGTGCATATTACATGGTAAGCATAGAGCCTGGCCCTCCAACAATGTTGCTTGTGCTGGCAGAGGACAGGAGAGGCATGACCCGGAGAGCATGATGGGGAAGCTCCAAGAAGTAGCAGTTGGCATTTCACAAATATTCATGGCTCTTGGGGAGGCAGCAGTGTTTTCTGAGAAACAGCTTGACAGATGGCTTAAATCCGTCTACTGTTGTCCCAAAATTCACTCATGAGACATGCAAATCCCATGTTGGTGAAACTTTGCTGTTGTATCTAGCAGCTCACGTGTATCTCCAAGCCTTCCAGAAATCCCATGCCCCAAAGAAGCGTCCCTAATTCTCTAGAAAATGAATGATTTTGTTTGCCTTGCCCTTTCAGGATATTTAATGTATTTTGAACATGTCAATAAAATTAATTATTCTCTAAGCAGCTATATTCACCTGTCATTCATCCCCTGTGGCTGAAGATGTTTCTGTTCTATAGCTGTGGCCATCATTTTCTGCTTCTCCTTCTCATATTATGTATTGCCTCTAGCCCTTCCTTCTGTGCATAGTTGAAGCTACATCGGCAAATTTCAGTGCCCCACGCAATCATTAGGATGGGAATTTATGGATCAACAGCATAATTTGTCAGTGAATACACTTCTAAAAGCTTGTGTTCCTGGGAACATACCATAGGTCTATTATAACAATCTAATCATTGTGTTTGTAGAGCATTTTCTGGTTACATGAAAGCATTTTATTATGTTGTTTATTCACAAGAATCTTGTGAGAGAAAGATAACTACAACTAGTTCCTTTTTTATCTGAAAATAACCCCCAAACTGCAAGAGATGGGTTACAATGCCTAAAATTGCACATCTAATAAATGATGGAGCTGAAAATAAAATCACAGATGTTACAATGTGAAGGAACAGGACCTTCCACCTTTTCCCTTCTCCTCTCTCACCATTTTGATTTTATTTTCTGAAGTACTGGGATACTATAGAAAAGAAAGAGGCTAGTACCTAGTTTGAGTATATTTCATTTAAATAATTGACCTCATAGTGTCCACCCATAAAAAGGAATTAGGCCATTTGATGTATCAAGTTGAATGAAAAACTTATACAAGTATTGGACAACCATATAAGCTAGATCTCTTGCAATATCTTCTTTAACCTCCTCTCAGCTCCATTTTCTTTCTCTTTTCTTTCTTTCTTTCTCTTTTTTTTTTTTTTTTTTTTTTTTTTACAAAACCCTACCAATCCACAGTCCACAAGGAACAGAACCATTTTTGAGCACAGAGAGGGGGCAATGTTTTGATAGCAAGTTTGAACATTTCTCTTTAGAGGTTTCATGGGCAGTGCCTTCCTTTTCTTTCACCTGAAGCTCTGGCGTCCTTATCTATAACACTGAAAGTATTAGCTCTTATTACATTATTTGGGAGTCTTCAAATGCTCCTGAATTTTGGACACTAGGATGATAATGATAATTCAAGTTCGTATCTGTCCTTTTGTATTTCTGCCCTTATCTTTGCTTTTTTACCCACTCAAATACACACACACACACACACACACACACAAATAGGAAAGAGAAAGTGCAAAGGACTTCCATTTTGAAAGCTCAGGTGAGCATCCTAAGAACTTCTTCCCCTCCATCTAAATCATGAAAGCCAGAACACAAAGATAAGTCTCGAAGCCATTAATGGTCAAGTCTCTTGGAGATCTCTATCTGTGGTTTCCTCTAGGAATTCATCTTGGCTGAGGGCAAGGAGAATTTCTATCCTTTATCCCTGATCAACTGGGATCAGGTGGCACACATGGCTACCCCAGCACCTCTTGAAGCCTCCAGGTTGCATACATAAACTGCCACCATAGTCAGTCTCCAGAAGACCTCTAAGATGTTAGACTGGTGCAGGCATTTTTGCCTCCAGTTCTGCTGGCTCAGATAATATGCATTGAGTACGTGCTATGTGCCAGATGCAAGGCTAAAGCTCTTTCTATATTGAATTATATTTGATCCTCATGATAACTTCTCAGTTGATAGTACTAATATCTGTTTTCCATGAGAGAAAATTAGGCAGGTTAAATTACTTGTACAAGGTCACCAAACCAGAAAGTGGTATGAGCGGGATTTAAACACAGGTCTGAGATCCCAAATAATGTGCTCTGTTACTTACTATGCAATTGGAAACTGATTGAGTCCAGACCCTTTATTGTATTTGAAGGAACAGTGTCAGAGGGTCAGGCATGCTAATTCTTCTTCTAGTCTTGTGTGTGGTCTAGACCCAAACTCTTTGTCCCATGCTTCCTAACCCACCCCCTTTCTCTGCCATACTAGCATTAACAAAAGGCAGTGAAGGGTACAAGAAGTTGCTCGGCAGGGCTGCTGAAAGTGGCAGTTGTGCTGTCAGTATTTATTGACCAGTGAGTGTGCTGACAACCTCAGCATGCATCTTCCTTTCAGCATCTCCCCTACACACACACACCCAGAGCAATATTGGCTTCAGTGTCAACTATCTTATTATCTCATGTCTATTCTTGGTGAAACTATTTGGGGGCTATTATGTTAGGGCACCAATAAAAGATTTTATGTGCAAATCTGTTTCAAAGGAGGCTCAGCCATAGTATGATGTTGGGTAATAGACCCAGTCTTTCTAGGCAGATAAAACTGCATCAATATTGCAGAGCCTCAAGGACATAAAATGAGCAAACACCAGTTAGACAAACACTAAATTCAAAGTCAAACAGTCTAACAGAGGAGATGACATGCTGATAGGATGCCATGTTGTTCCAAATGCTGTACCACACTTTTTATTCTGACTCATAGTGTGGTCCCTAGGAAAGCAGTGTTGGAAAATCAGCTCAAGATGGCAGAAGCAACTAATTCATCCACGCATAAGACTCTAGGGCCAGACTGACATGTATAGCAACTTCCTGATGAAACTTGTAGCTGTTTATAGACTCCTATGGTCCAATATTTGGAAGCCTGTTTTGTTTTATTTTGTTCTTAAGATAAATATGATCTTTGAAGGAATTATGGAAGTAGAGAGAGAAAAGCCCCAAAAAGTCAAGATTTATTATAAATAATATGAACTGAATTAATGAGCAAAGGAATTAGAAAAGTCAATTGTGCATCGTAACATCTTGGCTGATCCTTTTGTTTCTTTAAAGAGGAGGAAACACTGCAGAGGCAGTGTGAGAAGTAACTAAGATGTACCCTTAGAGGTGGTCATTTCTCTTGGCTTAGACAGATTATTCACATAATATTCGATACAGCACAATCCTCTAACTGGAAAAGCTTCCACATGTCATTTCTTATTAATACGACAGCTCTCGTGTAAGCCCAATTATGGTTCGTATTCACAAATTCCCATAGCAACACCAAGCACTTCTGTGCGACAATGTAGCATTGATTTCTCAGAACTTGGAAATTGATAGGAACCCTCACATAGAAACATCTGCCTTGGCCGTGGGTGCATTAGTCTGTTCTTGCATTGTTATAAATACCTGAGACTGGGGAATTTATAAAGAAAAGAGGTTTGATTCGTTCATGGTTTTGCAGGCTGTATGGGAAGCATGATGCTTGGCTTCTAGGGAGACCTCAGGAAACTTACAATTACGGCGGAAGGTAAAGGAGGAGCAGACACATAATATGGCCAGAGGAGAAGCAAGAGAAGAGAGGGGAGGTGCTACACACTTTTAAACAACCAGATATCACGAGAACTCACTATCGCACGGACAGTACCAAGGGAAATGGTACTAAACCATTCATGAGACATCTGCCCCCATGATCCAATCACCTCCCACCAGGCCCCACCTCCAACATTGGGGATTATACTTCAATCTGATATTTGGGTGTGGACACACATCCAAACTATATCAGTGAACATATTTTCTGGGAATTGGAAATGAAGTGACATGGGACCCATTCCCCTCCACATAGAGGTTTGGAAATTTCACATAGCCTGAGGGACCAGCAAAACCTTTAAAAGTCAGATAAACTTGGGTTCAAATTCCAGCTCCACCATTTATTTGTTGTGTATCTTTGAGTATGTTATATGATTTTCCTACACCTGTTTCCCCACCTGTACATAAAATAGAAGGCTAACGTGTACACAGGAATGGTTGGCATATAATAAATGCTCAAAAATATTATTAATATCTTTACCATGTATGGTACTGGTAATGCTATTAACAATAATGATAGTAATAATAATTATTGTTGTGGATATTAAATAATATCATGAAAGTAAAGCACCCAATATAGAATATAAACTCAAAAATATTTGCTTCTGACTCTCTTCTAAGATTACCTATGTCTACTTATAAATTCTAGAAACAGTTTAAGTTTTCTCCTGTGACAGAAATAGGCTCAACTTCTAAATCCCCAACGGGAGCTAGGAAATGACTCAAGGCCCTTTGGTTCTAATTTTTGGGGGCAGATTTCTGTCTTTCCTCCAGGGCAAGCCATCATCCAGAAACAAGGATAAATGAAAAAATAAAGGATCTGTCAGGTTAGGCTTGGTCACAGCAAGAGCGGGAACAAGTCAGAAGAGATAGATGTGTTTAATGGCCAATGCATTTGTCCAAAGGAATCATTTTCACTGGCCAGGAGCCCAATTAAACCTGTAAAATGGAAATCCAGAAAATCAGATTAACGAACCAGTCATTAGTAAGGAAAAGACCCAGCTAATTCTGTGTTTAGCATGACGGATGGGCCCAGAGCAAATAATTGGATGACATTCATCAAATATAAAATAAAAGGTGTCACCGAAAGGAAAAGTGGTAATAATCTTTGGGATTTACAATGCCAGCAAGTTTGCTAGTAAAGAAGAGAAAAGTTCATCAAAACAGATTAATAGTCACTAAACTTTATTTCTTTCTTGTGTGCCAGAGAGCCACAGGATCACAGAGAAGCAGAAAATGCATGCATCAGCCTGCTTTTACCCTAACATTGTGAAGCAGCAAATGCATCAGCCTGCTTTTGTGAGGACTCTGCCCCTGAAGGGCTGTGCGATCTTTGGAAAATAAATTCCTGCTTTTGTGAGGACTCTGCCCCTGAAGGGGTGTGTGATGTATTTGAAAATAAATTCCTTTGACCATCCAGGAACCAGGCAGGAGTTGAGAGTTCTTCACTACATCTGTGTTTTAGTCAGTATCCAATGGAGGAATCCAAACTCAAAGTCTTTCTGCTTAAGCAGATTAATTCCAACAATCTGTTATTCAGTAAGTGAATAAATATTGACCCCCTGCTGTGTACCTGCCTCTATGAGGTGTGCTCACTCCTGGTTAAGGTTTCAGGTACAGACTAGAGTTGGAGAGCCCAGGTTTATAAGGGTTCAGATGTAGGCGAGGGTTAGAAAGCCCAGGTTTATATTCTGGCTGTAACAATGAAAGGCTATATGATGTTGGGCAAATTAGTTGCTCTCTCTCAGCTTCAGTTTTCTGACCTGTATGAAATATTCTTTACATGATAGTTATTATTACTCTTAGTTTTATTACCTTACTTCTGCTCTCCTAAGAAGATATTATTTTCAAAATATAGCACCAGACTAGATGCAGTGGCTCATATCTACAATTCCAGCACTTTGGGAGGCTGAGGCAGAAGGCTGCTTGAGCCCAGGAGTGGCTTTGGTCACTTTGAGACCAGCCTGGGCAACAGAGGGAGACCCAGTCTCTACAAAACATAAAAAAATAAAATTAGTCAGGTATGGTGGTTTTGCCTGTAGTCCCAGCTACTTGGGAGGCTGAGGTAGGAGGATTGCTTGAGCTGGGCAGGTCAAGGCTTCAGTGAACCATGATTGTACCACTGCACTCTAGCCTGGGTGACAGAGTGAGACCCTGTCTCACAAAAGAAAATTTAAAAATACAGCCCGAGTGTCAAAACAGATTTTCCGGGAATGCAAGGAAACAAAACCATAGACATGCATGTCAATTACAGAGATTTTTAAAAAGTTTTTCACAAAAGATGTTGGAATCAAGATAATCTATTGTGTTATTGCAGTGAAATAAGAAAGATGGACAGAGGATTCTTCTTAGTCACAGAAGGAGGAGCACAGGCTTAGAGCCAAACTTTCTGAGGTTCAGATCTGTCTTATCTTGGACAAGTCACTCAAAACCTCTGTAGAGTTGTTATGAGGATTAAATTAGGTAATTTTCATAAAGGCTATGTGCAGTTCTGGAGTGTGGTAGATGTACTCAATTAATGACTGTCTTATTATTTTTATTATTATGTATCCGCTGGTCATCTGCCAGAAGATCAGCTCTCTCAGTCCCTTTCTGCTTATAAACCATGGAAATTTATTTTTCACAGTTCTAAAGGCTGGAAAGCCCAAGATTAAGGCACCAGCATGTTAGATATCTAGTGAAGGCCCGGTGTCTGCTTCCAAGATAATGCCTTGAATACTGAGTCTTTACATGGCAGAAGGATAGAAGGGACAAAAAGGAAAAAAAAAAAAAAAAGAAGCCTAGCTAGTTTTCTCCAGCCCTTTTATGAAGCACTTTTCCTTTCCTGAGGAAGAAGCCCTCATGGCCTAATCACCTCTTGAACGGCCCCAACTCTTAATACTGTTGCAATGGGGATTAAGTTTCAACAGGAATTTAGGAGAGGACAGAAACAATCGGCCCATAGCATTCCATCCATGGCCCCACAAATTTATGTCCTTCTCACATGCAAAATATGTTCGTTTCATCCCAATAGCTTCAAATGTGTTAATTTGTTCCAGCATCAACTTTAAAATCTAGGTCCAAAGTCTCATCTGCGTATCATCTTAATAAGATGCGGGTGAGACTCAAGGAGATTCATCCTGAGGCAGATTCCCCTCCAGCTGCAAGCCTGTGAAATCAAACAAGTTATGTGCCTCTGAAATACAATGGTGGGAGAGGTATGGGACAGTCATTCCAATTTCAAAAGCAAGCAAAAGGAAGGAAGGAATGAGTAACAAGTCTCGGTGAAGTCCAAAACCCAACAGGGTAAACAACCTTAAATCTTGAGGCTTAAGAATAATTTTCTTCACTCCATGTCCCACCTTCCAGGCCATGGGGTGAGGATTGGGTCTCCAAGGCTCTAGGGGACCCTGCACCCATGGTTTTGGGTAGGTATAGCACATGTAGTAGCTGTGACAGATTAGAGTCCATGCAGCTGCACCAGAATGTGGCGATCAGAGACTTGAGGTAGTACTGGACAGACAGCCCCAACATTCCATGGGAGCCTGGCTCCTCCCTTCAAATTGTTTTCCCCTCAAGGCCCTGGCACTCTGGGCCTGTGATGAGCATGGCAGCCTGGAAGATCTCTGGTATGCCTTCTGGGCCATTGTTTCATTGATCTGGTGAGTAGCATCTGGCTGCCTTCTAGCTGTACTAATTTTATCAATGGTCCCTTGGCCACACCCTTGGTGTTCTCTCTCAAACTTGCCTTTTTAAACTTTACATGGCCAGGCTGAGAATTTTCCAAATCTTTAAGTTCTGTTTCCCTTTCAATTGTAAGCTGCCTTTAATTCATGTCTCTCTTCTTGCGTTTTACTATAAATGGTCAAAAAAAGCCATGCAGCACTCTCCACATTTGCATTGATAGTTCTTCCAGATATCCTTGTACACCGCTTACAATTTCTGCCTTCTACAAATCTTTAGACACAGGCACGATTAAGCCAAGTTTTTTGCCGCTTTATAGCAAGGATGACCTTTCCTCTAATTTCCAATACCTTACTCCTCATTTCCATCTAAGACTTCAACAGCATTACCTTTACCGTCTATATTTCTACAAGTATTCTGTTCATGACCAGGTAAGTAATTTCTAAGGATACTTAAGTTCTTTCTACAGCTCCCCACTTCTTCTGAAGAAGGGTCCTCACCAGAATTGCCCTTAATGCGCTGTTTAATGCAATATAGGGTTTTTTTTCTAGTATTCACTTCAAAACTGTTCATACACCTATTCATTACCTGGTTCCAAAACCACTGTCATATTTTTAGGTATTTGTTATAGCAATACCAATACCAATTCAGTACCAATTTCTGTCTCAGACCATTTCTGCTACTATAGCAAAATTATTTAGACGACATAGTTTATTTCTTACATCTGTAGAGGCTGGGAAGTCCATGACAAAGACCCCTGCAGGTTTGATGTCTGATGAGGGCTTGGTCTTTGTTTCTAAGATGGTGCCTTGAACACTGTGTCCTCACATGGCAGAAGTGATGAAAGGGAAAAAAGAGGGTTAGCTAATTTTCTCTAGCCCTCTTATAAAGCACTGATCCCTTCATGATGGCATAGTCCTCATGTCCCAGTCATGTCCTCAAGGCCCCACCTCTTAATACTGTTGCATTGAGGAGTAATTTTCAACGTTCATTTTGGAAGGGACACAAACATTCAAACCACAGAACCAGCATTGTCTAGGAATGAAGTAGGTCACAACCTTGTAATAAACTATAGAAGAATAATTATAGGAATGTGTGTGCCATGAGAGTGAATGTTGAAAGTGCTATAGAAATGAAAAGAACAAAGTTCAGTAATTGAGAGATAGGAGAAATTAGAATGAATTGGTAGCATTCAAAAACCCTTCCATGAACTCATAGGATTTACACTGAGGTTTAATGCATCAGTTGGATTTTGGCAAGTACGGAGAAGGACACACTCAGGACAAAGGGAGATTGGCAGGATGAAGCTTGGTATCTCTGGGAGATACTACAGTATCAGAGGTACTTGGAGACCCCAGGGCTCTGTGGCCTTCATATAGCCCCTTTATGTTTTGGACCATTCGACAATGCATTTAAACATTTAAAGTATAATTTCTATCTTCATTATTTACTCAAGCACAAACTTTCCTGGGTTGTGTGTGAGCTTTTAAGAGAGTCTGTGATTGTGCAGGGCTCTAATAGACATGGGAGGATGAGTTCTCAAGGCTGCGGGGCTGATCACGCTGTCAAAGGGACCACTCTATTCTCTTTTGGCCGTTGGTGACTTGGAAACCCCAATGCTCCCAGCCTTGCCCTGGACTTCTGATAGGAGGTGGAGTGTGCTATCATTTTGTTCCCTGTTGAGGCAGCTGGATCTTCCAAGGAGAAGCCCCTTTTAATTGATGATCTCTGGCCAGCATTCAGGAATGGGACTTGCCTTCTCGGATGCTGGTCTGCTTTCCCATGAATGTGTTTGGTTCAGGGTAAGGTTCAGGGTGACCTATAGAGAGGTGGTTATTAAGCATATGATAGGTGACCAGATGATATATTTTGGGAGTATAAAAGCTTTGTCATCAGGTATAAGGACTCCTTTGGGGGTGATGAAAATGTTTTAGAACTAAATAGAGGGTCTGGCTGGATCACACACTGTGAATGTACTAAAAGACACCGAATTGTACAGTTTAAAATTATTAGAGTATGTGAATTTCACCTCAAATTAAAAAAAAAACCCCACCTTTCTCATCATTGTAAACACAGAATTCAGGAACATATCTACATCTGAGAGGCAGGGGGTCAGGGCAGGTGAGGAGCACAGAGGTCTATGCAAATTGTTGTTAAAAGTCTAGTTATGAGGTGTTCAAAGTGTGGTTCCCAGACCAGCAGCATTGGCATCACCTGGAAATTTATTAGAAAATTCTTGATCCCCAACTCAGATCTATTGAATCAGAGACTCTGCAGATGGGCCTTAGTAATCTGTGTTTTCACAAGCTTTCCAGGTGATTCTGATGCATGCTGAAGTTTAAAAACTATTGATCTAGTTTCTGGGTTAGCAAGTATGTTTACATGTGTTGGTTTTCTAATTAAATGTAAAACCAAATTAAACAAATACATACAATCATGTGAGAACTAATGGTGACTATGTGTTCAGATCTAAGGATGATATTTTATGCACTTGAGACTTATTTGGAAAAGGAAAAAGACTTCAGAGCAACCTATTGATCTTAATATAGCAACACCCACCTCTAAGCCAACACACAACAATATAGATTCAGAACAGATGTTGTATCAAAATAAAAAAGTTTTAAAGTCCTGAAATACAAGGCAAGAATGATGGTAATTAGATGTGGATGTTTCTCCCTGAAGATCAGGGTGAAAACCAGTCTCTCTTCTTGGTTCACAGCATAAGCCTTTGCACCAAGTTTTTCCAAGTCTCTGCCTTCATGCTGACTCTGACATCTGCTCTACCTGGCAGCGTGTGGTGCCTGCTTTGTGGGCTTCCGATCTGTGCAGAGCAAGGGGTAGCCGTGGGAGATGTCATCTCCCTCCCCGAGTGAGGAGAGATGGGTGGCTTCAGTAGAGAAGTTACAGCTCTTCTGCTCCCAGTAGGGCCTGTGGATGGCTGTCAGATTTGGATCAGACTGGGAGGACTGGCCTGTCTCCAGCCTGTGCTTGGACCTTAGTGAGAATGAAGCATGTGCCTTGGGTAATTGCCTCCTCAGCGCAGCAGCCTGGTTGCTATTGTTGTCCTGCTATTTTCTCTGAACAAGCCATGTTATCTTCTCCTGTGAATATTAATTTCCCCTGAGTTAGGATAATTGGGCAGAGAGCAGCCATCTGCAGAGCCGTGCCATGTTGGCAGGGCTTTTCAGCAGGCCCTGGCCAGAGGACCATTTCTTGGCGTGGTTTCCACTTTCCTCCCATTAAGAATCTATCCTTTCACAAGTGAGGTTACAGGGCTTGTCCCTGAGCCTTCTAGCCAGAGATAACAGAGTTCAGACTCAAACCCAGGACTTCTGAATTTCAAATTTGGAGTTCTTCCTCTAACTTTTGATGTTTTTAAGTATCTTGTACGTGGAAAGAGTCAATAAATATCTGCTCAATACATGGATTTGTAAATATGAAGGAAAGAAATCTGTGCTTAGATCAGAAGTGAGATTACATTTCAAAATAATGAGAGCTTTGAACAATAGTAATTATTCAGATCCAGGAAAAATACATTTGACAATTATGTTATGGTTGGAATGAATTAATAAACAATTCAAAAAGAATAAATAGATCATGGGTGTAGCCCACATTGGTAGCTTCTCTGTTTTTAGTTGAAAATACTTACTAGGTATGTGCCATGTGCAGAGCACAGTGACCAAATAGAGTCAGTCTCTGTTCTGAGGGAGAATCTGCCAGTGGGAAAGATTGTTGTAATTGCCCACCTGTGATCTAAGCACTGTGCAGTGGGAGCAACTCAGAGTGCCATGGGATTAGAGACCCAAAGCCAGCAAGGAATATTCTCTAAAAGGTAATTACAAACCCATTGTGGTTGTTGATAGAAGAGCTAATACTTTCCAACTTGTGCATGATCTGTGGCCTCATCTGATCTCTTTGTGTTTCCCCCACAATCTAGGTAACAACTAGTGGAAGAGCCAGCTACTACGTGTCTTATCGAAGAGAGGCCTTTGCTCAGATAAAGCTGCCTAAGTACTCGTTGCCAAAGGTACTGCATGCACCACTAGCGGTCCTGGGTCCCTCTAGGCAAAGGGAGGGTTGGAGAGGCTGCTTTGTTGGGCTACTGGGAGGTTTTATCTGTTTGGAAGGACTGCTGGCATTTAGACTCACTCACCACCAAGTCGTTTGGCCTCCCTTAGTGGTGCACAACCTGGATTCTGTATTTCTGTCTCAGCTGGGTACCAGCCAAGAGCTTTGATTTCCTGTAACTCAAAGGTCTGGTATAACCTTGGGTCATTTCCCAGGGGCAGTAATGAAAGGAACACTAGCTTTGGAATCTCCTCTGAGGGGCTCTCCCTTTTGCAAAGGGCTTTATCACCAAATAGAAGGCCAAACTCAGCAGGAGGACAGACGCATAAAAGTGCACAGATAAGTCTGGTGGTTTTATTGCTTCTTTCTACATTTTAAGGCTAAATAAAAATGTATTGCCTATGTTTCTACTCCCCCTGCCACCATGAGTAATTAAAAAGGGGTAAATTAATAGAATGTTAATATCAAATGTTGGCATTTTAACTCTTCTATTGAAAAATCATAAAACTTACTTTGGGGACCCCATTCCTTGTGAACATTGGCTTCTGGAGGGAGATGGACCTTAGAACCTCAGTGTGAAAATGGACAGGTTATAATTGCATCACTTAATGAGGCTACAAAGGAGTAAAATCTCAGGTTGGACACATATCAGGTGTAATGTTGCAAAGACTTGGGTCTCTAAGCTGGTACTAAGGAACATATTATGAAAGACTAAATGAGTACAGAGGTGGAGGAATTATGGCATGAGAAAGTGGATAATTTCCTACCCCCAGTTGTTATTATTCATTCATTAATTTATGCATGCGTGTATTCATTCACTCTTTTATGCATCCGTTCAACTATTCTTTCTCCATTTAACTTTTCCTCTGTGAACTAAACTCTATGAGTAGAGTAGTGAATAAGGCACAAATGGTCCCTGTCTTCATGGATGTTATGTTCTGGAAAAAAAAGATACTGAATAAGCAACGATAGGTATGAGAGTGTTACAGAAGTTCAAGGGCCATCTTGACATAAAAGGTGGTTTTAGTCAACTATGGGTAGTGAGGGCAGTTTCCTAGAAAAAGTGATGTTTAAGTTGATACAAGAAAAATAAAGGAGTTAATTCTGCAAACAAAGATGGGGAGAAGCTGATAGAAAATATATGCATAGGCTCGATTTTAAGAGACAGCACCGTTCATTCAACAAACTAGGAAGCCATCTTGAGAGACTGGGTTGCAGAGAGGCTGATAAGGTCAGCAGAGACCATTTTAAGTAGCTTCAGGGGCAATGGGAACCAATTTCTCATTTTATCTACCCTCTCTCTGATCAGAGATAAGCTTTATGGGACCATTGTATAGTATGGTGTTTGCAGGATGTACCCATCAGATATTCTAAACCCAAACAGGAAAGAGATATTCCAGCTTGGAGAAGGTTAGAAAGGGGAAATTCACAGTTATGCTCTTTCTAAAGGAGAATGCCCCGTTACAGTAACCAGAAGGTCTCCCATGTTTCTAAGCCTAGGAAATGAGTTTAGGGAACTTTCCAAGCCATCTCCCTGAGGTAGGGATTATTTTGTTTCTGTATTTGTGCATCTTTTATGTATTTTTAACCTTCTCAGGAAAACCAACCATTCACTCCCCTGGACAGTGTGGCTGCAGGTGGGGACAAATGAGGCCCTGAATTGATCACAACCCTAGAACACTCTGTTAATGATTAGCAACCCCGAGGCAATTTATTGTGGTGGAATGCCATCCGCTTAGTCCCTTTTATAGAGCCTCATCCAGAGCAGCTTCTCATTAATATGAGGGCTGCTGTGAAAATAGCTGGATGGTTATCGATCCCCTTTATTAGCCAGTGCTGGCCCAAGTTTTCATAGTCAAAGCTGAAGAGGTGGGGACAGAGAGGGTGGAGGGAGATTGGTTCTTTCCATTGTTTAAAAATGAAAATGGCTTTTAAGCAAGTTTTGCTGTTCCATGCAGTGCCGTGGATGCTTTTAGGTGGCTTGCTTAGAAACAAAGGCATGAAAAGCTCCCTATCATCATTGCCCTCGCACCTCTGCTCCCAGCTTACATGCTCAGAATATGCTCTCCTGGGGTACTCCATAGCTTTGTAGTGTTTGGCAGAGAATGAAATGAGTGCCATTAACAATGAGGAGCATTATTAGAAGCCATAGCCTTGTGCTGAGCCCTCCATAACTCAGTCCCTGGGCATCAGGTTGGTGCTCTTAGTCCAACAGGCATGAAAAGCACACAGCAGCAGAGGGCATGGGGCAGGTGATAGGGAGCAGGTAACCTAGGGAAAAGACAGGTGAGCTTATGAGCAGAGACCCTGAGCTTTCATTCCAGCTCTACCACTTACTTATCCATGAGCCCAGGTCTTCACATCTGTGAAATGGGGTTAATATTGTTTGACAGAGTTGTGAGGATTTAATGAATGGCTCATTGTTAGTCAAGTGTAAAGTGTTCGACAAATCTAAGGAATGGTTTTGGTCTGGGGGTAATAATACTGAGGCTCTTAACCTGTCCTACATGGAGATCAGTGTTCATAATGGGATCACATTCCAGACTGGCCTTGGACTCAATATTGCCTTAAACCCTCACTTTACCACGCTGAGCCTGATATACCCTCTTTTGTCTCTTAGATTCTGGATTTATTCTTAACTTACTACTCTAATAAATTGTTTCTACAAGAGAAAATATTTTTGTTTCTTTCTGTATGGGATTCAGGTTGAAAGTAAAAATGTTGATCTTTGCCTGAGCCTTGTGCTCCTGGAAAAGAGCCAAGGTTAAGAAATTCTGCACCCTTTTGTGTTTGGGAAATGGCTTATTGCAGACCCCCTCTCTCCATATGACTTGACAAGATTCAGACGTCTGTCTTGTTTACCTATAAGACCAGATTCCCATTCTTTTTCTCATACGTGATTTGCTAAAATGTTGTCCTGCTGGCCAATCTGGACAAAATGCCTGCTAATTTGACTTGCTCAAACTTAAAACCAGCTTTTCTCTTTCCTCAAGCCCCTGAACTTTGACCCACTCTTGAGCTTGTGTAACCAATGGGAGCTGAAGCAAGCATGGCAATGAGGAACAGCCCCCCTTAACAGCCCTTCTGAGAATCAGCTGACCCCAAAGAAAATTTCCTGTTCAATTGCTCGATCATGCCACCTGCACACCCTACTTTTCACACCCAGTTATTTCTAGTTTTTTTTTACTTTTTCCCATAAAAGTCATTCTTTTCTGCCTTCACTTCAAGGTGCTTGCAGGTATTGCAAGTCGTTTCAAATAAAATCTCCTCTTACCTAAGTCTGGGTTCATTTTTTATTTGACAGTAGAATATGGTTAATTCTGTTTTGAATAATAAAAGAGAGGAAAGGGAAATATGTCTTAGAAAATTCATTATAATGATAATAACAATGATATTAACCTTTTGTTTCCTTAGTTTTTACATTTCCCCAAATACTGATTTATCCTTCACTGCTGTGTCACGGCCACACTTCTCAAAAGAGTTATCTGTAATTCTAATCTCTTTTCTTACTCCCTATTCTCTCTTCAACCTGCTGCTGTATATTCTTTGCCTGTACATCCATCTATCC